>NC_000022.11:17918275-18239129 GCF_000001405.40 Homo sapiens | reverse complement strand
AATTCCATGATTCTGGATAACTTCCAAAGCATAAAAATAAATGTGTGTTTTATTTCACACGTAGACAATACACATACTTATTACTTTAAAAAATTAATATGTGCATGGAAGTGACTTACTACAAATAAAGTAAATACACATTTCACAAAAAAAGAAGAGAGGAAGGGAGAAACATGTTAAAAACAAAGAGAGGTACATTTTATTGTGTGAAAAGCCTCCAACGGATCCATACTACTGCGGCTTTGTTCCAAAGTTTTGGAAAGTAATGATTTCGTAGGTTCTTAATTGGGTTAAAAACTGCATTAAAATAGACTCTGCCATATTCTCCCCTGGGGAATAACTTAATCTGTGGGGTGGGGGATGGAACGTTGAAGGATGCAGGATGTAAAAGGAAATTATATATATATTATATATATTATATATTATATGATATATATAATATATATATTATTTATTATATATATTATATATTATATATAATATATATAAATAATATATAATGTACATAATATATAATTATATAATATATAATTATATATTATATATTATATATAATATACATAATATATAATTATATAATGTATAATATATATTGTATATAATATATATAATATATTATATATATCATATATATCATATATTCAATATATTATATATAATATATTTAATATATTATATATATATTAAATACATTATATATATATTTTATATATATATATATTTTATATATATATATATAATATATATATATAATTTGGGAATTTGGGAATAAACTGAATCCCAATTCACACTGGGACTACACCAGCTGCCACCATGCCTGGCTAATTTTTTGTATTTGTAGTAGAGACAGGGTTTCACTGTATTGGCCAGGATGGTCTTGATCTCCTCACCTTGTGATCCTCTTGCCTTGGCCTCCCAAAGTGCTGGGATTATAGGCCTGAGTCAAGATACATATTTTTTAAATGAAGAAAATTTTGAAAGATACTCTGCTTGGTACAATAATCAAATATATAAATTGAGGAATAAAACATAATCATGAAACATATTTATAACTGCATATGGAAAATACAGAGGCTAATTTTTTAAATAACATATTTTGAAAGCATTAACTAGTAATTTGAAAAGATCGCATTTGACAGGCCAGTATGAACATACCTTGAATGCAGCCACACAGGTTCCCCATAAGAAAAATCAAAATCAGGGAAAATGAAACCTCAATGGTTCAATCTGCTCTGACCTTTGAAAAACTCAGCACAGATAGTGGCACTTAGGACCAAGGGCAGGAGATCCCTAATCCCATCACCATGGCGATAGGGCATAAACATTCCAGGGTGAAGGCACAATCCACACTGTGAGGTCCAACTGCTGCCATGCAGACAGGTGGGCTTTTACAAGTACAGGAAGGTCATCAAAGGCTCAGTGTTTTGTTTCAAAAAGTGAATCCCAAGCCCACACATTATTATGCTGGCTTCTTAAAATAAGTTATGAGATGGGAAATAGGGCACCCACAAATATATATATATAATTATATATAATATAATATATAGTATATATATAATATATTTAATATAATATATATATATTATATAAAATATATATTTATATATATATATAATTTGGGAATTTGGGAATAAACTGAATCCCAATTCACACTGGGACTACACCAGCTGCCACCATGCCTGGCTAATTTTTTGTATTTGTAGTAGAGACAGGGTTTCACTGTATTGGCCAGGATGGTCTTGATCTCCTCTCCTTGTGATCCTCTTGCCTTGGCCTCCCAAAGTGCTGGGATTACAGGCCTGAGTCAAGATACATATTTTTTAAATGAAGAAAAATTTCAAAGATACTCTGCTTGGTACAATAATCAAATATATAAATTGAGGAATAAAACATAATCATGAAACATATTTATAACTGCATATGGAAAATACAGAGGCTAATTTTTTAAATAACACATTTTGAAAGCATTAACTAGTAATTTGAAAAGATCGCATTTGACAGGCCAGTATGAACATACCTTGAATGCAGCCACACAGGTTCCCCATAAGAAAAATCAAAATCAGGGAAAATGAAACCACAATGGTTCAATCTGCTCTGACCTTTGTAAAACTCAGCACAGATACTGGCACTTAGGACCAAGGGCAGGAGATCCCTAATCCCATCACCATGGCGATAGGGCATAAACATTCCAGGGTGAAGGCACAATCCACACTGTGAGGTCCAACTGCTGCCATGCAGACAGGAGGGCTTTTACAAGTACAGGAAGGTCATCAAAGGCTCAGTGTTTTCTTTCAAAAACTGAATCCCAAGCCCACACATTATTATGCTGGCTTCTTAAAATAAGTTATGAGATGGGAAATAGGGCACCCACAAGTATATATATATATAATTATATACAATATAATATATATAATATATATAACATATACATAATTTCCTTTTACATCCTGCATCCTTATATTATATATAATATTATGTATAATATAATATGTATTATTATATATAATATAATATATATGAATATATATAATTATATAATATAATATGTAATTCTATATAATTCTATATAATATAATATATTATATATAAACATATATAATATATTATATTATATATAAATATATATAATATAATATATTATATATACGTATATATAATATAATATATTATATATACGTATATATAATATAATATGTAATATAATATAATAATATATTATAATATATTATATATTATAATATAATATAATATAATATATAATATAATATAATATATAATATTATGTATAATATAATATATAATATAAAATAATATAATATATAATATAATATATAAAATAATAATTAATACTTTAAATTAATTATTATTAATTAATATTAATTAATATTAAAAATAATATAAAACATAATTATTACATATAATATAATCTATAATTATTATATATAATATAATATACAATTATATATAATATTATATATAATAAAATATATATACTTATGTGTATTTATTACATATAATATAATACATAAATTATATATAATTATTACATATAATATAATATATAATTATATATAATTATTACATATGATATAATATATATTTATATATAATTATTACATATAATATAATATATATAATTATATATAATTATATAATTATATATACAAGATAATAATATATAATATATAATATATATTACATAATATTTTATATAATATATTATACTATATATTATATATTATTTTATATAAAATATTATATATTATATATAATATAATATTTTATACAATATAATATATAATATATATTATATTATCATATGTTATACAATATGTTATAGTATAATATATATTATAATCTAATATATTATATATTATTATATAATATTATATTATATATTATTATATAATATTATATTATATATAACATTATATAGTATTATATATTTTATAATAATAATATAATATATAATATATTATTATATATTATATATAATATATAATATATTATGACATATTATATATAATATATAATATATTATGATATATATTATATATAATATATAATATATTGTGATATACATTATATATTATATAATATATTATGATATATATAATATATATAATATAATATAATTATATGTAATATAATATATATCTTATATATCATATATTATATATTTTATATCATATACTATATATTATATATCATATATTACATATAATGTATGTCACATATTATATGTAATATATGTCACATATATGTAATATATGTCATATATTATATGTAATATATATCATATATTATATATGTCATTTATTATGTAATATGTATCATACATATTACATAATATGTATTATGGTGTCTGGTGGTCCCAGGACACAGACTGATGTCACTCAGCCTCACATGACACTCTGTCCTCACCACACTTGGGGTCCTGGGAGTCGTAGCACCAGGCACCTATAGAGACAGTGGGCAGGAGGCTGAGCTGAGAGACCAGTTATCTGGGTCCTCTCCAAGCCCCATCCCATCAACTGGGGTCCAAGAATGAAGTAGGCCAGGGGCTTAGGCCAGGGGAGGCCAGTGAAGAACCTTCTCTCCTGTCACCCCTACCCCAGTATTTTCTCTCCCCAGTCCCTCCCCACTCCCAGTGGCAAGACCTAAGGGGTGGTGGAGCATGGCAAGAGGGTAGATTGGAGACCAGACGGGAAGAGTCCTGGTGCTCACTCTCAGAGTCTGCACCACACCAGCTGCACTGCAAGGCGAGCATGATGCCAGGGGCGTGCGTGGCTCAGTGGCAGCCGCAGCTAGGAAGGACTAGAAAGTGGCTAGACCTCGGAGCCAGGATGCTGGCCTGGCTACTACATATTTATTCATTAGCTAGCTGGGCTAGGGGCGTGGCTATTGAGGAGAGGATGGGAGGGGTCGGTGCCCAGGCAGGGCCACCAGGAAGAGCGCGAGCGCTCCAAACTCACCCAGGTGTGCTCTGGTCCCAGGGCTGCACTGATGCCAGCAACAATCGCTGAGGTTAATCCTGCAGGGGAGGGGTGACCTATTATTATCCCCACTTACAGTCCAGGAAACAGAGGCTGGGGACCAGAATGACACACCAAAGCCACCAGCAAGAAAGGTCAAATAGTGAGGGCACCTTGAACCCCAGCGCCCATGACTTTCGGGGCAAGGATGGGAGGAAGGTGTAGGATGTCTCTTGCCCCGCTGTGGGCCTGGAACTGCCACCCCATCCCAAGACCACAGCCTCCCTCCTGCCCAGGCCCCCCTGCTGATCCAGGCCAAGATGGAGCCCTGCAGGAGGTCAGAGGAGGGGACTTCTTTGCACCCTGCGCCTCTTTCCAATCGCCAGAGGGCAGGGCCCTACCCACATTGGGGATGGGAAGTCAAATGCAGAAGTTAGGTGAAGTCAGTTCTTGGATACTCCTGTACTGTCACCCTGGTCTTATCTCATGCCTTAGCCCAAGCTGTGCACACAATGGGGTCCTAGGTCCCCCTCACCTCCCAGATTCCACCTTCCCAGGGATGGGACCCCCTAGAACCCTCGGGGGCCTGGGCAGTGGCCTTGCTGGCTCTTGCCTTCCTAGGAGCTGAGCAGGAGCTCCACTCTCAGCAGGGCAGTTCACTGCAGCCTCTGCTTCCTCAGCTCAAGCCATCCTCCCACCTCAGCCTCCTGAGTAGCTGGGAATGCAGACACACACCACCACGCCTGGCAAATTTTTGTATTTTTAGTAGAAACAGGGTTTCACCATGTTGCCCAGGCTGGTCTCGAATGCCTGAGCTCAAGCGATCTACCCACCTCGGGCTCCCAAAGTGTGGGAGCCAAGATGGGAACCCAAGCATACGGCCCCAATGCTGAGGCTCTGAACTACTGACCTGCCCTCAGCACTCAGCCTTGGGATCATGAGTCACTGTGCAAGGGAGTTCCAACATCTGCATGTATGTCTGGAATGATCTGAGCCTGCAGAGTTCCTACACACTGGCCACATTATAGGGTGGTGTCCGTGGTCACACAGCTCAGGGCAGGTATTTATTAGTACATGAATAGCTTAGCTGTGTCATAGTCTTTATGTGAAAGGCACTTAAAAGGCACTTTGGCAGGCTCAAAGTGTGGGGATTATAGGTGTCAGCCACCGTGCCTAGCCCACTGGATGACTTATGATATCATATGTGACATTGTGACATCATGTGAGTCAGGGATGTACCCCGTTCTCAGCTGCTATATGCTATGTTACACTGACAGAATGGGAATGAAGAATGTGTCCCACTCTCTCAGCTGTTGTATTATATCATACAAGGTGCAGTGACTAAGTGTGTCAGCTGTGTCCTCATCCTACATAGCATATGAGAGTGTGTGACGGGAGATAGGATGCAGACCTGAGAAGCATTAAACACCTAGGCAATAAAGGTGCCAGCATCAGCTGAGAGCGCAGGTAGACCTCAGTCACATTTGTTACTGTGTAACTAAAAATACAAAATTAGCTGGGTGAGGTGGTGCACGCCTGTGGTCCCCACTGCTCAGGCGCCTGAGGCAGGAGAATTGCTTGAACCCAGGAGGCAGAGGTTGCAGTGAGCTGAGATTACACCACTGCACTCCAGCCTTGGGGACAGAGTGAGACTGTAACTCAAAAAAATAAAATAAAATAATCTAGGACAACCAAGAGAAGGACTCAGGCTCACCTTACTCTATGTCACATGTGATATATAACACTTGAGGGGGACACACACTTGTCACTTTGTATCACTATGTCCTATATGATAGCCAATGATAACCCAAGAGGGGGAGGCAGCCTTGTTCACACCATGTCACTTATGATATTATATGACATCAAGGAGCCCAGACCTCAGTTGCATTATGTCACTATGGCACATACAGTATCATGCAACAACTGACAGAAGGGTTGTGGGCCTGATTCACAGTGTATGTGAGTCACAAATGTCACTTATGACACCATACAGCAGGTGAGAGGGGATAGTCATTATTCACCTCGGGTCACATTGTCACACATGATACCATATGATAGCAGAGGGTGATGCAGAACTGAGTTGTATTATGTCGCTATGTAACCTGTGATAGATGATAGCTGATGCGGGTGAAGACCAAAGTTACATTTTGTACCTACATTATATGAAATATACAACATGCACGAGGGAGGTGCAGACACAAATCACACTGTGTGCTGTATCCCATATATGTGTTTAATTTCTGTGTTTAAGAGAGCTGGGTTCATGAATGAACTTAGTCACTGCACCTTGTATGATATAATACAACAGCTGAGAGAGTGGGACACATTCCTCATTCCCATTCTGTCAGTGATTGACCACACCTTGTGTTAACTGTATGAGCCACTGTGTTTGGCCGTGTATAGCGCACGTGGCACATTGTTCACTGATACATATTTGCTCCGTACTGAAGTGAGGCAGATGCATGAGTGATTGAGAATAATGCTACATTGGTGAAGCATTCCATTTAGAAGCATGAGGTTCAGGTACTACCATCTTCTGTGATACATATTTAAATGTTAAGTTTAACAGTTAGGTCTACCATGAGTGAATGAGCCTTGCATTATCTTTGAGAATCGATGTGTTTAGCAGGGTGTGGCTCATCTAAGATAGCCTTCTTTAATGCATGTTCACTATCTGTGTTTATTAGAAATAGGTTTGTGAATGACTTAGCATAGTGTTTTCCCTATGAAACCCTGTTTATTTATTTATTTATTTATTTTGAGATGGAGTTTTGCTCTTGCAACCCAGGCTGGAGTGCAATGGTGTGGTCTCGGATCACTGCAACCTCTGCCTCCCAGGTTCAAGCGATTGTCCTGCCTCAGCCTCCTGAGTAGCTGGGATTACGGGCATCTGCCACCACACCCAGCTAATTTTTGTATTTTTAGTAGAGACGGGGTTTCACCATGTTGGCCAGGCTGGTCTCGAGCTCCTGACCTCAGGTGATCCTCCTGCCTCAGCCTCCCAAAGTGCTGGAATTACAGGCGTGAGCCACCACACCCGGCCAAAACCCTGTTTTAAGAAGTGTGTGGTGCAGGTACTACATTCTTTGTTGTTCCAAGTTCAAACCCTGTGTTTAACAGAGATAGGTGCAAGATTGCCTAGGTGTAGCGTAGACTCTTGGAAATACTGTGGTTAGCATTCTGTGTTTTCTGTAGCATAGTTTCAGTGATGCCTGTTTAGATAGTTTATCAGATCTAGGTACTAGTGTTATGTCAGCGAAACACTGTTTAGCTGCACGCGGTGCATGTAATACTTTGTTCATTGATATTTGTTTAAATCAATCAGTGTTTACCAGAACTAGATATGTGAGTTACTGAGAATAGCCTAATCTCTGAAAATGTTTTCCAGCCTATGGTGCATGTAATATACTCTTCTATGGTACCTCTTTCCAATGTTTTTATTGTGGCAAAATATACATAACAGATTATACCATTTTTAAGTGTAGAATTTAGTGGTAGTAAGTATAGAGAGAATCTTAAAAGCAGCAAGAGAAAAGTGACTTCTCATGTGCAAGGGAGCCTCTAGAAGATTATCAGTGGATATTTCAGCAGAAACCCTGCAGGCCAGAAGGTGGTGGGATGATACATTGAAAGTACTGAAAGAGTAAAGCCTGCCAACTGAGAATACTATATTTGACAAAATTGTCCTTCAAAAGTGAAGGAGAAATTAAGACATTCCCAGATAAATAAAAGCTGAAGGAGTTTATTACCACTAGACCTGACCAATAAGAAATAATAAAGGGGCCGGGCACAGTGGCTCATGTCTGTAATCCCAGCACTTTCGGGAGCCGAGGCAGGTGGATCACCTGAGGTCAGGTGTTCAAGACCAGCTTGACCAACATGGCGAAACCCCATCTCTAATAAAAATACAAAAATTAGCTGGGTGTGGTGGCACGCACCTGTAATCCTAGCTACTCAGGAGGCTGAGGCAGGAGAATCACTTGTACCCGGGAGGTAGAGGTTGCAGTGAGCTGAGATCACACCACTGCACTCCAGTCTGGGCAACGGAGCGAGACTTCATCTCAAAAAAAAAAAAAGAAACAATAAAGGGAGTCCTTCAAGTTGATATGAAGGGATACTAGACAGTTGCTCAGCCTGATGAAAATATAAAGGTAAATACATAAAGATTAAAACCTGTATTATTGTAATTTTTGCTTATAACTCAATTTTTAATACTTTAATGGAATTTAAAGGACAAAAGCATAATAATTATAAATCTATGTTAATGGATACAAAGTATATAAAGTTTAATTTGTGACATCAGTAACTTAATAGTGGGGCAAAGATGTAAAGAGTAGAGGTTTTGCATGTGATTGAAGTTATCTGTTTAAAATAATAAGATAACTTTAAGATGTTCCATGTAATTCCCATAGTAACCACAAGGAAAATACCTACAGAATATATGCAAAAGGAAATGAGAAGGAAATCAGAGCATAGCACTACAAAAAATCAACTATAACACAAAGGAAGACAATAAGGGAGGAAAGAAGGACAAAAAGGCTCTAAACATACAGAAAACAATGACCAAAATGGTGGTAGTAAGTCCTTCCTAATCAATAATTTCATTAAATGTACATAGGTTAAACTCCCAATAAAAAGACATAAATCGGCTGATTGGATTTAAAAAAACGGGATTCAACTATATATGGTGTCTACAAGAGACTCATTTGAAATCCAATACAAATGGGTTGAAAAATGAGAGAATGGAGAATATTCCGTGCAAAAAGTAACCAAAACAGATCAGGAATGGCTGTACAAGTTATGGCTGTACAAGTTGTTGGGGTTTATGTTACTGAAGAATGAACAGAGATGAGTAAGTGGAGGTGTTATGTAAAGGCATACTGTACTCAAAATCTGAAGACCTGCAGCAGATTTAAATTCCAGCTCTTATTATAACTTTTTAAAAGATTGTGAAAATATCAAAATATAGATGAATCAAGTTTTAATATACTGTATGATGGGTGGATGAGGCTGTCCATTGTACCATTTGTTTGAATTCTCAGGCATGGTTTGGCAGTGCAAGAACTCTGTAACGTTAACAAATTCAATAAAAAGTAAATATATGGAAAAAAAAGTATAGACAAAATAGATTTTAAGTAAAAAACTATTACAAGAGAGGGTTCTGGGAAGAAAGTGGAGTAGGAAGCACTGGGAATTCATCTCCCCACCTAGAAAATAATCACACTGGCAGAATCTGCCTGATATAACTATTTTGGAACTCTAGACTCTATCAAAGGAGGCTTGTAACCTCCAAATGAAGGCTTAAACTATAATTTTTACTTAATTTTGGTCAATTTCAGCTCTTAGCTCAGCAGTGGCTACCCAATCCCCATGCCCCAGCTTCACGGCAAGAAGCTTTGCATGTGTTCCTGAAGCAGCTTGTACCAAGCTTGTGGGAACAATCATGGGCAATAAGCACTCTGTCCTCCAAGTGTTAGCATCTGCGTTCTGGTTGTTGATTGCTACTTTTGATTATGGAAGGGCAAACACAGAGGCCGGCAGCCATTATTGCTCACAACTCCCCACTCCACTGCTGCAAGCCCTTACCAGACTGAAGCAACTTCTAGGAGATAGAAAAGGCCAGAACCCCATTTCCCTTCCCCTTCATTGTTCTCTTTTCCTTTTTTGGGAGCCAAACATTAAAGACTAGGACACTCAAAAGCAATGGCATACCCAGAGGAAATTAAAGTTACCACACATCCTTGGAGAGAGGAGTGTGTGCCCAGGGAAAGGAGCAGCTTCAGACCTGAGAAGACCTCAAGCTTACAACTCAGGTTGATCCTCAGCATGGAGACAACCTACAACAATGTAAAACATAACAAAACCCCAAAACAGCAAACCTTGAGGAAGAGGAGAGTCTCATCTCCAGAGTTACTGCATTATTATATTCAAGTGTCCAGTTTTCAATACAAAACACAAGGCATACAAAAAACAAGAAAATATGGTATTTCAAAGGAAAAACAACAACAGAAACTGTTCCAGAGAAAGACCAGATGGTAACCTACTACACAAATACTTTAAAACAACTTTCTTAAAGATGGTCAAAGAACTGAAGGAAGATGTGGAGAAAGTCAGTAAAATTATGTGTAAACAAAATGGGAATATCAATAAAGAGATAGAAAACCTAAAAAGAAAAAAAATAAATAAATTCTGGAACTAAAAGTGTAGTGATTGAAATAAAAGTTCACCAGAGGGATTCAAAAGCAGATTTGAGCAACAGAAGAAAGATTCAGTGAATTTGAAGATGGGACACTTGAAATGATCAAGTCAGAGGAACAGAAATAAAGACGATTGTTGAATAGCAAGCAGACATTGTGGAAGTCCCAAAAGAAGAGAGGGAAAGGGGCAGAGAGATCATTTGAAGAAATAATGGCTGAGGCTGAACACGGTGACTCACACCTGTAATCCCAGCACTTTGGGAGGCCAAGGTGGGTGGATCACAAGGTTAGGAGTTCGAGACCAGCCTGGCCAATATGGTGAAACCCCGTCTCTACTAAAAACACAAAATTAGCCAGGTGTGGTGGTGCATGCCTGTAATCCCAGCTACTTGGGAGGATGAGGCAAGAGAATCGCTTGAACCCAGGAGGCAGATGTTGCAGTGAGCCGAGATTGTGCCATTGCCCTCCAGCCTGGGCAACAAGAGTGAAACTCCGTTTAAAAAAAAAAAAATTAGCTGGGCGTGGTGGCACGTACCTGTAGTCCCAGCTACTCAGGAGGCTGAGGCAGAAGAATCGCTTGAATCCAGGAGGCAGAGGTTGCAGTGAGCCAAGATCACACCACTGTACTCTAGCCTGGGCAACAGAGCGAGACTCTGTCTCAAAAAAGAAAAAAAAAAAGCTGAACACTTCCCAAATTTGATGAAAGACATGAAAATAAATATCCAGAAAACTCAATGGACTCCAAGTAGGATGAAAAAAAAAAGACTCATACTGAGACATTATAATTAGCCAGTAGGGCCTCTTGAAAGCACCAAGAGAGAAGCAACTAGTCACATGCTAGGAATATATAATAGGATTATAAGTAGATTTCTCATCAGACACTTTGGAGAACAGAAGACAATGGGATGACATATGTAAAGGGCTAAAAGAAAAACAACCACTACCTCTCAACCAAGAATCCTATATCCAGCAAAACTGTCCTTCAAAAGTGAGGAAGAAATTGGGAAATCCCCAAATAAACCAAAGTTGAGAAGTTTGCTACCATTAGACCTGCCCTGCAAGAAATCTTAAAGAGAATCATGCAGGTTGAAAAGAAAGAACACTAGATAGTAACTCAAAGCCATATGAAGAAATAAAGATGCCAGTAAAAGTAAATATATGGGAAAATATTAAATCTAGTATTATCGTAACTTTGGTTTAAAACTCCATGTTTTGCTTTCTACATAATTTAATAGACAAATGCATTAAAAACAATTATTAGTTTATGTTTATGGACACACAATGTACAAAAATGTAATTTTGTGACATTGATAACTGAAAGAGGAGTGGCAAAACTGTGAGGAGAGTTTTTGCATATTATTGAAATATAGCTGGTATGAATTCAAGTTAGAGTGCTATAACTTTAGAATGTTAAGTGTAATCCCTATGGTAACCACAAATAAAACATTATATAACATAAAAAAGTAAATGAGAAGGGAATTAAAACACTTCGCTACAAAAAATCAACTAAATACAAATGAGATCATGCAGGAAATGGACAAAAATGCTGTAAGGCATATAGAAAATGTATAGCAAAATGCCAGAAGTAAGTCCCCCCTTATCAGTAATTACTTTATTACTTTTTAAACCATTTTGTTGAGGAATGATTTACATAAAAACTGTACATATTTAACGTACACATCTTGATAAATTTACACCATAAAACCATTATCATCAAGCCTATAAACATATCCATCACCTTTTAAAATTTCCTTCTGCCTCTTTATTATTATTATTGTATAAAAAAATGTTTTTAATGGCCAGGTGCGGTGGCTCACGCCTGTAATCCCAG
The DNA here is from genome assembly GCF_000001405.40 of Homo sapiens. NCBI lineage: Eukaryota > Metazoa > Chordata > Mammalia > Primates > Hominidae > Homo > Homo sapiens. Next base: position 18,226,626 of record NC_000022.11, on the reverse strand, counting down.
CACTTTGGGAGGCTGAGGCAGGCAGATCACCTGAGATCAGGAGTTGGAGAGCAGCCTGGCTAAGATGGCAAAACCCCATCTCTACTATAAATACAAAAATTAGCTGGGCGTGGTGGCGGGTACCTATAATCTGAGCAAAGTACTGGGAGGCTGAGGTGGGAGAATCTCTTGAACCTGGGAGGCGGAGGTTGCAGTGAGCCGAGACAGCACCATTGCACTCCAGCCTTAGCAACAAGAGTGAAACTCTGTCTAAAAAAAAATAATAATAATAAAAGTTTTTAATTAAACAATTTAAGAATATAGTATCATTTTCTGTGGGTACTATGCTGTATAGCTCTCCAGAACTTACTTATCTTGCATAACTGAAATTTGTACACTTTAACCATCAACTTCCCATTTCCTTCTCTTCCCCAGCTCCCAGCAACCACCATTCTGTTCTCTTCTTCTGAGTTTGACGTCTTTAGGTTCCACACATAAGTGAGATTGTACAATATTTCACTTTCTGTGTCTGGCTTATTTTACTTAACATAATGTCCTCCAGTCCATCTATGCATAGAAATGCAACTGATTTTTGGATGTTGACTCTGTATCTTGCTACTTTATTGAATTTATTACTTCTAACAGTCTTTTAGTGAAGTCTTTACAGTTTTCTATACATAAAAATATGTCATCTATGGAGACCATTTTACTTCCATTCTTATTTCTTTACTTGCTTAATTGTTCTGGCTAGGACTTCCAGTCCTATTTTGAGGAGAAATGGTGAGAGTAGGAATTCTTGTCTTGTTCTTCATCTTCGAGGAAAAACGTTCAGTCTTTCACTGTTGAGTATGTTACATGTGGTCTTCATTATGTTGAGGTACATTCCTTCTGCGCCTAATTTGCTCAGTTTGTTGTTTTTTTTAATCATGAAAGGATGTTGAATTTTATCAAGTGCTTTTTAATAATAAAAATAAAGGATTTTTATCGTTTATTGTGTTGATGTGGTGTATCACATTTAGTGACTCTTGTATGTTAAAGCATCCTTGCATGCCAGAGATAAATCCCACTTGATCCTGGTAAATAATTCTTTTTTTGTTTTTTATTTATTTATTATTTATTTATTTTTTTGAGATGGAGTCTCGCTCTGTCATCCAGGCCTGAGTGCAGTGGCGCGATCTCGGCTCACTACAAGCTCCGCCTCCCAAGTTCACGCCATTCTCCTGCCTCAGCCTCCCTAGTAGCTGGGACCACAGGCACCCGCCAGCATGCTCAGCTAATTTTTTTTTTTTTTGGATTTTTGGTAGAGACTGGATTCATGGTGAATAATTCTTTTAATGCACTGTTGAATTTGGTTTACTAGTATTTCATTGAGGATTTTTGCATCTATGTTAACCAGGGATATTGACCTATAGTTTTCTTATTTTGTAGTGTTCTTATCTGGCATTGATATCAGGATAATGCTGGCCTCTTAGAATGAGTTTCAACGTGTTCCCTTTTCTTCAATTTTTTTGGAAGAGTTTGAGAAGGATTGTTATTAATTCTTTAAATGTTTGTTGAAATTGACCAGTAAAACCATTTGGTCCTGGGATTTTCTTTGTTGGGAGATTTTTCATTACTGGTTTAATCTCTACTTATTTTTTCTGTTTTTTTTTTTTTTAATTATACTTTAAGTTCTGGGGTAGCCGTGCAGAAAGTGCAGGTTTATTACTTAGGTATACATGTGCCATGGTGGTTTGCTGCACCCATCAACCCATCATTTACATTAGGTACTTCTCCTAATACTATCTCTCCCCTTGCCCCCATCCCCCAACAGGCCTCAGTGTGTGATATTCCCTGCCCTGTGTCCAAGTGTTCTCATTGTTCAACTCCCACTTATGAGTGAGAACATGCGGAGTTTGGTTTTCCGTTCCTGTAGTTTTCAGATGTGCTCTGGCCTCCAAGGACCATGAAGCCAGGCGGTGGTGGGGGGGTGTCCTCTGTATAAAAAGTGCTGTCCCAGGAACTTCCTGACGGACACTTTGGGGCATGTGAGCGATTCCTGGGGAGGGCACCTCGGCCTTCCTAAGGCTACCCCTGCAGCCAGCGCTGGCCATTCTCACCAGCAACCAACCAAAAAACATCAGAGTCCCTGTAAACCTGGTTGTGATGATAAAAACCAAATGTTTTCTAATCTAAGACTTGTATGCAGAACACAGAAAACTGCAGTTAAGGAACACCCTACAAAATTGACCAACAGTATTTTCCAAAAACATTTTTCATCACTTTAAATAATGTACAAAATCTACAAAAATCATATTTACCAGGACACATCTGTTAAATAAAAGCATTGTTTCGTGTTGGTATACATATATACAAGACTATGTATAACAGACTGTTTCCCCTCCCTGCAACCACAGAACCATCACACACAGGCACAGATACACGTCGGCTATGCCGCTTTCCACGAATGCATGGAACCCAGGACGCGAACCCACAGCTCGAGGTCTTATACCTTCACTACTGAGCTGCCACCACTGCAGCAGCAACACCTCTGCGGAGGTGTTGCTGAAATCACTGGTGTCCCTGCCCAAGGTGTCCTGGTCCTGGTCAACTCTACTGATTGACCCTTCGTGGATACCTCAGGTCTAAAATCCTTTCCTCCGAGCCAGAGCTCTTCCTGTTGTGCAAACTCAGCCCCGTCTGTACCTTCCTGCTTGGCCGGTGATCGCAGTCCTTCTTCGCCAGCAAGTGTGGGCTTCCAAAGACAGGGCTGGGCCTGGCCTGGGACTCCCTGAAGGCCGAGAAGGACAGGCCCTGCAGAGGCAGCCCCAGGTAGGGGCTGAAGAGGCCGGTCTCCCTGCCCCCCCAGGAGACACCCTTTCCAAAGTGGAAGAGCTGGGTGGACAGCAGCGGGGAGAAGCCCGCAAGGGGCAGGCTGGGCAGGCCCCGGGCGGGGCCCTCGGACCCCTTGTCTCTCTCTCCCAATGCCGCCCCCTCCACGCCGCATCTCTACCTTTGGAGCGCAGTGCCCATGGGCTGGGCAGCCGACTGTGGTGGGCAAAGTCACTCCAGGGCGGGGCGCGGTTGGCCTGGGCCCCAGCATCCCTCTCAGCTCCCGGGCTGGGGGTCAGGAAGCTCCGGTTCCTGCAGTCCACGTGAAAGGTCCCCCTGGCTCCTCCTGCCTCGGTGCCCGCTGTGGCACAGCTGGGCCGCTGACCAAAAGCACTTTTGGCAGCAGGCTCAGCCCCTCGTGGGCTCTGGTCTTTGTAAATGTAAACATTTCTCTTGCTCACTGAGAGACCTTGGCGGAGACACTGCCGCTGGTCCTCCTGGGTGGCGCATGATCCCCTCCGCCGGATCAGTGGGGAGCCCCTTCCCACCCTGGCTGAGCAGGCACGCTGCGCCCTGTGCTCCTGCGCTCCCTGCGCCTCGATGCCCTTTAGCCAAATGTGGGACCCCCCGGCCCTCTGGCTCCGTGTGCACATGCCAGGCAGTGGGGCCGGCTCCTTCCTGCAAGGTACCTCTGGCCTGGCTGGGCCCCCTGTCCCGAGAGCGGTGGGGCCCTCTGCCTGAACTTCTGAACTGCTCACCGACTCCTTGGCCTTTTCCACCAAAAACTTCCTAATCTCCAGTTCGATGCTATCGTCGCTGTCCACTGAACTGCTGTTGTCAGACAAGGAGCCAGGGCTGGGAGCTGGGCCCTGGGACTCTCTGGGGAATAGATTCTCTTCGGAGGCGGAGGCAGAAGCGGGTCTCCTCACCAGGAAGGCCGAGGCTTCGTCCTCTCGGCCCTGCTGCCAAAGACACTGGGGGGTTTCTTCCTGGAGCCCTCGCAGCTGTCTCTCTTGGACTTAGGCAGCTCTTCAGCACCTGCAGGTGCCTGTTTTTCCACTCTCTCAGGAGCCTGCCCAGCTGCTCCTGGAAGTGCGTCTGGGAGGTGCTGAACCTGACCTTCTTCCTGCACACAGCCCTGGGCTCCCTGGACCTCTTCTTGAGCTTTCACTTGGACCTTAACAAGTCCTTGATGGCTGTGTCCAGGTCCTTGTCACTGTCCAGGGAACTGCTTTTGTCTTCGGAGCTCTTCTTCTTGTCTAGGTGCCTTGCCTCGTCTGTCTTACCCTGGCCCTGTGACGTGCGAGTGTCACCGGGCACCCTAGCGGCGCCCTCTCCTCCCGGGGCCTCGCTGGCTGTGCCCTGGATGGAAAGGTCCCGCCCCTCATGGCCGGGCCCGGCTCTCCCCTGGCTGCGGTCGGCATCCTGGCCACCCTCTTTCCCCACCACCCGCATGTTCTTGGGAGTGGATGGCCTCACTTGGCAGCCGCCTCTATGCTTCCTTTTGCAGCCAGGAGTGGGTCCAGTGTTTTAGAGAGAGGGGCCTTGGGGCTGCCGGTCTGGCTGCTGAGGCCAGGTGGTGAAAGTGGGCCCTGGGCAGCCTGAGGGCAGCTCTCACCTCTGGCCAGCAAACTTCTAGACTGCACCTTGAGGGCCAAAAACGTCCAGATTTCCTGCTCAATGCTGTCGTCGCTGTCCACGGAGCTACTGTCACCATCAGAGCGGGAAGGCACGTTGGGGGAGTAGAAGAGTGGGCTTGCGGACAGGGACCCATCGCTGCCCTCCATAGGGCCGGCAGGATCGTCTTGAAAATGTCCAGGACTGCTTCTACACACATCAGCTCAGCGGAGGTGTCTGCCTGGCAAGAGGACCATTCCACAAACTTGCTCCTGGAAGCCGGGCTCGTTGGAGGTGGAGCTTTGGTTTCCTTTGGGATCTTGGGGGAATGGTCAGCGTCCAGATCCCCTGGACCAGGGTCCGTGGTCTTGGTGGGCACTGGCTTCTTCTTGCTGGGTGTTTTCCTGTGGGTCTCTGGCAAGGCACTTTTTGTGGCGCTGCTTGTGCTGTGTGCGGGAGGGGCAGGTGCTCTTTCCTCTTGGAGCTGGACCCTCTGGGGCGGGTCCCCGTCGGCCTCCTTGTGTGTTTTCTGCACCTGGTACAGCTGGATGGCCTCCTCAATGCCGTCGTCGCTGCTGGAGTCGGACGCCTCGGGAGCCTGTACGGCGCTCGTGACTCGCTTTCCCCTCCTTGCGGTGCTGGCGCTCCTTTTAATCCCACTTTTATTCTGTACTGCTTCTGAAGGGCGGTGGGGGTTGCTGGCTTTGTGCTGCCCTCCTTCTCCTGCGTGGTCGTGGTCGTGACCTTGGACCTGAGGCTTCTGGGCTGCACGTTTGTCTTTGCTAACCGGGGGAGGTCTGCAGAAGGCGAACTCCTTCTGGACGCCCATCAGGCCCTGCCGGTGCACCACCTTTGTAGCCGGCTCTTGGTGGGATTTCGAGAGTGACTTCGCCGAATTTTCATGTGTGTCTGGTTTCTTCTCCACTGACCCATCACATTTTTGGGTCTCATGCTGTCTTTTCTCATTCAGAAACTGTTCTATTTCTGCCCTGATGCTCTGCTCAAAGGAGTCTGCTCTGCTCATGCTGACTGGGGAGGCAGAGCCCTGGTCCTTGCTGGATCCCACCTGGCTGCCAGGGCCACACCACCTGAGCCAGGTACAAGTTTTGGGGAACACAGGGCAGTTGGGCACTGCTGTGAGCCAGTTCCCGCTTACATCTACTGCCTCCGCCCGCAGCCCTGGAAGGCTGTGCATGGCTGGGCCCCGCTGGCCCCGGGCTGTGCGGCTCCACTCTTTACCTTCAGGTACTCCTGGATGGCCTCCTCAATGTCCCGGTCCACGGAATCGTCACTGTCTGAATCTAGCACCAATGGGCCAAAGTCTGCAGTTTCCTCCTCCCCCACGGGGTCAAAGTCAGCAACAAGACCACAGGCAGCCAACGCAGGCAGCTCCTTGTGCATGGTGGGCTTGGCAGCAGGCCTGGCGTCGTGGCATCCCTCTGCCCCCTCTGCGCAGTGCGCTCATCGCTGGTGCCCCTAGCAGCCCTGTCGCTCTGCAGCGTGCTGATGAGCATCTGCACCCGGGTGCTCACCGACATGCTCTCCACGCCCTTGTCAGCCTCCGAGAAGCACCCGGGGAACCTAAAGCTCCCTGGTGGGACAGAGGCCTCCCATTTGGGCTGGAGAGCAACCACTGGAGGAGCATTCATGAGAAACATTCTAGCAGATGGGGAGCGACGCGCAGAGGGGCGACACTTTATTTCTCTGCAGGCTTCACATCCTCCAAAGATTGGCAAGCAGTACCCGTGAAATAACTTTAAACCTGCAAATGCTTCTTTGCAGGTTTAAAAGGATGACTATAAACTATGACGTCATGCCTAGATTCATTCTTGACCCAACCAACAAGCTCTTGACATTCTCTGAGTCCAGGTTGACTGTGATGAAAGGCAGCTAGTGTTCCCAAATGGCCCAGGGATCAGGTCTTCATCGCTCCACTCAGAGGGAAGCATCCTCTCTCTGCTTTTTAAATAGACTTTTGACTGGGGCTCCAGCAGCGCGGGGCGCGCAGACCTGGAGTTGCATGGAGGCCAGAGCCACGACACCCGCCTGGGGAACGGAGCAGCCCCAGGCGCTGATCCCCGTCCACCTGCCCCACGGAGCCCTCGCCGCCCGCTTGCCACTGCCTGCATGGCCCTCCTGTCCCCGGCCCCCCAGCCCTCCTTTCCCCAGCTCCCCCACCCTCCTGTCCCCGGCACCCCAGCTTCCCAGCCCCCGAAACCGCCCCCCCACCTCGACCCGGCCCATGCCGCAAGTCGCCAGCTGGGCGGACCCGGCCTCCGCCCGCCTCCTGCGTCCTGGGGGAGGCGGCTGCCGGGGGTGGTGGGGGAGGGGGAGGGGGAAGAGGCCGCCCTCCGCCCGGGTGCGGGGAGGGGGCGCAGGGGTGTCCGGCCAGGCCCCCCGCCTCCCCGCCTCCCCGCAGCAGCTGCCCCGCGCCCGGGCCGCCTAATACTTTTACATTTTAACTTTTATACTACAGTGAAAAGTGATTTACACACCACCACTGCAATATTACAGTGTTATGAATGTGACTATATACTTACCTTTCCCTGTGAACTTTTTTTTTTGAGACAGAGTCTCGCTCTGTCGCCCAGGCTGGAGGGCAGTGTCCATGATCTCGGCTCACTGCAAGCTCTGCCTCCCGGGTTCAAGTCATTCTCCTGCCTCGGCCTCCCGAGTAGCTGGGACTACAGGCACCCGCCACCACGCCTGGCTAATTTTTTGTATTTTTAGTAGAGACGGGGTTTCACCGTGTTAGCCAGCATGATCCCCCTCTTCTGACCTTGTGATCCACCCGCCTTGGCCTCCCAAAGTGCTGGGATTACAGGCGTGAGCCACTGCGCCCGGCCTACCTGTGAACTTAATATCTTAATGTTTTAATGTTGCTAATCAGAATCCTTTTATTTCAACTTGAAAAACTGCCTTATAAGGCAGGTGCAGTGGTGATGAACTCCCTTAGAATTTTTTTGGTGGGAGTCTGGGAAAGACCTTATCATCTCTTTTTCATTTCTGAAGGACAGCTTTACAAGTTGTGGTCTTCCTGATTGGCAGTTTTTTTCTTCCAATACATTGAATATAGCATCCTATTCTCTCCTGGCTTATAAGGTTTCTGCTGAGAAATCCACTGATAGCCTTATTGAAGTTTCCTTGTATGTGATGAATTCCTTTCTTCTTGCTGCTTTTGAAAGTCTCTGTCTTTGACTTTTGATATTTTAATTATAATACATCTTGGTATTATGGTCTTTGGGCTGGCCTTTTTTGGGGCCTCTGAACTTCATGTGTCTGGAAGCCCACTTGCCTCTAAGAATTTGGAAAGTTTTTACCCATTATGTCTTCAAATATACTTTCAGGCCTTTTCTATCTTTTTTACTTCTAGGAAGTCCATAATATGTTTGACCCACTTCATGGTGGTGTCCTATAAATCCCAAAGGTTTTTACTTATAAACTTTTTTTTCTTTCTGGTCTTCTGACGGGATATTTCAAATGTCCTGTCTTTAATTTCACAGATTCTTTCTTCTGTTTGATCAAGTCTGCAATTGAAATTCTCTATTGCATTTTCATTTCATTCATTTATTTATTTTTATATATTTTTGAGACAGAGTCTGTGTCACCCAGGCTTGAATGCAGTGGTGCCATCTTGGCTTACTCCAACTTCCACCTCCCGGTTCAAGCGATTCTCCTGCCTCAGCCTCCCTAGTAGCTAGGATTACAGGCATATGCCACCATGCCTGGCTAATTTTTGTATTTTTAATACAGATGGGGTTTTGGCATGTTGGCCAGGCTGGTCTTGAACTCTTGACCTCAAGTGATCCGCCTGCCTCGGCCTCCCAAAGTGCTGGGATTACAGGCGTCCGCCACGGCACCCAGCTTGCATTTTCATTTTATTCATTGTATTCTTCAGTTCTAGAATTTCTGTTTGGTTCTTATTATTTCTGTATCTTTATTGAACTTTTAGCTTTGCTCATCTACTATTTTCTTGATATTATTGAGTTGATATATACATTCTAGTAAATTTCACTGAGCTATCTTAATTATTTTGAATTGTCAGGCAATTTGTAGATCTCTATTTTTGGGGGGTTGATTACTGGAGATTTATGAGTTTATTTTGGTAGTGTCATATTTGCTGATTCTTCATGATCTACAGACTTTCATTAATGTCTATGAAGAAGCAAATACCTCTTCTTTTTTTTTTTTTTTTTTTTTTTTTGAGACAGAGTCTTGCTCTGTCACCCAGCTGGAGTGCAGTGGTGTGATCTCAGCTCACTGTAACCTCCACCTCCCAGGTTCAAATGATTCTCCTGCCTCAGCCTCCCAAGCAGCTGGGATCACAGGCATGTGCCACCACGCCTGGCTAATTTTTTTGTATTTTTTGTAGAGACAGAGTTTCACCGTGTTGTCCAGGCTGGTCTCAAACTCCTGGCCTCAAGTGGTCTGCCCGCCTTGGCCTCCCAAAGTGCTGGGATTACAGGTGTGAGCCACCATGCCCAATCTCTTTCTGTCTTTATAGATTGGTTTCAGCAGGTACAAACCTTTTCCTGCTGGATCCCTTGACTGGATCACAGTCAAGTGGGCCTGGAGCCATATTACATGGCTGCTGCCTGGTCTGCAGCTGAATCTCTGATTGGCAGGCCGCTATCAAGGCATAGGTTGGTGATGCAGTTTCTGCTGGATCCTCAGGAGAACTGGACTGCCTCTGATACCCTGATTGAACAGGACTGGAGCCAGGTCATGGGGCCACTTCTAGTTCTACAGTCAAGTCTTCAGATATCAGGCCTATTACCAAGGGCATGGACTGGTATAGCTCCCTGTGGGTCCCAGATTGAGCTCCTGCTGGTTTACTAGGTAGGTCCATGGGAAGACAGGACTGCCTCCAGACCACAGTAGAGCAGGGCTAGAGCCAAGTCACAGGACAGCTTTGGTGACCACATTTGAGTTCAAGATTGGTGGTCCTCTTATTAGGAGAATGGATGGTATGTCTTTCACCAGGTCCCAGGATGGGCTGGACTGTGCCCAGACTGTGGCAAAGCAAGACTGGAATGGAGTCACAGGGCTACTTTAGTGTCCATAGCTGAGACTGAGATCAGCAGGCCTGTTACCAAGGGTATGTAAAGGCATCACTGAATTCCTGGGCAGGCATGACTGACTGTGGTAGAGTGGGGCTGAAGCCAGGTCAGGGCTGCTTTAGTTTCTGCAGTCAGGACCATGGTTAGAAGGCCTGTTACTGGGGGCATAAATGGTCATGGTTCCTCCTAGGTGCTTAGTGGATGGGGCTAGTTGCAAGACCATGATCTAGTGGAGCTGGACCCAAGTCCATAGGAGGACAAAGCTGCTTTCAGTCTGCAACTGGTAACCTGTCACTGGTGTGTGGACCTGCCTTCTCAAAGCAGCTCTCCTTGGTTTTGGGCTTTGCTAGAGTTTTGCCACCTCCTGCCTGGATATTAAAACTCTTGCAAAGGCAGTTTTGTCCATGAATGGCTGCCAGATCATTGTTTGTGTGGGGAGAGGTGAGTGGAGGGCCTCCTGTTCTGCCATCTTGCTGATGTCACCCTAAGATGATTATTTGAATTCTTTGTCAGGCAATTTGTAGATCTTCATGTCTTTGGAGTCAGCCACTGGAGTTTCATTTTGTTTCTTTGGTGGTGTCATATTTTCTCATGCTTCCTGTTCTTTGAAGACTTAGATTGCTTTCTTCATGTTTGAAGAAGGAGTCATCTTTTCCACTCTTTACTAACTTCAGGAGAGAAAGACCATCAATTAGCTAAGCTATAGATTCTGGGGGTCTCTCAGTCCTTTTCTGTGGGTGGTCCTTCCCTTTTAAGGGGGATGTCTTAGGATTTTGTCCCTTGTCTTCATTTCACAAATGAATAAAACAACCAGACCAGACATAAGTAAGGAAATACAGCACTTGAACAACACCTGAAAAAACAACTAGACCTAACAGACATACACAGGATATTCTACCCAACAACATAATACACATACTTCTCAAGTATACATGGGACATTTTCAGGATAGACCATATAACACATCACAAATTAATTCTCAATAGGGGCTGGGTGCAGTGGCTCACATCTGTAATCCCAGAGTAATTTGGGAGGCTGAGGCGGGTGGATTGCTTGAAGCCAGGAGCTTGACATCAGCCTGGCCAACATGGTGAAACCCCATCTCTACTAAAAATACAAAAATTAGCTGGGCGTGGTGGTGCGTGCCTGTGATCCCAGCTTCTTGGGAGGCTGAAGCGTGAGAATTGCTTAGGAGCCCAGGAGGTTGAAGCTGCAGTGAGCAGAGATTGTACCACTGTACTCCAGCCTGTACTTCATGACAAAGAAAATGTACCATTGTACCACTGACAGAACGAGACCCTGTCCCAAAAAAGGAAAAAAGCTCAGTAGATTTAAAACGATAGACATCATACAAAGTGTCTTCTCTGACCACAACAGGATAAAGTTAGAAATCAATAACAGAAGATTTAAAAAAGTTCACAAATTAGTAGAATTTAAACAACACACTCTCAAACAACCAATGGATCAAAGAAATCACAAAGAAATTATAAAATTCTTAAAGACAAATGAAAATGAAAGCACACTATATCCAAACTTATGGGCTGTGGCCAGTTGTGGTGGCTCACACCTGTAATCCCAGCACTTTGGGAGACTGAGGGAGGTGGATAGCTAGAGGTCAGGAGTTCAATTTCAGCCAGGCCAACATGGTGAAACCCTGTCTCTACTAAAAACACAAAAATTAGCTGGGAGTGGTGGTACGTGCCTGTAGTCCCAGCTACCCAGGAGGCTGAGGCATGAAAATTTCTTGAACCCAGGAGGCAGAGGTTGCACCACTGAGCTAACACCACTGCACTCCAGCCTGGGTGACAGAATGAGACTCTGTCTCAAAAAACAAAGAAACAACAAAAAAACACAACTTATGAGTTGTGGTGAAAGGAGTGCTAAGGAGGAAATTTATAGCTATAAACACATTAAAAAAAGAAACACCTCAATTCAACAACATAAGTTTACACATTAAGAAACTAGAAAAAGAAGAATAAAACTAAACCCAAAGTTAGCAGAAGGAAGGAAACAATAGAGATCAGGGCAGAGATAAATGGAAAAGAGAATAGAAAAACAATAAAAAACAAAACCAAAAGTTGGTTCTTCAAAAAGATTAATAAAACTGACAAGACTAAGGAAAAGGGAAACAATCTAAATTACTTAAAACAGAAATGTATTTGAGAATATCTTTATATATTTCTGTCTGTCTGTCTGTCTGTCTGCCTGTCTATGTTTTAGAGACAAGGTCTAGCTCTATTGCCCTGGCAACAATCAGATGCAACCAGAATCAGTGGCACAATCGGCTCACTGCAGCCTTGAATTCCTGGGCTCGCCACTATGCCAGCTCTTTTTTTTTTTTTTTTTTTTAAGAGACAGGATCTTGCCATGTTATCCAGGCTGATCTTGAACTCCTGGCCTCAAGGAATTTTCCCACCTCGGCCTCCCAAATTGTTGGATTACAGGCATGACCCACCATTCCCAGCCTAGAAAGGATTATAAAAGATTACTATAAATAATTGTGTGCTCATAAATTGGATAACCCAGATGAAATAGATGAATTCCTAGACACACAAAACCTACCAAGACTCAATTATAAAGAAACAGAAAGTCAGAATAGACCTAACCTAGTAAGGGAATTGAGTCAGTAATAAGACAATCTCATGACAAAGAAAAGTCCTGGACCTGATAGCTTTACTGGTGAGTTCTGCCAAACGTTTAAAGAAGAACTAACACTGATTCTTTTCAAGCATTTCCAAAGAGTGGAAGAGGAGTGAATACCTCTTAACTCTTTCTATGAGGCCAGCATTACCCTGATACCAAAGCCAAAAACACTGTAAGAAAATAAAACAACAGATCAATATGCCTCTGATCATTGATGCAAAAACTCTAAAAATGCTAGTATACTGGGTGGGGCACGGTGGCTCATGCCTGTAATCCCAGCACTTTGGGAGGCTGAGGTGGGTGGATCACCTGAGGTCAGGAGTTCAAGACCAGCCTGACCAACATAGAGAAACTCTTGTCTCTACTAAAAATACAAAATTAGCCATGTGTGGTGGTGCATGCCTGTAACCTCAGCTACTCGGGAGGCTGAGACAAGAGAATCGCTTCAACCCGGGAGGTGGAGGTTGTGGTGAGCCGAGATCATGCCATTGTACTTCAGCCTAGGCAACAAGAGCAAAACTTTGTCTAAAAAAAAACTATCATACTGAATTCAGCATCATATTAAAAGGATTATACACCATGACCAAGTGGGATTTATTCCTGGAATGCAACGATGTTTCAATATATAAAAATTGATCCATATAAATTCAGACAATTAATTTTAACTGATGTATAGTTTTACATTATATGCACATACCACGATTCACTTTTCCATTTTCCTAGTAATGAGCTTTAAGATTATTTCCAATTTTTAGCTATTACCAATAATGTTTCAACAAACACCTTTGGACATCTCTTCTGCAAATGTGTGTGTATTCTCTTGGAGAAGGTTTACCCTGTGGAATTTCTAGTGTGTATGTGTATGTGTGTGGGTATATATATATACACATATGTATATATTTTCAACTTTACTATATATTTCCAAAAAACTCTTCAAAGTGGCAGATTTAAACTCCCCTTCGCCGTGTATAAATTCACGGTTCCTAAAGCCCTTGGCATAGTTTTGTGTTTTTATAGAAAAGGGCATAAAGTCTTATTGCTGTTGAATTGTACCTTGCTCTTTTCAATTGTCTTTTCACAATAATTCACTATTTATCATCTGTTGTGAATATTGTGTAGTAGTTCTTAATCATTTTTTCTACTATATTATTTATTTTATATCATGAATTTGTAGAAATCCTCTTTATATAATGGATATTATACTTTTCAATTATATATTTTGTAAATATTTTACCCAATTTTCTGGCTTGCATTTAACCTTTATTTAGGATGCCTAGGATTTTTCATTTTAATACAGTCTAATTTATTTTTCTTTTCTTTTCTTCTTCATGCATTCTGGCATTTGATTAATAAGCCATTTGTTGCCCAACGTCATTAGTTCTCTGTATATACTTTTAAATATCTTAAACATGTAATATTCATAAGTAATTTCACAAGTAGTTTAAGATTTGAGTCTTTAACCTAAATAGATACAGGATTTTGTGATATGCTGTAATATACAGATTTTTATTTATATATGGATAAAAATTTATATGTTTTTTCTGACATCATTTATTGAATAGTATAATTTTTCTACTGACTTTTAGTATCATATCTTTTATTACAAGTCCAATGTATTCAGCATATCTATGGATCTATTTCTTGGTGCTTCCATTTTTTCCCATTGTTTAACGGTGTATCACTGAGCCAAAGCAAACCATTTTAATTATTATAATTAAAACACATTTAAATATTGATAGGCTATTATTGTTCAGAATAACTTTGGTTCTTCCTTTCCATTGATTATTTTAATATGACTTTTCCAATCAAGTTCTAAAAAAATACTGGTGGTATATTTATTGAAATAACTTTAATAAAATTAAATGAAAGATCATGTGTTTTCTGAATTAATTCTTAGATACGTTAATGTTTTATGTTACCATGAATGTGATATTATAATATAATATTTTTAATTGGTTGCTACTGTTTATAAGAATTTCATTTTCTCTTTACTTTGCCTTCATATCTGAAAACCTTGCTGATTTGATTAGTGCATCCACAAATTTTCTTGGATTTTCTATGGGTAATTACAAATCTCCACACAATGAGGTTGCAGTGAGCCAAGATCACACCACTGTACTCCAGCCTGGGCGACAGAGTGAGACACCATCTCACAAAAACACATAAACAAACAAACAGAAACTCCACACAATGACAACGTATGTGTTTTCTTTTTTTCTTCCTCTTTCTATAATATTTCTTTGTCCTATCTTAACTGAACTGGCCAGAAACCCCAGGACAATGATAAATACGAGCAGTGTCAACAGACATCTCATTCCCTTTCCTAGCTTTTATAAAAAATAACGATTATGCTTCAACATTACATATGGTGGTGTCGATGGTTTTGTTATAGATAAGCTTATCAGGTTAAGAAATTTGTCTGCTTTTCCTAGTTTGGTATAAAGATTTTAATATAAATGAATGTTGTATTTTACCATCTTATTTTTTTTCCTACATCTGCTAAGGTAATCCTGTGTTTTCCCTTTTTCAATCTCCTAATGTGGTGAATGACATTAAAATACCTTCTATTGTTAAAATATTCTTGCAACGCTGTATAGAACCAATGCCTTTATTCTGTATTGCTGATGGATTTTTGAAAAATATGTAGGTGGACTTAGTTTTCTAAGGGGAATAGAATTTCTAGTATATTTAAACTATTTTGCATGTATGTTCTGAAGGACATTGGTGTGTCATTTCTATACCATCTGGCTACGAGAGGAGCCGACTGAAAGTCACACTGCCGGAGGAGGGGAGAGGTGCTCTTCCGTTTCTGGTGTCTGTAGCCATCTCCAGTGGTAGCTGCAGTGATAATAATGCTGCGGTGCCGACAGTTCTGGAAGGAGCAACAACAGTGATTTCAGCAGCAGCAGTATTGCGGGATCCCCACGATGGAGCAAGGGAAATAATTCTGGAAGCAATGACAATATCAGCTGTGGCTATAGCAGCTGAGATGTGAGTTCTCACGGTGGCAGCTTCAAGGACAGTAGTGATGGTCCAATGGCGCCCAGACCTAGAAATGCACATTTCCTCAGCACCGGCTCCAGATGCTGAGCTTGGACAGCTGACGCCTTGGATCATCTGCCACTGATCTCTGGTCAACATTTTTATCACCCAACACAAAAGAAGCAGAGATTTATCAAGTTACCTGACCCTTTCATCTTTTGCTACACATACTCTTGTAATTGATCTCTCCATGAATTGTTTTCTGTTTAAAATATCTAGAATGTTTTCTGCTTCCTGACTTGATTCTAATATTGTATAGGTACTAGAAATGGTTCTAGAAATAGATCTTTATAGATGAGAATCTGGAAGTGGTTTGCTGACCTGTTTCAGTCTGAATGAATTCCTGACCTTGTTGTCGGGAGGAGACAGAAACCTGATCATCTGTAGTGTACGGTGGTATCATGATTACTTAAATCATCAAATGTGGTTATTGGGAATGATGTGTTTTTTAAAGTGGTACATGAGAGGTAAAATTGCTATTGTAGTTGACTGTTGCAGTTATAATTTTGTCAACATGGTCTGTAAGAGTGCAATGGATTCGGCCCGGTGTGGTGGCTCACGCCTGTAATCCCAATACTTTGGGAGGCCAAGGTGGGCCGATCACGAGGTCAGGAGATCGAGACCATCTTGGCTAACACAGTGAGACCCCATCTCTACTAAAAATACAAAAAATTAGCCATGTGTGGCGGCACACGCCTGTAGTCCCAGCTACTCGGGAGGCTGAGGCAGGAGAATGGCGTGAACCCGGGAGGCAGAGCTTGCAGTGAGCCGAGATCGCGCCACTGCACTCCAGCCTGGGCGACAGAGCAAGACTCCATCTCAAAAAAAAAAAAAAAAAAAAAAAGAGTGCAATGGAAAGCTGGTAGAAAATGGACATTGTTTAAAGACCAAAACAACCACACTACTTTGCTAATCCCTATCAGCTAAAGCCTAGAGAATATATGAGGTATAGATTTACATGGTGTTTGACTAAGGCATGCAGAATATAATCTTGACATAGGCTAAGTTTATCAACATAGATACATAGAGATTCTGAAGTTAAAGTCTTAGCCCAAGAAGTTAGAAGGGGTGCTCAAGTTTGTTTGTCTGACAGAAACTGTGAATCCACACTGGCCTGCTTATTTTGAGGTTGTGTTGCCAGAGCTTTCCTAGCATAATAAAGAGAGGTGCATACAAAGGAATAGGAATAGTAGGAGGTGGGGGTAAAAATATCAGGTGTGATCCACATGCCAAGCCGACCCGCACTGTGTCCCACAGGAAGCCCAGAAGATGTTTCTCTAAGAAATTAAGGATTCGTTTGTTGGGGAGGGCTGCTGGCATGCTTGAAAAGTACTGTGATGGCTGAATTTTGTGGGCTTGGGGAGATTGCAGATTCTCTGATTTCAAGGGGAATGATGTGATCCTAGAGTTGCAAAGAACAAGTGACAGTGGAGGCGCTTATGCTTTGTGACTGCACTAGAGACAAGGAAGACACAACTAGAATAATGGGGAGCAGGAATGGAGCGGCCAACAGAATATGTGACTGTTAGGGATCTTTGATGAAGGCTGATTCTCAGGGAGTGAACTACATCAGTGACCAACTATTTGTCTTTATATAACTGGGTAATGTGGATGGATTCTAATAAAGGGACTACTTACAGCACAGCAGGAAAGTCACAAAGAAACCAGACAGAAGAGTGTAAGTAGTAAGGGGCCAAGCAGTCACCTGACTAGAGACAGTGCCAGCTTGCCAAGAAGGCACCAGACAGAAGCTGTGATCTTCAGCAAAGGGACACAGTCTGCCTGTGCTGACCCTGCAGGGGCAGAGGTGGGGGATAAACACACTCTTCTCTCACCTATCTTCTGCCACCCCCTCCATTAGCTGAACCCCAATAAAAGCATGAGGGTAAGGGAGATCTCTGAAGTATCCAATTCAGGTGAGCCTCCTAAGGAACAAAGCAGAATGCAGAAAAATTAAGAGTGGGTCTAGGGAATAAAATAGAGATATGCACCAGAGTATGATGATGTGTCTGGGAAAGAATATACAAATACTTTTAAAATTACTAGACAATAAACCTGAGATGACACTAATACAGGTAAATCTCATTTAATGGTAATATATTCCAAGAAATGCATCATTAGGTGATTCTGTGGCTGTGCAGACACCAAAGAGTGTACTTTATACAAACCTAGACAGCGTAGCCTACTACATACCTAGGCTATATCGTACAGCCTATTGCTCCTGGGCTACACACCTGTGCAGCATGTCACTGTGCTGAATACAGTAGGCCAATGGTCCCCAACACCCAAGCCATGGACCAGCACCGGTTCGTGTCCTGTTAGGAATTGGGCACAAAGCAGGAGATGAGTGGCTGGCCAGCCGAACATTACTGCCTGAGCTCCGCCTCCTGTCAGATCAGCAGCAGCATTAGACCTTCACAGGAGCACAAACCCTATTGTGAACTGCCCATAGAAGGGATCTAGGTTATGTTCTCCTTATGAGAATCTAACTAGGCTGGGTGCTGTGGCTCACGCCTGTAATCCCAACACTCTGGGAGGTCGAGGCAGGTGGATCACAAGGTCAAGACAATCCTGGCCAACATGGAAACCCCGTCTCTACTAAAAATACAAAAATTAGCTGGGTGTGGTGGCGCATGCCTGTAGTCCCAGCTACTCGGGGGACTGAGACAGGAGAATCACTTGAACCCGGGAGGCAGAGGTTGCAGTGAGCCGAGATTGTGCCACTGCACTCCAGCCTGGCAACAGTGGGAGACTCAGTCTAAAAAAGAAAAAAAAAGAAAAAAAGAATCTAACTAATGCCTGATGATCTGAGGTGGAAGAGTTTCAGCCCAAAGCCATCCCCACTCCGTGGAAAAATTATCTTTCACAAAACCAGTCCCTGGTGTCAAAACTTTGGGGCCCACTGCTGTAGGCAGTTATATCACAGTAGTAATATCTAAACATGGAAAAGATACAGTAAAAACACAGTACATTGGGAGACCGAGGGGGGCGGATCACCTGAGGTTAGAAGTTCGAGACCAGCCTGACCAACATGGAGAAACTCCGTCTGTACTAAAAATACAAAATTAGCTGGGCGTGCTGGCGTGGGGCTGTAATCCCTGCTACTCGTGAGGCTGAGGCAGGAGAATCACTTGAACCCCGGAGGCAGAGGTTGCAGTGAGCCAAGATCGTATCATTGAACTCCAGCCTGGGCAACAAAATAAAACTCCTTCTCAAAAAAAACAAAGAAAAAAATATATATATATTACAAAATTTAAAGAGAGTGGTACACCAGTAAAGGACATTTAGCATGAACAGAGGTTGCAGGACTGGCAGATGCTCTGATGAGTCAGTGAGTACCTGGTGAGTGAATGCGAAGGCCTAGGATATTACTGTACATAACTATAGACTTTATATGCACTGTACACTTAGGCTACACTAAATGTATTTAAATTTTTTCTTTCTTTAACAAGTTCATCTTAGCTTATCATAACTTTATAAACTTTTAATTTTTTTAATTTTTTGATTCTTTGATAATAACACATCTTAAAACAAAAACACATTGAACAGCTGTACAGAAATACTTTATATCCTTATTTGATAAGCTTCATTTATTTTGATTTTTTATGTTTTAAACATTTTTGTTAAAAACTAAGATACAAACACACACACTAGCTTAGTCCTGTAAGGGTCAGGATAATCAATATCACTGTCTTCCATCTCGAAATCTTGTCCAAGTGAAAGGTCTTCAGGGTCTTCAGTGGCAATAACATACATGCAGCTGTCATTCTCTATGATAACAAGGCTTTCTTCTGGAAGAACTCGTGGAAGACCTTCCTGAAGCTGTTTCATAGTTAATTTTTTTTAATGAGTAGTAGTACTACACTCTAAAATATGAATAAAATCTGTAGTATTATACATACTGTTGATCCTTGAACAGTGCAAGGGTTAGGGGACCAGCTCCTGTGCAGTTGAAAATCCATATATAATTCTGGGCTATCCCCAAACTTAACTTAATATGATATATATCATATATAATATATATGATATATATCGTATATATTACATATGATATATATCATATATAATATATACGATATATATCATACATAATATGTATGATATATATTATACACAATATGTATGATATATATTACATACAATAAGTATGATATATATTATATACAATATGTATGATATATATTATATACAATATATGATATATATTATATACTATATGATATAGATTATATACAATATATATGATAGAGATTATATACAATATATATGATACAGATTAAATACAATATATATGATACAGATTATATACAATATATATGATACAGATTATATACAACATATATGATAGATTATATACAATATATATGATATAGATTATATACAATATATATGATATAGATTATATACAATATATATGATATAGATTATATACAATATATATGATATAGATTATATACTACATATGATATACATGATATATCATATATATGATATACATGGTATATCATATATGATATATACGATATATCGCATATATGATATAGATGATATATCGTATATATGACATAGATGATATATCATACCTGATATAGATGATAAATAATATATGATATAGATGATATATATCATATATGATATATCATATATTATATAATAAATGATATATATTATATATAATAAAAGATATATATTACATAATAAATGATATATATTATGTAAAATATATGATATATATTATATATTATATCTGATATATATTATATATTATATATTTTATCTGATATATATTATATATTATATCTGATATATTATATATAATTATATTATATTATATTATATATTATATATTTTATATTATATGATATATAATTATATTATATTATATTATATTATATATATTATATTATATATAATTATATTATATTATATATTATATATTATATTATATATAATTATTTATATAATATATAATATAATATCATATAATGTAATCATATATAATATATAATATATTATATTATAAAATATATTATATTATGATATACTATATATTACATGTTACATTATATAATATTTTGTATAATATATAATATATATTATCTATTATACTTTATTATATTACATATATAATTATACATTATTATATTTCATATATAATTATATAATTATACATAATTATATATATTATATTATATATAATGTTATGTATAACAATATATATTATACATAATATTATATATTATATTAAATATGATATTATATATAAGGATGCAGGATGTAAAAGGAAATTATATATATGTTATATATTATATATATTATATTATACATAATATATATATATATTTGGGGGTGCCCTATTTCCTATCTCATAACTTATTTTAAGAAGCACAGCATAATAATGTGTGGACTTGGGATTCAGTTTTTGAAATGAAACACTGAGCCTTCGATGACCTTCCTGTACATGTGAAAGCACACCTGTCTGCATGGCAGCAGTTGGACCTCACAGTGTGGATTGTGCCTTCACCCTGGAATGTTTATGCCCTATCGCCATGGTGATGGGATTAGGGATCTGCTGCCCTTGGTCCTAAGTGCCACTATCTGTGCTGAGTTTTTCAAAGGTCAGAGCAGATTGAACCTTTGTGGTTTCATTTTCCCTGATTTTGATTTTTCTTATGGGGAACCTGTGTGGCTGCATTCAAGGTATGTTCATACTGGCCTGTCAAATGCGATCTTTTCAAATTACTAGTTAATGCTTTCAAAATATGTTATTTAAAAAATTAGCCTCTGTATTTTCCATATGCAGTTATAAATATGTTTCATGGTTAGGTTTTATTCCTCAATTTATATATTTGATTATTGTACCAAGCAGAGTACCTTTGAAATTTTTCTTCATTTAAAAAATATGTATCTTGGCTCAAGCCTGTAATCCCAGCACTTTGGGAGGCCAAGGCAAGAGGATCACAAGGTGAGGAGATGAAGACCATCCTGGCCAATGTGGCGAAACCCTATCTCTACTAAAAATACAAAAAATTAGCCAGGCATGGTGGCAGCTGGTGTAGTCCCAGTGTGGTGTAGCCCCAGCTACCTGGGAGGCTGAAGCAGGACAATCGCTTCCACCCGTGAGGCAGAGGTTGCAGTGAGCCAAGATGGCACCATTGCATTCCAGCCTGTGCAACAGAACAAGAATCTGTCTAAAAAAAATTATATATATATAATGTATATTATATGTACTATATATTACATAAAACATATAATATATAATATATATAATATATATAAAATATAATATACATTATATATAAATAATATATATTATATGTCACGTTATGTAATATCTATGATACATATTACATAATAAAAGACATATATAATATATGATATATATTACATATAATATATGATATATATTACATATAATATATGATATATATTACATATAATATATGATATATATTACATATAATATATGATATATATTACATATAATATATGATATATATTACATATAATATGTGACATATATTACATACAATATGTGACATATATTATATGTAATATATGATATATAATATATAATATATGGTATATAATATATAATATATGATATATAATATATGATATATAATATATAATATATGATATATAATGTTATATTACATATAATTATATTATATTATATTATATATATCATAATATATTATATAATATATAATATATATCATAATATATTATGTAATATATATAATATATCATTTTATATATTATATATAATATGTCATAATATATTATATAATATTATATATAATATATCATAATATATTATATATTATATTATTATAAAATATATAATACTATATAATGTTATATATAATATAATATTATATTAGATTATAATATATAATATTATATTAGATTATAATATATAATATTAGATTATAATATATAATATATTAGATTATAATATACATTATATTATAATATATTATTGTATAATATGTTATAATATAATATATATTATATATTATATTATACATAATATTATATTATATATAATATATATATTTTATACAACATATTATATATAATATCTTATATAATATATTATACAATATATTATATTGTATAATATATTATATATATTATGTATTATTATCTTGTATATATAATTATATATAATTATATAATTATATATATTATATTATAGGTAATAATTATATATAATTATATATTATATTATATGTAATAATTATATATAAGTATATATTATATTATATGTAATAATTATATATAATTTATGTATTATATTATATGTAATAAATACACATAATTATATATATTTTATTATATATATTATGTATAATTGTATATTATATTATATATAATAATTATAGGTTATATTAGATATATTAATTGTATTTTATATTATTTTTAATATTAGTTAATATTAATTAATAATAATTAATTTAAATATTAATTATTATTTTATATATTATATTATATATTATGTTATATATTATATTATATATTATATTATATTATATATTATATTATATTATATATTATATTATATATTATATTATATTATATATAATATATATTATATATAATATATATTATATTATATTATTATATAATACAATATAGAATATATTATAATATATATTACTATATAATATAATATATTATATATTATATTATATTATATATATTATATTATATATAATATAGATAATTATATATTATATATCATTATATATAATTACATATATTATATTATATTGCTATATATATTCATATATATTATATTATATATAATAATACCTATTATATTATACATAATATTATATATAATATAAGGATGCAGGATGTAAAAGGAAATTATATATATGTTATATATATTATATATATTATGTCATATATAATTATATATATATATTTTTTTGGGTGCCCTATTTCCCATCTCATAACTTATTTTAAGAAGCCAGCATAATAATGTGTGGGCTTGGGATTCAGTTTTTGAAACAAAACACTGAGCCTTTGATGACCTTCCTGTAGTTGTAAAAGCCCTCACCTGTCTGCATGGCAGCAGTTGGACCTCACAGTGTGGATTGTGCCTTCACCCTGGAATGTTTATGCCCTATCGCCATGGTGATGGGATTAGGGATCTCCTGCCCTTGGTCCTAAGTGCCACTATCTGTGCTGAGTTTTTCAAACGTCAGAGCAGATTGAACCATTGTGGTTTCATTTTCCCTGATTTTGATTTTTCTTATGGGGAACCTGTGTGGCTGCATTCAAGGTATGTTCTTACTGGCCTGTCAAATGCGATCTTTTCAAATTACTAGTTAATACTTTCAAAATATATTATTTAAAAAATTAGCCTCTGTATTTTCCATATGCAGTTATAAATATGTTTCATGATTATGTTTTATTCCTCAATTTATATATTTGATTATTGTACCAAGCAGAGTATCTTTGAAATTTTTCTTCATTTAAAAAATATGTGTCTTGACTCAGGCCTGTAATCCCAGCACTTTGGGAGCCCAAGGCAAGAGGATCACAAGGTGAGGAGATCAAGACCATCCTGGCCAATACAGTGAAACCCTGTCTCTACTACAAATAGAAAAAATTAGCCAGGCATGGTGGCAGCTGGTGTAGTCCCAGTGTGAATTGGGATTCAGTTTATTCCCAAATTCCCAAATTTTATATATATATATATAAAAAATATATTAAATATATTATATATATACTATATATTATATTATATATAATTATATATATATATATTTTTGGGTGCCCTATTTCCCATCTCATAACTTATTTTAAGAAGCCAGCATAATAATGTGTGGGCTTGGGATTCAGTTTTTGAAACAAAACACTGAGCCTTTGATGACCTTCCTGTAGTTGTAAAAGCCCACCTGTCTGCATGGCAGCAGTTGGACCTCACAGTGTGGATTGTGCCTTCACCCTGGAATGTTTATGCCCTATCACCATGGTGATGGGATTAGGGATCTCCTGCCCTTGGTCCTACGTGCCACTATCTGTGCTGAGTTTTTCAAAGGTCAGAGCAGATTGAACCATTGTGGTTTCATTTTCCCTGATTTTGATTTTTCTTATGGGGAACCTGTGTGGCTGCATTCAAGGTATGTTCATACTGGCCTGTCAAATGCGATCTTTTCAAATTACTAGTTAATGCTTTCAAAATATGTTATTTAAAAAATTAGCCTCTGTATTTTCCATATGCAGTTATAAATATGTTTCATGATTATGTTTTATTCCTCAATTTATATATTTGATTACTGTACCAAGCAGAGTATCTTTGAAATTTTTCTTCATTTAAAAAATATGTATCTTGACTCAGGCCTGTAATCCCAGCACTTTGGGAGGCCAAGGCAAGAGGATCACAAGGTGAGGAGATCAAGACCATCCTGGCGAATACAGTGAAACCCTGTCTCTACTACAAATACAATCAATTAGCCAGGCATGGTGGCAGCTGGTGTAGTCCCAGTGTGAATTGGGAGTCCGTTTATTCCCAAATTCCCAAATTTTATATATATATATATAATATATATAATATATAATATATTATATATATTTTATATAATATATAATATATATAACATATATATTATATATAATATATACATTATATGTAATATATTATATATATTTTATATTATATATAAAATATATATACTATATATAATATATATAGGATATATAATATATATTATATATAATATATATAGTATATATAATATATATTATATATAATATGTATAATATTATATATTATATATATTATATATATTATATATTATATATTATGTATATAATATATATTATTTATATATTATATATAATATATAATATATAATATATAATATATAATTATATATTATATATATTATATATTATATAATATATAATAAATAATATATATTATATATATAATATATATGATATATAATTATATATTATATATTATATAATATATAATATATAATAAATAATTATATATCATATATATAATATATATAATATATATAAATAATATATATTATATACATAATATAATTATCATATATTATATATATGTCATATATAATATATGTCATAATATAATATATGTCATAATATATATAATATAATATATGTCATAATATATATATAATTTCCTTTTACATCCTGCATCCTTCAACCTGCATCCTTCAACGTTCCATCCCCCACCCCACAGATTAAGTTATTCCCCTGGGGAGAATATGGCGAAGTCTATTTTAATGCTGTTTTTAACCCAATTAAGAACCTATGAAATCATTACTTTCCAAAACTTTGGAACAAAGCCACAGTAGTAAGGATCCGTTGGAGGCTTTTCACACAATAAAATGTAACTCTCTTTGTTTTTAACATGTTTTTCCCTTCCTCTCTTCTTTTTTTGTGAAATGTGTATTTACTTTAATATATTTGTAGTAAGTCACTTCCATGCACATATTAATTTTTTAAAGTAATAAGCATGTGTATTGTCTACGTGTGAAAGAAAACACACATTTATTTTTATGCTTTGGAAGTTATCCAGAATCATGGAATTGTCAATCACAGTCAATCACCCAACCTACTCACCTTTCCAGTGTAATCTTAGTCAAATTTTTTTTTTTGTTATCCAATGAGATGCAGTATTTCAACTCAGAAAGATAAATAGAGTGAATTTATAGAGACTATTAACTAAGAACATACAGTTTGATTTATACTCAGAAGCAAGTAGATTATGTACATATATATGAAGATAAAAATTAAAAGGATAATTGTGTAAATTTGCATGTAGAGGGCTTTGAAAACCTGTTTACTTGTGAATGCTGTTTTGATGTATTGTGTCTTTGTTCTCCCGACCCATCATCCAGAGCTCTCTGCAGGAGCTAAGTGCTCATCAGTTCCATGACTTGGAAACTGTCTAAGTTTAGAGGCACTTGTATTTGTTAGTAAATAAGGCAAGATGATATTGTTTCACAGGTTTTAGTGCCGAAGACTGAATAGATAAGCTGCTCCACCCAGTACACTGGTGTTCATTTCATGGTCATCTCATCTGTTAACCATGGATATAAAACATTTATCTTCAATGATGGGGTTTTACCATGTTGGTCAGGCTGGTCTCGAACTCCTGACCTCAAATGATCCACCCACCTCCACCTTCCAAACTGCTGGGATTACAGGTGTGAGCCACTATGCCTGACTGATTATTTTCATAACCAAGAAAAGAAATAAATACAATTAATGCTGGTGCATGGTATTAAATCTAGTTTTTAAAAAATTCACACATAAACAGGGCAGAACCCTATACCCTCCATGATAAATGCAGTAGCAGTGTATGTGGGTCTGTGGAGGTTGAAAGGGACTTGGTCGATGTCAAGAAGGTAGTGGCAGTCCTGCTGGGCTTTTAAAGGGTCTGAAGAAGTGACAGGATGCTGTGGTTGAATCGTAGCATGTGTTTTAGCATTTGTTCATTTGGAGTTGATTATTTCACGTTGCTTTCATTTGCCATTACCTGGAAAGCCAAGGGCTCTACTCTCATTTCCTTGCTGCTCTTTCTTTGCCTTCCTTGGTCCGTGAAGAAGATGGTCCAGGAGAAGCTCATTCCATGCTTGTTAACCAGGCACGCCCCTAAGTTCCAGTCCCTGAGTCATTCATGAGTAGCACTGCCAATGAACTGACAGCCATGCTGTGTCCCTCCACATCCCCTAGGTGACTCGAAGAAGCCTTCCAAAAAGCGTGTGAAAAGGAAGCCCTACTCTACTACCAAGGTAAAGTAGCCTGTCTTTGCCTAAGATGTAAATGTTGTTTTCTTGGATCCTTTATTTTTCAGTTGATATCAGCTATGGGAAAATTCTCCACTACATTATAGGTGTTAGATAATATTTCCTTGGGGATGGAGGAGGTGTATTTTACCAACTGACACCTGATTCCAGAGGACGTGCAAAATTGGCAGTGTCAGATAGTACACTGGGTGTTAAGGGATGTTTTCTTCAGGAACAAGCTTTCCACTTTAGATAAGAATTCTGCAATTGCTACTCAAAAATTACCTAGACAGAAACATTCTTCAACAAAAGCTCCTGTGCTTTCCTAAGGCAACTCTACTCTAGAGTTGGGGCTTTTGACTTGAACCTTATTTCCAGTCTTGGTTACCCAGAGTTTCCAAGTGAACAAAAGACCTGTGTGAGCCATCCATAGCATAGCCTGATTCTCAGAGTGTTTTCCTTCTCTAATTACAGGTGACTTCAGGGAGCACATTCAATGGTACGTATTCTGGAATCACTCACTGGTTGTTAGAAAAGGATTCTACAGGAAATCTGGAGCTTAACTGCTGGCTTTTGTCTGGAGAGCCTCCATGATCCAAGACATCTGGTGGGAATGAGGATGTAGGGTATAGTAAAAGAAACTGGTTTTCCTGGTGACATACTCTTTTTATCTATGTATAGTTTCTGGGAACATGTTCACATTAGGTTGTGTGTGGGTATGTGTGTATTAGGGCGGGGGTGGGGTGAGGTGGTCTGTGTGCAAGTCTGCATGATTTGCTTGTGAATGTGTGTCTATGTGTGTTTCCCCTAGGAAAAAAATGTTGTGTTTACCCAGCACAACTCTCAGTGCCATGTTTCTTAATTTAACAAATCAGACCACATACTTTACTTACATTAGTTCACACCTCATCATCATCATGCCCATATGTTGTGAGCTTGTTTATTGAGCCCACATGCCAGATGGAGAAACTAAGCCACATAAATAAATGTGCCCTGGTTCACTTGCTGCATAGTGAAGAGTCAAAATGTTTCCTCATACGGTGCTAATGTTGAAGGCCTGAACTACAACCACTATTTATCAGCCAGTGAAGAGATCACTATTCACCATGCAAGGGAGTTCCAGCACCCTCTATGCCTGGAATTACCCACGCCTGCAGAGATCCCAAACGCCATCCCTCACATAAGACAGCCTCATGATCTCATAATCCAGGTAGCTATGTAGACATCTTCCTGCAGGTGTCACATAGTCCTTAGTGTGAAACCAACATAGAAAGCCCATGTTTCTGATCAAATCACAGGTTCTGAAACACTAAGGGAGGCACTAAGTAGGACAACGTGGTGCCTGCGTGTCATAGCTGGGTCTCCTCAAGACATGGATCAAGTCCAGTAAGAATTGGGGAGATGCTTTAGAGTCTTGATGGAGTTATCACCACAAGCCCTCTGAGCTACACACTTTAGGGATCATGACCATTAAGTACTCAAATTACCATTTGGTTGTTATCCGGGTATCCGTCGTCCTTGTGGCAACCCTCTTGTGAAGCTGGTGTGGACAGCCTCAGTGCTGGAGCTGTGCCTGCCTTCTGAGTGGACCCTTTCTGTGTTAGCAGGTGGGTACAAGCGTGGGGGTCAGCACACTCAGTGGATTTACACACACAGCGTTGAAGAGTAAGGCTGGGCTTCATTATTTATACATTTTCAATAAATGATGATCTTCATAACATAAAATCAATGATGTAGTACACTAGAATACTGTCCCTAGTATTGAATCTTGTCTCTCAGCAAAGGGTTGCTTAAAGTCACGTGACAGATTCCATTCAACTGATGACACATGCTGTAGCAGCAGTTAAAGCAGTCATTTGAAAAGGCTTTTACTATAAACTTACGTGTGAGCCTGAAGTGGGGGATAAAAGAGGCGATTAGCTCCCCTGTGCCATGTTTCTCTTATGTGCGTGGTGGAGGAAAATTACACAGGAAGGTGATGGAGAGAACAGAGCAAAGGATTGGACAGGTCCATTGAACCCATAAGACTATGGTGAGGTTAGTGAATGAGACTGGTCATTTTAGGTCAAATTTTACCCAGAGCTGGTGCAGCCACTGCCCATTCTTAGCCAGACCTTATTGCAGGCAGCTCTGATCAATAGTCAAGGAGGCAGTGGGGGTTGCAGACTTAATTCATTAAATCACCAAAGCACCAGCCCACACGGCCACTTTTCCAGTTAATTCACAGTAGCTTGCATATTCAGGTTTGATCAGTGGAAGGGAAGTTACTCTTTGCAGACCCATCTTTTGACAATCATTTTGCAGTGTCGGAAGGTCTGAGCAGCCTCGGGAGGCAAGCAGTCCCTGGTCCCTCAGTGTAGTCACTGGAGGAGACAGTCACTGAGAGGCAGCTGGCAGGGTGAAGGGAAAGGGGAGGCAGGCCACAGAGATGACAGCCTTTAAGCTGTCATACTGGGAGGTCAAGGATCTGAAAGAGGAAGGAGAATTCTTTATCATTAAGGACCTGTCCTTATCTCAGGCATTTCCTCCAGAGCATCACCTTTGTCCACCCACACACCTTGGGCTAGGAGGACTGGAGAAAAACAGTGAGGGGTCTCTTGGGTCTCTGGCACAGGGCGTGATGAAGAGGTGGCAGTTTTTCAGGAATCTCTCTCTCTAGGGAACCAAATACATTTCCCATCTCAGGTCCTTCACTCAGCGGGGTTGAGGTTCTGCTCGTCACTTATCATCTCTGAATGTCAGCACCCTCAAGTGTAAAATCTCAGCCACAGCCCCTCCTCTGCACCCCCTGCAGGGCTGATGTTCTCCATAAACCATAAGGCATCATGCCCACGGAAAAGCCGAACAGGAAAGCATGCTCCACTGCCCCGGAGCCATCCAAGTTCCCCCTCCATATTCCGCCACTGCTGAGTGTCCAGCTTATTCCTCCTGGCCTGTAGTAAACACTTAGAGAACATTACTGAAGTACCAGTCCTCTCTAAGGTTTTCCTGTATTTAGTGATTTTTTAGCCCTGTACTGTGATACTAAGAAGTAGGGCCTAAATAGGGCCTAAAAAGTATTGCTAAAATTACATTATGACAGTGCAGAGAACTGAGGGCAGAGGGAGGACATGAGCTTGCCAGGTCCACATGGCTTAGTGGAATTTGAATCCGGGCCCCTACTCTGCACCAGCCCTGCACTCACAGTCATCCTGCTGTATTCTCCTCTCCAGGAAGGCACTGCCCACGCAGTCTGTCTGATAGAGGTGTTGAGTGCTCACTGAACTCCGTGATCTTCCTGAAACCCAACTTTGATTCAGTGGGCTCTGCTTGGAAGCCTGTAAAGAAAAGGATCATAAGTTTAAACTTAGAACAGATTATCACTATTTTCCCTCTGGTCCTCTGTCAGCAAGATGTCAACAGCCCTATCTATTGTAAATGCATTAACCAGCATCTTCTCTGATAGAGAATATAAGAAGATATGCTGTGCACACCAACCAGTGTAGGAGACCTCATGGCTCCCGGGTAAAGAAGAAGAGGTACCCACAAGAAGGTACTGTGGAAGTTCATTAATTAAGTTGATTCAAGAATTGCAGTTGCGGGGAGTATTCAGTGTCCCATATGTAAGAGGAAACTATGAAGAGACTAAGCCATATTTTTTAATGTGTCAGGATTCTAATTTGCCTGGTCAGTAAATATTGCTACCACCACAAAAGTAAATATCTACTTAAAAGTCAATTTTGGTTCATGTTTAATGATAGACAATGTTTCAAGCTAATGTCTAGAACTTACCTGGTTGTTAAACATAAGCATAGATCTCCCTGAAAGAGTGGTGCTATATTATTATTTTTCAATTAATATATTTCTTTAGAGAGTTTTAAATTGACATAAAAACTGAGCATATGGCCGTGTGTGGTGGCTCACACTTATAATCCCAGCACTTTAGGAGGCCAAGGCAGGCGGATCATCTGAGGTCAGGAGTTGGAGACCAGCCTGGCCAACATGGTGAAACCCCATCTCTACTAAAAATCCAAAAAAATTAGCCGGGTGTGGTGGCAGGCGCCTGTAATCCCAGCTACTCAGGAGGCTGAGGCAGGAGAATCGCTTGAACCCGGGAGGCAGAGGTTGCAGTGAGCCAAGATCATGCCATTGCACTCCAGCCTGGGTGACAAGAGTGAAACTCCATCTCAAAATAAATAAATAAATAAATAAATAAATAAATAAATAAAAATTGAGTATATAATACACGAAGTTCCCATATTATTCTGTCTCCTCACCCTCACTTCCTAATTTCACCTATTAGTAACATCTTACATTACTGTGGTACATTTGCTAGAATAATGAGAAAATATTGACACATTATTATCTGAAGTCTGCATTTGCATAATGTTCATTCTTTCTGTTATACATATATATGAATTTTGAAATATTTAAAACATTATGTTCACCCTTATGGTCTCATAAAGAAAATGTTCACTTCCCTAAAAATCCTCTCTTCTCATTAATCTCTGTCCTCTTTCTCCAGAAACCTTGGCAACTATTAATATTTTTACTATCGCTTCAGCTTTGCCTTTTCCAGAATGTCATATAGTTGGAATCATATATTATGTAGTTTTTTCAGATGAATTTATTGCACTAAATTGATGTACGCTTTAGCTGCTTTCATGTCTTTTTTATGCCTTAATGGCAAAAAATGGCACATTAAATCACCAAATAATATTGCATTAAATGAATTTTTGTCTTTTTATTCACCTGTTGAAGAATTCGGTAGATTTCATGAGAGAAACCATCTGGGCCTGGTGCTTTCTTTTTCGGAATGCTCTTAATGTGAATTCAACTTATTTAATAGACATAAGTTTATTCAAATTAGGATCCTAGCATGACCTTGGGAAGATTGCCTTTCAAGGAATTGATACATTTCACTGAGGTTATCAAACTGCGCTCATAGAACTGTTCATGATATTCCTTTTAATGCCTAACAGTTCAGTAGAGATGGCTCCTCTTTTATTTCTGAAATTGGTCATTTGTGTTATCTTCTTTTTCTTGGTTAGCCTGCATATCAATTCATTCATTGTAATGAGCATATCAAAGAACCAGCTTTTGGTTTTATTGATTTTCTGATGATTTCAGTGTTTTAATTTTATTGATTTCTGTGATGTTGTTTATTACTTTTACTTGCTTTCCATTGCATTCCTCTATTTTCTATAGTTCCCTAATTGAAACATGATATTACTGATTTTAGGTCTTGTGATTTTTAGTATATTGCATCCAATGCTATAGATTTCCCTCTAAGGACTGCTTTTGCTACATCCAGAAATCTTGCCAAGTCACATTTTCTTTTAATGTAGTTAAAAGTACTTTTAATTTTCTATTGAGACTTCTTCTTTAACCCAACAGTTATTTAAAAGTGCATTGCTAATTTGCAAATATTTGGGGATTTTGTGGCTCTTTTACAGTTGTTGATTTTTTGTTGTCAGGTGTGTGTTGCAAAAGCAGTCGTCTACCTCATCTTGCCACCACCCAAGATGGCCCAGGATGTGGGCTCTCCCTGAGTGAATCTTTGGCAATCTGCCAACCTGATGTGTTCGGCCTCCTTCTTTAGTCTGAGCTTGCCTTCTGCTTAGAAAGGGCCATTCTCAGTTCTGGCAGGGAGTTTTCCCAACATTGAGAAGGTGGCATTCTTACTCCCCACTGCAGCCTGCACCTCTGACCGGTGGTCAGCAGACAGGACAGAGGTCCTCATTAGACAGAGTTCAGCAGGGTCTCTGACCAAAGTGCATCTTCAGAGTCTGCACCTACCCACTGTGACCACGGGCAGGCTCTGAGTCCTAAAGCAGGAGGAACTGTGCGACCATCCTGATTGGAAATTTGTGA
Source organism: Homo sapiens (assembly GCF_000001405.40). Taxonomy (NCBI): domain Eukaryota; kingdom Metazoa; phylum Chordata; class Mammalia; order Primates; family Hominidae; genus Homo; species Homo sapiens. Next base: position 18,193,835 of record NC_000022.11, on the reverse strand, counting down.
GGATCACCGTGTTACTCAAGTAAGGTCTTTGGAAAGTGTCGTATTACTACTGTTTGTGAACTGCTTGTTGGTGGCCTGGCTGAGCCACACACTTTATGAAAACCAGGACCCCTCAGCTGGTGTGGGTGTCTATGCAGCCTGAGACCCTCATGTGAACAGCCTCGTGGCAGCTGTCTTTGCCCCTTGCCACCATCAGTGCCTCCTTGTTCCTGGGCACTGCTTTCTCTGATGGTGCTCCATTGTTTTCCTGCACCTCAGTGTCTACAGCTGGATGTCTCTTCCGCAATCTAGGCGAGGGGGCATCAATGGCAGTTCTGCTGTGGCACTGCCCTCCTTCTTAGCTTGTCTTGCTCTGTCTTAGGCTCCCTCAAAGATCCCACCCTTCAGGTTCTTCCACAAGTTTCTTATTGAAATCCGAGCAGAAAACTATGACCAATATGACCAATCCTATACCCACTGAAGACATGAATGAAGAATTAAAACAATTCTCCATGGACTCTACCATATAGATCCCTAGAAGTAATTTCTAAAAAAAAAAAAAAATCAAGGAAGATGTAATAGTTTTCCATAAATTAGAATACCCTACATGTACAATTAAATGAAATGGCTAGTATAGTCTTGAAACCAAAACCAGATAAGGTAAATTAAATTCTGTGATATTTTAAAATACTGTAAATTCTGACTAATGTGAGTTAATCTCAATATATGAAATAGTAGATTAACATTGAAAATGCAATAAATAAAATTAGCTACCTCAAGAGTTTAATGGAAAAAAATGTGATTATTGCAATAGATTCAGGAAATTCATGAATAACATTCACCCTATATTTGTAGGACAACTATCTAACTTTAAGTGACCTGTGACAACCATTTGAATTAATGCTGCTTTCACAGCATATCTCTTGGCTTGTTAAAAACCCGACAAGAATTTCCGTAACATTAATTTATTTTTAACACCTATATTGGGTGTGAACCCACCATAAAGTTTGCCCACTGAAAAGGTCTACAATTTGATGCTTTATTAAATTGATACTGTGTGCACCCATCACCACGATCTAATTTAAATATGTTTCCCTCACCCAAGTTCTCTCTTGCGCACTGGCAGTTAATCCCCACTCCCATCTCCAGCCCTAAGCAATACTGCTGTGACATTCCATCTCCATAAATTTCCCATTTGCTTAATAGAAATGGACATATATATATATTTGGAATCTGACTTCCTTCATTTAGCATACTATGTTTGAAGTTAATTGACGTGTTAGCACGTGCTGGTCATGTGTTTTCCTTCATAGTCTGCTGTGTTTACTCATACAGATAGTGTTTATTCATTTATCAGTTAATGGACATTTAATTGTTTTGTTATTTTCTTTGATGAGTAATGTAGCTTTGAGCATTCATATACAGTCATGTAATGCATAATGACATTTTGGTCAAAAAAATTTTTTTTTTTCTGAGACCCAGGCTGGAGTGCAGTGGCACAATCTCGGCTCACTGGAACCTCCACCTCCCAGGTTTAAGCAATTCTCGTGCCTCAACCTCCCGAGTAGCTGGGACAACTGGCACACGCCACCATGCCTGGATAATTTTTGTATTTTCAGGAGAGACAGGATTTTGCTGTGTTGGTCAGGCTAGTCTCAAACTCCTAGCCTCAGGTGATCCACCCATCTCTGCCTCCCAAAGTGCTGGGATTATAGGCATGAGCCACCACACCCAGCCTAATTTTTTTAAGAAAGAAGGGAACTATTTTCTAAATTACTTTTGCCAATTTATATTTCTACCATGATGCATAGCACTAATTTCACCGTACAATGTATGGTAGGCCCCAATATGTAAGAAATGATGAAAGTAACACATAAAGATTGGTATAAAACAAATAAGATTATCATTGTTGCTATCATCTTTGTCAAATTCTGAAAACAATCTGAGTATATTTTTATATAAATATGCTTGGCAACATAGCTGAAAAACGCATTATCAGTTACATTTATCAGTAACAAAGACATAAATTTGAAGGGGGAAAAACACTTGTACTAACAACGCAATGTCAGAATTAACATAAAAATTCTGCTGGTCACTTTGGAATATTTAATTGCCTGGGGCAGTGTTTAGTAGACAAATGAGCATCTATGGAGCACCCAAAGTAGGGGAATCAACAGAACTTGGGTTTCAAAAGTTATCTGGGTTTAGAGCGTGAAACTTTGTTAGAGGACACACACCTTGCATGAGCGAGGTGCCTTGGTGTGTGTGGACGTACCATTATGCTTGGAGGTACAGCATAATGGTGGCTTCCTCCAGAAAGGGACATTTGGGGTGGATTCATTCCATCTAGACAACACAGCCTGATGTGGCATGGACATGAATGGAGGTGAAATGGTCAGTAGTTGAGAGGATCAGTCCTGACAAGGGCCGAGGTGAAAAACCTGGGAACCCCTTCAGGTGCAAAGTCTTCAGTTGAAAAAGGAGGTGGTCACAGGAAATACTGAGACAGGACAGCAAAGCATGGGAGACAGAGTTCTTGGCCCTGCAGGGTGAGTACTGTGGATTCTCAAATTTTCTCCTCTCTCCATTAATTTCTTTCCCAATGCAGATGACTTCCATCATACAGTCTTCAGCAATCTTGAAAGATTGGACAAGCTTCAGCCCACTCTTGAAGGTAAAGGAAGGCAGCTAACAAGACTGGCATCTGGGCTTGGCTGTGCGTGTTTTCTATCGTGGGGAAATATATATAACACAATATTTATCATTTGAACCTTTTAACCAAAGTGTGCACTCCATGGCATTCAATATATTCACAGGGTTGCATAACCAACACCACTATCTACACCCACAATTTTGATGATTTCTTACAAAACCTTGTCCACAATAAGCAATATAGCACCTTCCCCCTATTTCCAGCCCATGGTGATTCCTATCCCACTTTCTCTTGTATGAATTTGACTATTCTAGGCACTTCATGTAATTACAATTATACAATATATTCCTTTTGTGTCTGGCTTATTTCACTAAGCATAATGTTCTCAATGTCCACCCATGTTGTATCATCTATCAAAATGATGTTCGTTTTTTACAGATGGATGATGTAGCATTGCATGCAGACCACCTTGCTTTTGTTACATTCATTTGTTCACTGATGGTTGGATTATTTCCACCTTTTGGCTCCTGTGAAAAGTGATGCTGCAAACATTAGTATACAAACATCTGTTTGATTTCTGTTCTCTATTCTTTGGGGTGCCTAAGAATAGAGTTCCTGGGTCCAACAGGGGTTCTATATTTAACCTTCTGAGCCACTGCAGACTGTTTTTCACAGTGGCTGCAACTTTATCCATTTCTACCATCAATGTATCAGGGTTACAATTTCTTTACGTCCTTCTTCACACTTATTTTCCTTTAAATCATCCTAGTAGGTGTATATTGGTGGCTGCTTGTGTTTTTCATTTGCATTTCCCTAATGACTAATGATCCTGAGCAGCTTTTCCTGTGCTACTATCTGTGGCTGTATCTTCTTTAGGGAAATATATGTTGAAGTCTTTTGCCCATTTTTAAAGAGTTGTCTGATTTTTATTTAGTTAGTTTGTTGCTGTAGATTTTTGAATATATCTTAAATATATTTAAAATATATTCTAAATTTTAGTCTCTTACAAGATAAATGATTTGCAAATATTTCCACCTTTGTGTAGAACTTTAGATTCACAAACTTCATTAATTTGTATGAAATCCTCGGCAGTTGACCCCAAACAGATAAGACTGAAGCAGTATTTTAGGAATAGTTGAAAGTATGATCACCACAAAACATAAGCGTAATCAAATCCTGCAAGCTACATGTAAGGCACAATGACAAATAAGGCAGCAAAGGGCCATCTGGTGTTTAGTTCACCACACTTGTTGCAGCTGTTTGCACTGCAGAGTTAAAACACACCAGCATTCAACCCATGTCTCCTCTCTTGAAGTAAACTGTCGTATGTTGGCTGGCCTGAACAAGCGTAGATATTCTCCATCCTCAATTAATATGCATGCATGACAAAGAAAAGGAGGCCTGGATGAAAAAATATTGTGTGATTAATAATTATGCTTTAATTAATTTTAAAGGATATAATTTCAGTACTTCTAATTCTCCCATCAGCAGTTATAACAAAGGATTAGTGAATAAATACCATAGACTGTTTTGCCTAGAATTGAATCCAATCTATCTATTAAACTTTGCTTTTATTCAAGTGCAAAATGCTAAAACACATAACTGCAGTGACAGCCACTGTGGATCCTCAGAGGTAAAAGTAGTCTTGGGACATAAATCCTGCAAGCTAATATTGTTTTTACAGGTTTAGAAAACCATTTAGCTGGGTTTCAAACCTCACAGTGTGAGCAGTGGGACTCTCATCAAACTATAGCATGTGCTTCAGTACCATTTGTAGACTGACTCATTCCCATTTTCTTAAGTTGCCATCAGCAAAATGCCAGGGACTCTATTTCTCGCTCCTTAGCTCCTCGTTCTTGCCTGTCTTTCCACGAGGGAAGATTTTCTAGCAGGAGCTCAAGCTGTGCTTTTAATGAAACACATCCACACACACTGTCCTGTTGTCCACATTAAGCAGAGCTCCCTGAATAACTCATGAACAAAAGCATCTATGACTAACTGTTGCTCTGTGTCCTCCTAGCCTCTGAGGAGTCTCTAGTTCACAAGGACAGAGGAGATGGAGAGAGGCCAGTCAACGCGAGGGTAAGGTTGCCTTGCTTTCTCTGAAATAGAAATGTTCCTTTCTTGGTGTCTTTCTTTTTCAACTGACTTTACATGTGAAAAAATGACAATGTCCATGACAGGTATTAAATGCAGTTTTCTGAGGGGGAGGAAGAAGTGACTCTTAGCAACTGATATGTAATCCAAAATGGCATTTAGCTATGACGGCTTCAGGTTGTAGACTGTATCCTTGGGGTCCTTGTCCTTGGAAGCAATGTCTTCTCCTTGGATTCAGTATTTTGCACTTGCCAACCTACGTGGACCTGAGAGATCCACCATCCAGAAGCTGATGTCTTTTCCAGTGTGTATCCTACTCTTGTTTTGGAGGCCTTGAAGTTGACTACACTTTCTGATCAAGTTTTCAGTATTCATTGAGAGAAACAGAGCCTTGTGCAAACAATCCACAACATGACATACCCCTCAAAAAGCTTTGTTTCTGTATTGCAGGTGGTGCAGGTGGCCCCTCTGAGGCTTGAATCTAGTAAGTATTCTGGAATCACTTGCCAAGAAAACAATCTGGATGCCAAGAAAGGTGTGGCATCCTTGCCTGGTTTCAATGTGAAGAGCCTCCCTGATCCTGGGATTGTGATAGGAATAAGTATAGGGGAAGTGTTTTTTTAAAACCTGAATTCCCCAGGGAAAAATTATGGCCAAATTTTGAGGAAGCAGCTGTGCTCCCTTTTGGGTGGTGCTGAGTTGGGTGCTTGAGGATTGGTGGTGTCTTGTGTGAGGCTGCATCGTGTGGTGTGAATGTGTGTGTTTCTGTACAGGTGAGGCTGTGTGTTTTCTCAGGAGAGATTTCCCACTTATACAACCCAATCACCAGTGTCCACTTCTAACAATAAAATCCACCCCCGCTCTACTCTCTCTGTACAGTGACTCCTCCACCCTCACCAGAGCCATCCCCGGGTCTGCCTTATTATCCCCACTGCTCAGGTGGAGAACCTGAAGGGCCAAGGGAGTGGCCCCAGCTCCCGAGTTCCTGAATGAAACAGTGAAAACACGAACCCAGGAGTGTGGGCCAGTGCTGACGCTGACATGCACTTAGTCATGGGGTGTTCACCACCACACAGGGAGTCCAGCATTCATGTATAAGCCCTAAAGCAACGAGCCCAAGAGGCCCCAGACACTGCCCATCATCATAAAGTGGCCTCCGTGGTCACACAACCCAGGGCAGTTATAGGCTCATCTCCCCACGGACCGGCATAGTCATCAGTGTGTCAAAAGCACAAAGATCCCCAGGTGTTTGGCTCAGCTCACAGATCCCTTTTTTTTATTTAACTTTTCAGTTCAGGGGTACATGTGCAGGATGTGCAGGTTTGCTACATATATAAATGTGTGTCATGAGAGTTTGTTGTACAGATTATTGCATCACCCATATATTGAGCCTAATATCAGTTATTTTTCCTGATCCACCCCCTCCTCCCACCTCCCACCCTCCAGTAGGCCCCACGCTCACAAATTCTAAGAGGAGTGGGGGACCACAAAGGCCAGTGTGGCCCACTTCAGTTGTGAAGTTAATTTGCTCAGCAACTGGCCAAAGTCTATAAGGATGGGTGATGTACTTTAGTAGATTTAGTAATACTATCTTCCCAAGCCCTAAAATGCTCAAATCCTGCCAGCCAAAAATGGTGAGGAGGGACAGATAGGAACTCTGTGTGGCACTTGGTTATTAGCCTGGCTTCCATCCCTTAGTGGCAACTCTCTTGTATATGTGGGTTAAAGACCCTCAGCCTCAAGCCAAGCCTCCTCCATGAGGAGCCATCTCACTATTGACCGGCTAGTGCCGGGTATGGCCACCAGCCCAACTGAAACAAAATGTTGCTCTAAAACAAGTGTAAATCTCATACATACAACAGGCAAATGCAGAAGCAGTGTGGTCTCGCAAGTTGTAAAGAGGACAGTCGCAATTTTGCTGGACTTCAACCTGGGTAGAAGACATGAGGGAACTCTGTCACTAAATCACGGCAGAGTTCAAGGCCACTTGTAGACTATTTCATGTTACAGAAGGTGGCCTTTAGCTACTAAGCAAAGGCCTCTGTTTCTCATTTCTTTCCTGTTCATCTTCTTGGTCATCCTTCTTCCGCAAGGGAAATGAGCCCAAGCAAAAGGCAGTTTCAATATTAATTTGACCGAGGTTTTGTGCAGTTTATTATCATCCAGGTAATCAGGTGCAACCCAGTCTGCCTAGCAGCCCCCCTATCTCTGCTCTGTGTTTTCATTTAATAAACATTTTGGTCTACTTACTATGTGCTAGATTTTCTCGAGACCAAGTAAATGAGATAGAATCTTTATGCTGGCAGCTAAGTTAGATTTCACATAACTGACAAAAATTAAAATTTCTGATTTCTTGTAAAAATATTTTGTATGTGTGAATGCATACTGAATGTAAAGTGGATAAAAAACTCACACTTGCACTCATGGAAGGCTTTTCATGAATTTGTCAATTTTTATTTTTTATATTTCCCCACTTCACCAGATAATGCATACCTGAACCTGGAAACTGATTCCCACTGCAGAAAGTGTTCTGAGCCACATCCCTTAGCTTCACTAGTGCAGGTCCACCTGGGAGGATGTCCCAGCATCAGCTTGACCCATGCTGTGATCAGCCACCTCCATGCATCACACCAAGCAAGCCCCTGGGTGATTCACAGTCTCCACCACCAGGGCACTGACCTTAACTCTGTGTTTTTCTAGCTCCCCATGAGGACACCGTACATGACATCACTAACCAGGACGCCACACACGACATCGCTAACGAGGATACTGTCCACGGCATCGCTAACGAGGCCGCCGACAAGGGCATCGCCAACGAGGACGCCGCCCAGGGCATCGCCAACGAGGACGCCGCCCACGGAATCGCCAGCGAGGATGCCGCCCAGGGCATCGCCAACGAGGTCGCCGCCCAGGGCATCGCCAACGAGGACGCCGCCCAGGGCATCGCCAACGAGGACGCCGCCCAGGGCATCGCCAAGGAGGACGCCGCCCACGGGATCGCCAAGGAGGACGCCGCCCAGGGCATCGCCAACGAGGACGCCGTCCACGGCATCGCCAACGAGGACGCCACCCATGGCATCGCCAACGAGGACGCTGCCCACGGCATTGCTAACGAGGATGCCGTGCACGGCATCGCTAATGAGGACTCCGTATACGACATCGCTAATGAGGGTGCCGTATATGACATCGCTAATGACACCGTACAAGGCACGCTAACGAGGACGCTGTACACGACATCGCTAATGAGGACACCATACAAGGCATCGGTAATGAGGACGCTGTATACGACATCGCTAACGAGGACACCATACAAGCCGTCGCTAACAAGGACACTGTACACAACATCGCTAATGACGGCACCGTACAAGACATCACCAATGAGGGCGCTTTATACGACATTGCTAATGATACCGACAAGGCACGCTAACGTGGACGCTGTACACGACATTGCTAATGAGGACAGCGTATAAGACATCGCTAGTAACTATCGCAAGAACAAAAAACCAAACACCGCATATTCTCACTCATAGGTGGGAATTGAACAATGAGATCACATGGACACAGGAAGGGGAATATCACATTCTGGGGACTGTTGTGGGGTGGGGGGAGGGGGGAGGGATAGCATCGGGAGATATACCTAATGCTAGATGATGAGTTAGTGGGTGCAGCGCACCAGCGTGGCACATGTATACATATGTAACTAACCTGCACAATGTGCACATGTACCCTAAAACTTAAAGTATATATATAAAAAAAAGACATCGCTAGTGAGCACGCTGTATACGACATCGCTAATGAGGACACCATACAAGGCATCGCTAACGATGACGCTGTACACAACATCACTAATGATGACACCTTATAAGACATCGCTAATTATGACGCTGTATACGACATCGCTAATGACACCGTACAAGGCACGCTAACAAGGATGCTGTACACAACATCGCTAATGAGGACAGTGTACAAGCCATCGCTAATGAGGACACTGTATATGACATTGCTAACGAGGACACTGTACAAGGCATTGCTAACGAGGACGCTGTACACAACATCGCTAATGAGGACACCATATAAGACATCACCAATGAGGATGCTCTATATGACATCGCTAATGACACCCACAAGGCATGCTAACAAGGACGCTGTAGACGACATTGCTTATAAGGACACCGTACAAGACATCACTAACGAGGACGCTGTATACGACATCGCTAATGAGGACGTTGTATATGACATCGCTAATGAGGATGCTTTACAAGACATAGCGAATGAGGTTGCTGTATATGACATCGCTAATGAGGACATTGTATATGACATCGCTAATGAGGACGCTCTATACGACATCACTAATGAGGACGCTGTATACAACATCGCTAATGAGGACGCTGTATATGGCATCGCTAATGAGGATGCTGTATACGAATTCGCTAATAAGGACGCTGTATATGACATTGCTAATGAGGACACTGTACAAGACATCTGTAAAAAAGAAGATGCTGCCAATGTAAGACACTTTTCTTTGTCTTGAACAGAAATGTTACTTTCCTGGCTTCTTTCCAATCAGATGTAGACATGAACATCTGCCAGTGTGCATTATCGATGTCATCTGCAGTTTAATCAAATGTAGACATGAACATCTGCCAATGTGGACTATTTATGACATCTGCAATTCCCTTGGTGTGGTGCTATTGATTGGCAGCCTCTCACCAACCCATGCCAGGCACACTGGGGTGTGGTAGATGGCAGCATCCACGATCCACTGCAATGCAGAGGTGTTTCCCTCCACAGCAGTTTTCCCCCATGGATTAAGAGTTGTGAAACTGCCAATCTAGATACACTTTAAAGATAAATTCTGTGGGAAAAGGTCTTGTCTTTTCCACAGGTGTCTTCCGTGCCAGTTTTGGGGGACTTTGACCTTTGACTCAATCACTATACCCCTTCTTATTTTCTCTCTCAAGTTGTCGAGAGACTATCAGATCTGTGTGACGTGTATGGCATCATTTCACCCTCCTAATGTTTTCTTTTCTATAATTGCAGGAGCCATTGACACTGGAGAATGATACCTACCCTGAAATAACTCACTTCCTGAGGAAAAAACGCCATCTCTAGGGTACAGAAACCTGATTCTGGGCTCCTTTTGGGAAGGAGGATTTGGAGTCTGGTGAGAGCAAATGATTTTGCAAGTATAAAACAATGTCCAGAGAGGCTGTAGGGATATCTGTGAGCCCAGAGGAAACACCAGGGGATCCTGTGCGAAGCACCATGGCTTCAGCTAGGGTGGGAGGAGTGGGTGGGCCTCTCTCTAATGACTTATCCTGGTGTTTGTGTTTCTAAAGATTTGATTGTGGAGAGCATATCTGATGATGGGGATTTGTAGGTAGGTAACTACTTTCCACGTAAGATCCAATTGGAGAGAGTTCCCAGGGGCCTTCGGGGTATCCATGCTGCTTGGGAGGTTAAGGGAGGGGGCATGAAATCAAAAGGAAACAGGAAATATGTGTCATATTGGATTTGGTCTTTTCCGGGTTTATTGGCATAATAGTTAGAACTGTCTCTCTGGGCTATGAGGGTGCTGTGATATTTAAAGGTGGTCTTTCCCAGAACACCTGGCCTTTTCTTTTCTGCCTCTGCCAAACATCACAGCCTTTGGGTTGGATTAGTCAGCACCCCTTGGGATTGTGCAGAAGAGGTTTGGGGTTGCATCGAGTGTCACCTGTGGTGAACAGAATCTGAGGGACACAACTCTCTCACAGGCACTTCCTTCAACCTGGAGACAGAGTTCTCCTGGTGTGTGCCCAGGGGTGGAGGAGAAATTGACAGTCTGCCTCTGAACTTTCAGGACTTTAAAAAGCACTCATGTTTCCATCCTCACTGTTGACTCCTGGCTTAAAGGGATCTCCCGGGGTGAGTGAGGAGGCGGGATCGGACCCTGGCAGTCTGACGGCAGCACCTGTGTTCCTCTGCACTGGGCCGTGGATGACATTACACACCTTGGTGAGAATCAGGAATTGAGGCTAACCACATCTGAAATTGAGATGGGCCTTGAGTCATATAAATAGTTTGGAAAAGATGCATTTTACTACGCTATTGAAAGAAACCATTTATTTCTCACTCCAGCAGGATAAATGGTTTTCAGTATCCATTTAACTGCTCATTGACTCTTACTGTAGATGAGGAGGTGGCCAGCAGCCCCTGCCCTCCCCCAGTTGGTAGGCCCAAGGTAACCAGCAATTGACTGGATATAATGGAAGAGTGGTGCATTCGGAAGTATCTGTATTAATGGGACCCACATGATATGGATGAGAGCTATTAGGGTGAGAAAAAGCCTGGGAGCACAATGAAATATTTAAATATTAAACAAAACATTGTTGAAATCTCCATTGTACTTTAGTAGTTGAAGTCATTCTTGTGGTCATCACTGCCTTTCCCAAGCATAACAAGCTACTTAATATCACATGGACCCGTGCCATGAGGAATGATGATCAGTTTGTAAAATGCCAATAAAACAATTGCCTATATAAGCCACAATGTTTCATCCATATATTTCAATTTCCATGTGTAAGTATAGTTCAAATTTCAGAAATTTATTATTATCTAATAGAATATGCATGGTATATCAATGAGCAATTATCATACTGTTTCTATTAACAATTATTTGTATGATGAAAAAAGCAGACTCCCATTCTTGGATTTTTCTCAGTTTGCACACATTAGCATGACAGCCCCATTTCCACCTGACATGTGCCAGCAAGAGGCCAGGAACAGAGGCTTTTCTTATTAACTAAGATTTCTAAATGTATTACGTATTCACATTTAGAAACTCTAAATATCATAAAAGGTTAGCAAGGAAGTTTCCCTTCCACTCTGAACTTCCAAACACCAAGTCAACATTTTTGTTTGCATATCATCCCTGCAATCTATGTGCAAATAGAAGCATGCACCTGGAATGCAGGCTGATGTGTGATCGTGTTTACACAAAGTCCTCTGCACCTCTGCATATATCACTGGGCAATGCACCTTAGTTATCATTCCACATTTCAAATGTAAATCCATTGTATTGTTTCAGAGCTATAAAGTACTGCACCCCATGACTATTCCCAAAATTACTTAAGCACCCCGCTATGGGTATCCGTTTGTTCTGTTTCCAGTCTTGCTCTTATAACCAATGCTGTAGTGAACAGCACTGTGTTGAGAAGCGGTGAACGTGGGCATCTTTGTCTTGTTCCCTTCCTCAGGGGGAATGCTTTCAACTCTCCCCCATTCAGGAAAATGTTGGCTGTGGGTTTGTCATAGATAGCTTTTATTACCTTAAGGTATGTCCGTTCTATGCTGATTTTGACGAACGGTTTTAATCATAAAGAAATGCTGGATTTTGTCAAAGGCTTTTTCTGCATCTATTCAGATTATCATGTGATTTTTGTTTTTAGTTTTATTGATGTGATGTATCACATTTATTGACTTGCGTATGTTAAACCATCCCTGCATCCCTAGTATGAAACCCACTTGAATCATGGTGGATTATCTTTTTGATATGCTGTTGGATTCAGTTAGCTTGGTTGTAGCATTTCTTATTATTCCATCTGTGGAATGTATTGGTTGAAATAATGAAAACATGTTCTATCCTCACTGCTTAGCACTTTGTGTTTCTTTAATAGCCTTCCCAACAGGGCAACATAAAAGCAGGAGCCCTGCTAGTCTCCCCTTAACCCGGAATCCCCCCTTCTCCACAGCTCGCTCATTGGACAGGATAGACTGGGCGCCCAGGCTTCAAGGTAAGGACGTGCTCTGTCACCTAGAGGTGCAGTGCTTGGGAAGGCCAACCTTGGAGGGTTGCCTGCCAGCTTTACAGTGACAGAGGTGTTGAGAGGGACTGACCACCAGTGCAGAAGGCTGTGCTTTGTTGGTGACATAAAGGATTGTTTCACAGATTGTTGGGGAGGGACAATCCCAAGGCCTCCCCTGGCCCTGGTGCTGGCTCTGCACAAAGGCAATAAGAGAGGGATGCTGGTAAGGGCTGACCTGTTGCTGTGCTGGGGAGGAAGGTGCTGGGCTGAAATTCAGGAGGCTGAGGATGCAGCAGTCCCATAGGAGGTACATGACCTTCAGGATACATTTTCTTCATTGATGATCAATGGAAATGAGAAATCACTGACTATTTTTTCTATCATTGGAATCTACTCTCCACTGCTCATGCTGTTCCTGTCTTTTGGGGAAGATGGAGGATCAATCAGTGTGCGCTGCACTGAGTGGAAGGAAGGAGAACTGTGACAAAAATTAAGGAAGGATGAGAGACGGGAGGGCCCTTCATCCAGCTGCTTGCAGAGTCCTCCTGAGGAGGAAAGCCCCGTGGCTCCCTGGCGAAGGAGCAGTGAGGGCTGCGTGACTCCCACAGTGAAGTGTGTGGTATGTCTGAGGACACCCAGGCTGGTGGTCCATGAGGAGCCAGTGGCAGAGTGAGAAGAAGAAAGGCCAGGAGGGTGGCTGGAGGCCAGGCTCTGAGTCATTCTCCATGTGATGGAAACAGCCGGAGCCCAGTGGGCTTGGAGGTACAGGATGCGGTGGCTGATGACAGAACAATGTGGAGAGAGGCGTCATTTGTCAAATCCTTACTTTGTTCTGGGCATTGTGCTAAAAATTCTGATGGCTCATCCCATTTAGGGGCTGAAAGTTGCAGAGGTTTAGGAAGCTCACCCACGATACTGGAGCCCCCATCTCCTGCCCTAGTGCTGTCCACCTTCTCACCCAGCCACCACCTGTTTCGGGGGAACACACAGAAGTGGTAACCTCTTATGGAGAGGCAAGTAAATTCTGCTGTTTTTGTTATTCACAGAAAAACACTGGCTCGTGTGGGTTGGGAAGGTGAAATACCAGAAGTATTTCATCTGGTTATTTCTACCCATGCAACTCCTATAATATTGAAATGCATAGGTTAGCATTTTTGGCCAATTTACTCAGCATTCTGGGTTAAAGGCTTTTATTTATTTTATTTATTTATTTATTTATTTTTGAGATGGAGTTTCACTCTTGTTGCCCAAGCTGGAGTGCAATGGTGCGATCCTGGTTCATTGCAACCTCCGCCTCCCAGGTTCAAACTATTCTCCTGTCTCAGCCTCCCAAGTAGCTGAGATTATAGGCACATGCCACCACACTGGGCTAATTTTTTTGTATTTTTAGTAGAAATGAGATTTCACCATGTTGGTCAGGCTGGTTTCGAACTCCTGACCTCAGGTGATCTGCCCTCCTCGGCCTCTTAAAGTGCTGGGATTACAGGTGTGAGCCACCACGCCTGCCCTAAAGTCTTTTAAAATTCACTTGTATAAGTTGACTTAGTTTTCTTTAACCTTGTAGAAAAATACAAAAATGGCAATCTCTTTTATCACACAAATAATGTCTTTTTAATGGAGTGATTTTTTTCTAATTGAGGTATTATGTACTTTTCTTTTACTAATTATTGTTTACATTTGAAGTGTTTTATGAATGAATATTTAATTGCATAGATGAAGATTACTAGTTATAGGCATTTTACTAACCAATACTCATTAAGCATAGCGTGGATTCATATGACATCAAGGAGCTATTTTATTTGGTAAAATGAAAAAGCACAAGAATGAACGAACGCAAGAACTGAAACAGTGGAGACACCTAGAATGACTTGTCTAAGATCTAAATCATTTTGTTGTCTTCCCAGCGTACTTATTATCCTGATCATTGTCATCAGCATTGTTTGGGTCCTTTTAGCACAGATTTCTCAAAATGGGTAACTCCATAACAGTTGGAAGCTTACGAATTCATATAATTTGTAAGAGGTCAATTTGGAAGTACCTATCTATATTAAAATTCCAATAACCTGGGAATTTCATCCCATGTCAAGAGTCTTTTATGTAAAATATTTCCACAATTAGGAGAAATATGTGCATGGGGATTTTCTATGTAGCGGTGTTTTGATAGAACAGAAAATTGGGATAAACCAAATTTCCATCACGAAGGAAATAGTAATATGCTGAATAATAATACAGCGAATATTATGCAGGCTTTAAACATCAAAAAAGAGTTCAACTTCTGACTTCCGATGATGGTGTTGAAGCAGGTCACTGCTGGTTTACATTTGATTTTCATGTGGGAACTCTGGAAGTCCGTCCGCCTTAGTGATTTCACATGTGGCTAAATTGAGCTAATGACAAGCTGTTCGAAGTATGGCAAAATGGAACTTTAAAACAGTATCTTGTCAACAACCAAGAGGACCTTTTTCACATAAAGCCCACGCATTCATCTGCCTGTCCATCATTCTGTCTGTCCACACGGGCATCATTCGTTAGTGGAACTGAGTGCCCACTGTCGAGCTGACAAGCCCATAACCTCCCTGTTCCTAGTCACACATTAATTCTTCAACAAGTCCCTTTTGATAGATTGTGATTAAGCTTAGCTACTATTTCCAATTGCTTCCCCAAACGTACTTCTCACTGTTCTCCCATCACACCCTTCAGCCCATCCATGCGGGGTTCCTTTGCTTTTCCCACCTTACACCAAACTCCCTATTTTTACTCCCACTTTGACCTCCTCTCCAAGACAAAACAAACAAAATTAGCATTTTAAAACTTAGTTGTAATCTTTCTTCCTTCATGAAAATTTCTCCAACAGCCACTCCCACGGTCCTGTGTGTTCCGGATATTTTAAAATAATGGCTATAAGGTTGAGCACTTCAGGATACGCTGTTTTGCTGTGTGCAGATGGAGGCAGTGGCTGGAGTGAATGAACGGCAACACTTGCTGGCAACCGGCAGAAGCTGAGAGACAGGGAACAGGCTCTCCTCCAGAGCCTCCAGGAGCCAGGCCTTTGGACACCTTGAATGTGGGCTTCTGGGAGACCATGCGTTTCTGTTATAAGCAGCCCAGTCTCTGGCAGTTTTTACGGCTGCCCCGGAACACTCATCTATACCTGTCTGACAAGGTCAAGCTCCAAGGAAGGGACTCTCTACATATCTACATTGTTTGCAGATTTTACAATAATCATTTATTCTTGCATGGCTGATCATTGTTAACCAATACAAATAAAATAATAAAGAAATGACCCACATTTTATGTTGGGAGTTTGATCTGCCATTTATCAAGTATGGAATCTTGAACAAGGGGTTAAACATCTGAATGTCTCCATCACTTCATCTCTAAAGTGGGGGTGCTCACACCCACTGGGCTCCCCCACCCAGGTTGGTGCCGGACTCTCCCTGGGCCCCCCTGTTCTCTCACCAGCCACATCCATTCTCCCCCTAGAGGCGCTAGTGACTGTGCGTGGCTTTCCATTCCCACCACGTTTGTCTCTAACCCCAGTGGCAGATCAGTGTAAGAACACAGCTGAGTGCTCCTCGCCTCCTTGCCCCTTCAAGGGCCCCTCACCACCCACCAGATCAGGTGCAAACTTCCAAGTCTTACTGGATCCCCTTCCACATTCTGAGCTCCGCCTGCCTTCCCATCGCTATCCTTCCCCACCTGCCTCCCTGGTAGAGAAAAGCGGAGTGTGTGATGCTGTCTGAATGCTGAGCACGGCCTTTTGCAGCCAGTCCACTGTGTACGCTGCCCCTATCGGAGACCTCCACCTTAACCCTTTCCAGCCTGGAGGCTCCTCCCAGGGCCCCACAACAGAAGTGACTTCCCTTGCCTTTGAATTTCTATAGCACAATCCCTACTGCCCCCCGTTAAAACTGCAAAGTCCTTTTGTGGAAAATAACTTTATTCATGACTGTGTTTATCACACTATCTTATGGAGAAGAGATGATCAATAAATATTTGCTGAATAAATGAATAGCAGTTACAAAACACTTGATTCATATGGAATTAATGTTGGTTCTCAAAGTGAAAAATTACAAACAGCACTGATATTCAGCCAGTATACAAGTCTGGTCACAGCAGTTGTATAATACTGAAATACCCCCTGCCACTGACCTTTGGCCCCCAGATGCCTCCCACTGCCACTGCTCTCCCCACTGGGAACCCCTGAAGTTCCCACAGGCTCATAACTAAAGGGCTAATGTCTTGCACAGCAGCGAGCACCCAGGACCGAGCAGCCACATGGCCGGGTCTGCTGGTGAAAGCATCCATTCTGACTGATCAGGACCTGAGGGGCCTCATGGTTACATATTTTGATAATATCCCTAATTATAAATAAGGCTCAGTTATATAGTTTGAAAACAATGCTTCTCCTCATTGCAAAATCTCTTAGAAGACTCCGTAGATCCAGGAACGGAAATGGAAAATGACAGCGTGTCAATCTCTGAAGGTTTTGGGCATTTCCATTAGCACTCCATCTTCATGTAAACCAGAAGATATGCAGTTTCCTGCCTAGAGAGAAGAGAAGACACATCAGCACAGCGGCATGAAACCTTCATCAGAAAACAATGCTTCATTAATCCGTGACAGGACAAGCGTCAGCAAACTTCCAGGCGGCTGGATTAGGCCTTCATCTATCCATCACCTTGGAGAGGAACAAAATAGGTGGCCTGGGAAGATAAGCACTATGTTTCTATTAGTTAATATCTAAAGCGGAGGTTAACAAGCTATGGACACACAAGCCAAACCCAGCCCTCTTGGGGTTTTTTAAATCTACTTTCAACTTTTATTTTAGATTCAGCGGGCACATGTGCAGGTTTGTCACGTGGATATGAGCATACTCCCCAACAGTTGGCCTTTCACCCCTCCCCTCCCTCCCCATCCAGCAGTTCCCAGTTGTTGCCATCTTTAAGTCAATGAGTCCCCATGTTTAGCTCCCATTTATAAGAGAGAACATGCATTATGTTTTGTTTGGTTTTTGCTGGTTTTTTTTTTTTTTTTTTTAATGGAGTCTTGCCCTGTAGCCCAGGCTAGAGTGCAGTGGCACAATCTTGGCTCACTGCAACCTCCGCCTCCCAGGTTCAAACGATTCTCCCTCCTCAGCCTCCCGAGTGGCTGGGACTACAGGCGCCCGCCACCACGCCCGGCTAACTTTTTGTATTTTTAGTAGAGACAGGGTTTCACCGTGTTAGCCAGGATGGTCTCAATCTCCTGACCTCATGATCTGCCCACCTCAGTCTCCCAAAGTGCAGGGATTACAGGCGTGAGCCACCGTGCCCAGCCTTTTGTTTATTTTTTGACGAGACCGTTCTTGCTCTGTCACCAGGCTGGAGTGCACTGGCACAATAATAGCTCACCACAGCCTCGTGCTCCTGGGCTCAACTGACCCTCCTGCCTCAGTTTTAGCTTCCTGAGTAGCTAGGACTATGGATGTGTACCACCATGCCTAGCTATAATAATTTTTATTTTTTTGTAGAGATGGAGTCTTGCTTTGTTGCCCAGGCTGGTCTTGAACTCCTGGCTTGAAGTGATCCTCCTGCCTCGGCCTCCCAAATTGCCGGGATTAAAGGTGGGAGATCGCACCCAGTCTCCAACCCTCTTTTTGCAAGTAAATGTAACTGGACCCCAGCCATGCTCATCTGCCCATGTACTGTCTACGGCTGCTTTTGCTCTACAGGGCAGAGTTAAGTGGTTGCAACAGACACCGCACAGACCACAAAGTCTGAAGTACTTTCTCTCCAGCCCTTTACAGAGAAAGTCTGCCAACCTCTGATCTCAATAACAGGGAAATCAATGACAACCACAAAGTGACAAAGATTGGGTGTCTAAGATGGATGTTCAGAATAAACAAGAGAGAAAGATGAAAAGTAGAAGGAGGATTTCAAACGCAAGCTTCACCTAATCCATTATTTTTCAAATGACCAGGCCTATCTCTGTAGCTGAAAATCACCTCAAATAGGATCTCTGATATACAGTCTCCAAAAGCTCAGCTAAGAAACTTACAAAGTCTCTCTGCCTTAACTTCATCCACCTTTTTTCTCTCCAGCTTCTCCTCGGTAGTTAATGATTATAAAAATATTTATTGGCTCATGCCTGTAATCCCAGCACTTTGAGAGGCCGAGGTGGGCGGATCACGAGGTCAGGAGATCGAGACCATCCTGGCTAACACGGTGAAACCCCATCTCTACTAAAAATACAAAAAATTAGCCAGGCGTGGTGGCGGGCGCCTGTAATCCCAGCTACTCAGGAGGCTGAGGCAGGAGAATGGCATGAACCCACGAGGCAGAGCTTGCAATGAGCTGAGATCCTGCTACTGCACTCCAGCCTGGGTGACAGAGCAAGACTCCATCTCAAAACAAACAAACAAACAAACAAAAAAACAGTGTGATGGCCAGGCGCAGTGTTCATGCCTATAATCCAAGCACTTTGGCAGGCTGAAATGGATGGATGGCTTGAGCCCAGCAGTTTGAGACAAGCCTGGCAACATAGCGAGACCTCATCTCTACAAACATTTTTTTAAAATATGCCAAGCATGGTGTACAGACTGTATGCCTGTAGTCCCAGCTATTCAGGAGGCTGAGGTGGGAGGATCACCTGTGCCCAGGAGTTCAAGGCTGCAGTGAGCTATGATCACACCACAGTGCTCCAGCCTGGGCAACAAAGCAAGACTCCATCTCTAAAAATAAAATTAAATTAAAAAAAAGATCTTCGCTGTAAAAGAGGTATGCTCAAATGCAATAAAAGCATATAAGAAGGCCAGGTGTGGTGGCTCATGCCTGTAATCCCAGCACTTTGGGAGGCTGAGGCAGGTGGATCATGAGGTCAAGAGACTGAGACCATCCTGGCCAACATGGTGAAACACCGTCTCTACTAAAAATACAAAAAACAATCAGCTGGGCGTGGTGGCACACACCTGTAGTCCCAGCTACTCAGGAGGCTGAGGCAGGAGAATCGCTTGAACCTGGGAGGAGGAGCCAAGTGTAGTAGCCAAGATTGTGCCACTACACTCCAGCCCGGCAACAGAGCGAGACTCCGTCAAAAAAAAAAAAAGAAAAGAAAAGAAAAGAAAACCATACAAGAAGCCCCTACGAATCTGGGTGAATCAGCAAAGGCTTCACAGGATAGGAAAAGGCCATGAGTATGAAAACATGAGTGGGGAGTTGGCCTAGATGGTAAACGAGGAGAGGACAATACGGCCAGGAAGTGCATGTGCACAGCAGACGGGAGATGGAGGGCACGGCTGATTGGCAGCTACCTGTACTTTAATATTCCTGGAGTGTGACGTGTGAGGCAAACATGGGGTGGTGGGGTGAGTGCTGGAGATGAGGCGGACAGTGAGCCATCAGCATGTTAGTAACAGGGGAATCCATGGGCGTTTCATGCAGCTCCAAGGACCCTATGTGAGCTCATCAGACTCCAATTACCCAAATCTGTTTCTTACCAGTGGTAGTTAGGATTTCCGTAGGTACACTGGATGTCTTCCCAGGACACCTGGAAGCCAGAAACAAATGGGGTCAAGCAGCCAGCTGACACAAGCACCCACAGAGGACAGGATGCTATAATGTGCCCCTCATCCTCCAGACAAGCCCACCCCTAGCAACTCCCAAGAGCCTGGAGCAACAGCAGCAGGATGTCTTGTGCAATGAAGTATGTTTAGTGCCCTTGTCCCTGTGTTTAAACTTGGTCATGCTTATCCCAGAGGCCTAACTTACATATTTCTAACACTCGTTGCTCTCTAGACATTTCCCACAAAGCAGGAAGCTGCAGAGCATGAGCCTAGAGCACCAAAAACTTAGAAGTGAAGTGAATTGAACCCTTACAGAGGTGCAAACCACATGGGGACTTCAGACCGAAAAAGGCTTGAACCCTCATCAAAGGCCCCACACCCAGACAGCAGGATCACAGTGTGTCTTGATCTCAGAGACCCACGCAGCCCTGAGCCCAGCATTTGCTAGAGGTGGCCAATCCAGGGCAGGAGGCAATTGTGGATGATGTTTCTTACCAAGCAAATATTGGAGTCATTGAAGCAGAACCATTTTCCATCCACAGCATTCCGGATGTAGACACAGTAATGACCGGAGTCTGCCATTCCCACGTGCGCAATCACAGCAAAAAGCTCATACTGCCCTCCAGACTGGAAAGAGACAGGCACGAGACAGTTCACCCACCACCACAAACACGACTGCCTCACACATTTATACCTGCCCACACTAGGCCCGACTCTGGGACTTTAGAATATTAGAAAACAGTCCCGACCCACAGCCAGTGGGCACCCTCCAGGAGGGGCTTTCCCGAGTGTGGATCCTGAACTGCGAAGGCTCAGCAGCTTGGCAGGGCAGAGCACGCAAGAGATGGAAGGCAGGTCATGAGAGAGGCCCCCAAAGCCAAGGCAAGATTAGAACTTTCCCCTGGGAGGGGTGGGGATCATCAGAACACAGTTCTGTTTCTCCACAAGCCCAGGAATGACCCTAACCTGAGCCACCGTACCCAGCCAAAAAAGTCTTTTGTAGGGGGAGGGGAGACAGAGGGCAAGGGCGGCAGACGCAAAGCTGAGTCACCCACAGTGGAGGCTGAAATTATCCCTATTTCCATTTGCAGACTTTGTGCAGAACTTTACAAAATGCAGGGCAATATCTGTATCTAAATATTAGTTTACAAGAAATAAAAGGGTTACAGGAACATGTTAAAAGATATCAACCAGCCAGTGCTGGCATATGAAAAAAATATTCAACCAAATCAACTGCAAGGAAAAGAAAAGGAGCGGAAATCTAAAAGGAACTCAAGAAAAGAAAGAAACTTAACCAAATGCAAGTGTAGGCGTTGTTTGGATCTAGAGTCAAACAAACCACATAGATTACACAACAGTCAGGAAGTCTGAACGTTGACCAGATATTTGATGCTATTAAGGAATTGCAAGATGGAGATGATTATCTTTTGAGTGCTTATTCTTTAGGGATACATAATGAAGTGTTTATAAATGAAATAGTATGATGTCTGGGATTTGCTTCAAAAAAATCCAGTACAGGGTTGGGTGAAACAAGAGGGTGGGTTATAGGAAAAGCAAGACCTGCCATGAGTTTTGGTAACTGTTACAGCCAAGGATTCACTGTCTAACTCTTCCTTCACTACACACTTTGGTATCTATTTGTAATGTTCCATAACAAAGTCTTTTTTGTTGTTGTTGCAAAGATGGAGTCTTGCTTTGTTGTCCAGCTGGGCTCGACTCCTGGACTCCAGCAATCCTCTTGGCCTCCCAAAGAGCTGAGATTACAGGCGTGACCCACTGCATCCAGTCAAAAAAGTCTTTTTTAAGTGAAAAACAATTTTAAATACACTTCATTGGGCAGAATCTGCAGGTAGAAATAAAAAGAACTAGAAGGAAAGAAAAAGAGAATCCTATGAAATGTATACGGCCTAAGTAGGTAAAGAAATCATGTTATAATAGGAGCTATTGTAACATATTATCAGGTCTTAATTTTCTAAATGTCATGGTTCTAGAGCATAAATAGCCAAACAGACCAATAAAACAGAAGAGACACTCCAAAAATAGACCCGTACATACAGGAATACAAAATTTGTTATGTAGCATTTCAAATCTATGGAAAAAAAGATATTTGTGTCTTTTTTTTTTAGTTTTTCTTGTTTTGTTTTTAGAGACGGGGTCTTGCGCTGTTGCCCAGGCTGGAGTACAATGATAGATCATAGCTCACTGCAGCCTCAAACTCCTGGGCTCAAGTGATCCTCCAACTCAGCCTCCCAAGTAGCTGGGACTAAAGGTTTGTGCTACCACACCCAGCTAATTTTTTTTTTTTTTTTTGAGAGACGGGGGTCTCATTATGTTGCTGAAGCTGGTCTCGAACTCCTGGGCTCAAGCAATCCTCCTGCCTCAGCCTTTTGAGGTGTGGGATCACAGGCATGAGCCACATCACCTGGCCTTGTGTCTCTTTTTTTCTCAGAATCTCTTGATAAGTTATTATCTCAGGACAAGTGAATTAAACTTTACTCTGATTAAATGTGGTCCAGTCAACTGGCTACTTTATGATTATCCTCAAAGTGGGCACAGGCCATCTGAGGAAGAAAGTTTGGTTGGTACTATGAACCCACAATGACATGTTTGCCTATGCATTTCTATGTATTCCACATTATTTCCAAAGAAGCCTACTGAATTCTGGATTCTGTCCCTCAGTGCTGTGAGGCATATGAACACAAATCCAATATTTAGAAAGAAGAAAGGCTTTTGAGGCTGGGGACAGTCTCTGAGGAACAGGTGGCTCCTAGCAGACTGGGGGTGAAGGAAGGGAAAACAGAAAGGACATGGCATCTGGGGAGAGGCAGGATGGCAAGGAGGTCGGGATCATCCCACCTGCTCCTCAGCATCACAAGACTCTCGCTTCATTGGAAGGATCTGGCTGAAATCCAAGCTCTGGGGGAAGTACAGGGAGTGGCAGATCTTTCTCGTCTGTGAATTCCTGATGGAGAATCGCATGAGGTGGATTGTCAGGGTCTGGGGCAAATGGGTCAGCTTCAAGACCTGAAAAATCAAAATCACTCTGGAGATGAAGTCTACTTGGAATGAGAGAGTCAGAGAAATGTCAGGGCTAGCAACGCGTTCTTCCCAAAAAGAGGGGAGCGGGGCGACATCACGGAGTTCAAGGCTCCTGTTCGCCGAATCTGCTGAGCTCCTCTGAGAATAATGCAAAACTTGGCTATTCTACCACCATGTGGCCCCCCACAAGAGGCACAAGGGCACAGGGCTCTGCACAGGTACCAGGACCCAGGGAGCCACCGCGTCTGCTCCAGGGAGCTGGTCTCGCCTGGAGGGAAACGCCCTGCCGGCTGCTCTCAGGCGCCCTCCTGCAGTCCCTCTCAGTGATGCGACATGAGAAGCCACATCCACGGCTCCAGATATCAGAACCACAGCGTCCCAGATACTAGCCAGACCCAGATTCCCTTTCTCACCCACCATGGGGTGTCCTCGGGGCCTCTGATGATTCTATCAGGAAATCCACGGGGGGCAACCCCAGACTAGTGAAGGACAGATGACCCCTGAACAGCACGGGTTTGGACTGTATGGGTCCGCTTATACACAAATTGTTGTAAATAAATACAGTCTGCCCTCCCCCATAGGCACGAGTTCCACATCTGCAACCAAATGCTCATCAAAAATAAAGTATCCCAGATGCACAACCGCATAGATGAGGGACTGACTTTTCCTATACGTGGGTTCCACAGGGCCGACTGGGTGTGACTTGAGTGTGTGTGGATTTTGGTAAAAGCAGGGGTCCTGGAACAAATCCCCCATATGCACCGAGGGACAGCTGAGTCTGATTTAGGGAATGAGTACCTGTTTCCCACGGGTCTTCTTCCCACAGTTCTCACAGAAGCACTTGCTTTTGCTTGATAACTCCCTGGGCTGGAAGAAGCAGTGCAGGGCGTCCTCCTGTCCCACCCAAGAGAACAGGGAAAAAGCAGCGTTGGTATTTCCCACCTAGAATACTATATTCATCTGTTCTCACACTGCTGTGAGACAATAGCTGAGACTGGGTAATTTATAAGAAAAGAAGTTTGATTGGCCCATGGTTCTGCAGGCCAACCGGAAGCATGGCAGCATCTGCTTCTAGGGAGGCCGCAGGAAGCTCCCAATCATGGCGGAAGGCCAAGCAGGAGCAGGTGTCTTACCTGGGAGGAGCAGGTGTCTTACCTGGGAGGAGCAGGTGCAAGAGACCAAGTGGGGAGCTGGAGTGCAGGGGCGCGATCTCAGTTCACCGCAATCTCCGCCTCCCGGGTTCAAGCGATTCTCCTGCCTCAGCCTCCTAAGTAGCTGGGACTACAGGCTGCGCCACCACGCCCAGCTAATTTTTTTATGTTTTTAGTAGAGACAGGGTTTTACCATGTTGGCCAGGCTGGTCTCAAACTCCTGACCTCAGGTGATCCACCCACCTCAGCCTCCCAAAGTGCTGGGATTATGGGCGTGAGTTACCACACCCAGCCTGGCTCCACACTTTTAAACAACCAGATCTCATGAGAGCTCACTGTCACAAAGACAGCACCACGGGGGATGGTGCCAAACCATTCACGAGAAACCCTCCCCCATGATCCAATGTCCTTCCACCAGGCTTTACCTCCAACACTGGGGATTACAATTGAACAGGAGATTTTTGGGCAGGGACACAGTCCCAAACTGTATCAGTTACAGCCTCCCCACACTTTGCAGCTGAGGGTTTCAGCTTTTCTTCTGGTTCTCCTCATATCCCCCTTAATGCCTGGCCTGGTGTGGTCCACTTGGCAGGATCTCAAAGGGCACCTACTGACTGGAGGAACAAAACAGGAGGGGGCTCCTATTAAGGGAGCAGTATGAGGGAAGTGGAGGTAGGAGGGAAAAACATTTTTGCCAAACAAAGGAGAAATTGGCCAGTGCCATGAAAATGAAATAAGTGACTTTCCAGAAGCCAGAGATAGATCAAAGAGGCAAGGGGGAATTGGCCACACTGTGCTGTGTGGTGTAATGGTTTGAGGGTTTGTCCTCCCCAAAACCCAGGTTGAAACTGAATCCCCAGTGTGGCTGTATGGAAAGGTGGGGACTTTGAGAGATAATTGGGGAGGGCAAGGTGGCTCATGCCTGTAATCCCAGGGAGGCTGAGGCAGGTGGATCATGAAGTCAGGAGTTTCAGACCAGCCTGGCCAACATGGTGAAACCCCATCTCTACTAAAAATACAGAAATTAGCTGGGCATGGTGGTGGGCACCTGTAATCCCAGCTACTTGGGAGGCTGAGGCAGGAGAATCACTTAACACCAGAGGCGGAGGTTGCAGTGAGCTGAGATTGTGCCACTGCACTTCAGTCTGGGCAACAGAGGAAGACTCTGTCTCCAAAAAAAAGGGGGGGGGGAGGTTATTGCATCATGAGGGCACAGCCCTCATAAATGAATTAATCCACTCATGGATTAATGGGTTAATCGGTTATCCTGGGAGTGGGACTGGTGGCTTCATACGAAGAGGAAGAGAGATTTGAGCTGGCACATTAGCATGCTCAGCCCCCTCGCCATGTGATGCCCTGCACTGCCTCGCCTCAGGACTCTGAGAGTTCCCACCAGCAAGCAGGCCCTCACCAGGTGCAGCCCCTCAACCTTGACTTCCCAGCCTCCAGAACTGTAAGAAATAAATTACCTAGTCTCAGATATTGAGTTATAACAACAGAAAATGGACTAACACATACAGGGGCAGCAAATACCAAGAGAATCCCCTTACCAGTGTCTTCAGGGGCTTTGAGTCCACATCAAAAAGAGAAAGTGGGAGGGTGAGCATGCTGCTGTTTCTGCTACTCTCCATGGCACAGTCAACGCAAATCAAGGAGTCCTTCACCCGGATCGTATACAGGGCCTGCAGTCTCTCCACCTGCAAGAGGGAGAGCGGAGAGGTGAGATGGGAACACCACCATAAGCCAGGTCAGGCCAACTGCCAGAAGGTGGAGCCAAGAGACAGAAGCTCCTCACAAAGGTGCAAAATAATACCAGTAACAATATTATGAAACTGTGATAAGTGTTTTATGTGGATTAACTCTTTTTTCTTTTTTTTTTTTTTTTTTTTGAGACAGAGTCTCGCTCTGTCACCCAGGCTGGAGTGCAGTGGCGCGATCTCGGCTCACTGCAAGCTCCGCTTCCCGGGTTCACGCCATTCTCCCGCCTCAGCCTCCCGAGTAGCTGGGACTACAGGCTCCCGCCACCACGCCCAGCTAATTTTTTGGTATTTTTAGTAGAGACAGGGTTTCACTGTGTTAGCCAGGATGGTCTCGATCTCCTGACCTCGTGATCCGCCTGCCTCAGCCTCCCAAAGTGCTGGGATTACAGGGGATTAACTCTTTTATTCCTCTACACACTACGGGAACAACAGCTGAATGAGTGAAATGAGCAGCATCTTAAGCTTCCGAGTGCTCTGGTTCTAGGTTCTTACCAAGTGCACATCAGTGATCTGGTCCTTAATCAGGTTCCAGAGTTTGAGGTACAGTTGGGCAGCATCATGTTGGACAAACACTGGCCACAGAGAAAAGGAACAGCCAATTAGTGAGGTCTTCAGAGTCGCTTCTCATGCCCTGGTACTTAGACACACATGAACACTCATCACTTTGTCTCTTCCTAGCCCTCCACCCCACTGCAAGGCTAAGTTGGCACGACAGAAGAAGTGATCAATAAATGAACAGTAAGTTTGGTATTGATTTTTGAGAACGCCTCTTAAAACTTAAGCTCCAGTGCCAGATGTAGTGGCTCATGCCTATAATCTTAACACTTCGGGAGGCCAAGGTGGGAGGATCGCTTGAACTCAGGAGTTTGAGACCAGCCTGGGCAACATAGCAAGACTCCGTCTCGATAAAAAATTTAAAAAAGTACTTGAGAGTAGCGGTGCACGCCTGTAGTCAGAGCTACTTGGGAGGCTGAAGCAGGAGGATCACTGGAGCCCAGGATGTTGAGGCTACAGTGAGCTGTGATGTCACCACTGCACTCAGCCTGGGGAATGAGATGTCCACAGGGACTTTGAAAAGCACTGATACATTCCTGAGGATCTAGAAGGCCAGGCGCATGCCCAAGTAAGACCTGAGAGGGCTCAGATCCCTCCCCTCTGGCTGACAACAAGGCCACATGCAAGAAAGCAATGAAGGCGAATACAGAATCATGAACTGCCCAGAAACGATAAAACAGCAACAACAACAAACCCTGCTGTGGGGATCTCTGATGTCCAGTGTTGCCACCTTACATTATCTAAAATGTTCATTTTCCAACAAAAGAGACAAGACCTACAATGAAACAGAAAAGCATGGCCACCCAGGAAAACAGCAATCGTAGAACCTTTCACTGAGAAGCCCTAGATGTTGGCGTTACTAAACAAAGACTTTAGCCGTTATAATATGTTCAAAGAACTAAAGAAAACCATGTCAAAAGATGTAAAAGAAAGTGTGAAAATGCTGCCTCACCAAATAAAAAGTATCAATAAAGAAAAAACTATAAAAGAAGAACCAAGCAGAAATCTTGAGTTGAGGAGAACCATAACTGAAATGAAAAATGTACTAGAGGAGGTCAATAGCAGATTAGAGCTGGCAAAAGAAAGAATCCATAAACCTGGAGCTAGGTTGATTGAGGTTCTCCAGACTGAGGACGGAAGGAAAGCTGAACACAGTACCTATGCAGCGAAAAGCTGAGGAGCTGCTCACTGCGTGTAGAGCTCAACTAACTCTGATACAAAAAAAAATGTGATACAAAAGGTTTTATACACAAATGTGAATTTATTCTGAAGCCAGCCTGGGGCAAGGAGCAAGACACATCCTGCCTTTTAATGTGCCATTTCTCCTTTGGAGGAGAGAGGGGCATTTTCATAAGGTGTGTTGTGGGGGTGGGGGGAGTGAGCAATGGCGGTTTTCTACCGGGCAGTTATCAAGTTCCCAGCAGCTGAGTTGGCGCCTTTCCGGGCAGAAAAGTGGCCGAGTGGGCATGCTTTCTCCATGCCTTCCTAGTGGGTGAAAGACAAACCCCTAGAGGGTGGAAGTTTCGAAGCCACCCCCTGGCAGGGAGAGTTCCCTGGTGGGTATGCTTTGGGCTGCAAATCTACTGCCAAGTCTCAGGAAAGATCAGCTGGAAGAACTTGCCCGTTCTCAATCAAACCTCCATCAGCCTACCTCCATTTACAGATTCTTCCTTTTGCCCAGCAGGGAATGTCTGGAGAGGGGTAGGCGAAAGGTGATATTTGCATTTCTAAAGGGCTAACAGGAAACAGGAAACACGGCCGCGGTGAGGGGTGAGGGATGGGAAGAGGAGAAGTGAAAAGAAAGTAATAAGAAAACTAATATAACTATCTCTTAGAAAATGGGAGTACTCAGTTACACCCAGATGGGTTCACTAGTGAACGATGGGTTCTACCAAACATTTATGGGAAAAATTATACCAATTCCCTACAACCTCTTCCAGAGGACAAAAGCAGAGAGAACACTTCCTAACTCATTCTCTGAGGCCAGCATTATCCTAACACCAAAACCAGACAGACATTGTAAGAAAAAAACCTAAAAACCAGTATCTCCCGTGAACATAAATGCAAAATTCCTCAACAAAATATTAGTGAATCAAATTCAACTATGTATAAAAAGAATCACAGAGGGTGACACAAGCGAGATGGTAGAGAAGGAGGCTCCTGGTGCTCCCCTTCTCCCATGGACACACGGTAAAACTCTCATCTACACACAGATCAACTCCCTCTGAAAGAAACCCAGAAACCAGCTGAGAGAGGCCTGCACAGGGGGCAATGGGGAGAACACCCACATCGCAACCGGTTGGAAAAGCTGAGACACACTCGCACCACAAGCCCCACCCCAGACACAGTACCTTACTGTGAGGAAGGAATCCCTACTCCCAGCTTTCTCCTGGAGAGGGGAGGGTTTGGACCACACATAGGCAGCCCCAGCTTTTGCAGTTCCCACTCAAGGGCTTGGCTGCTGGGTCACCTAGCTCTGGGAGCAGACATGGGTCAGCAGTTATGAATCCTCTGCGACCACAGAGGGCAAAGAGGCAGTTTTAAACGGGCACGTGAGCACTTCCAGCAGCTGTGCTCAGCACAGAGCAAACAGGCAGAAATGCCAGGCTTCCAGTTTCTCCCTGGAAGGATATGTCTGCGGGCTCTCCTAGCTGTTGCCCGAGGGATGGGCTTCTATTAATAACTGGCCTGCACCTGGAGCCAATGAGGCAGGTAAACAATAGATTTCCAGGAGTCTGGACAGGCCTGTGGGCAAGTCCCATGCCTTCTCCCACCCCCTGCTGTATGGTAAAATCAGGTCTCTAACTTCACACATTGAGTACACATTTACCCCTCTCAAATGAAGGTCTAGCTCCTCGACCACCGAGCTTTGGGAGCTGACAAGGCTCTGTATTTGTAAGTCCCACAGGGGCACAGAGACCAAAGAACATCCCCCCAGGCCCAGTGCAGCGTGAACAGGCAAAAAGGCCCGGCTCCTACTTTCTCCCTAGAAGGAGTTTGTCTGCACAGTGCAGCTGCTGCCCTGGGGTTTCTATGCATCTGGGAGCTGACAGAGCAGGAAACCAGTGCTCCTCTGAGACCCTGAACAGGCAGGTGAGCACCTCCACAGCTGCTCCCACTGGTTTGCTCAACAGATAGCGTCAAGCTTCCAACTAACCTGTCCGTCTCTAAGCAGAGAGCAGCCAGCATTCGCTAGGCCCCTGGGGGTGACAAAGAGTAAAACAATGCGTGAAGGAGTGTGCAGTTTCAATATGAGTGCAGGCACTTGCCACAGATCCTCTGTCCAGCGTTTTGCAGAGCAAGTGGCGGATTAACTCATGCTCCCAGCTTTTCCCTGAGGATAGAATAAACTGGAACACACATTTAATGCCCCAACGTCTCCACCTGCACCTCAAGGGGCTGGTTTCTATCTCCCCTGTCTAGGGCACTGACAGGACTTGACACATTCTAATCTCCTGAGGGCCGCTAACAACATAGATGACAGTCTGGACAACACAAAGGGTCAACAGGTGCTCCGAGTGTCCGGCAGGGCTAATTGGTAAGTTCGTCTCTTATACAAGGCCCGTGGGACAAGACTGGGAGAGGTATTTTTCTTTTTTTCTTTTTTCTTTTTTTTTTTCTTTTTTTCTGAGACAGAGTCTTGCTCTGTGGCCCAGGCTGGAGTGCAGTGGCGCAATCTCGGCTCACTGCAAGCTCCGCCTCCCGGGTTCACGCCATTCTCCTTCCTCAGCCTCCCGAGTAGCTGGGACTACAGGCGCCCGCCACCACGCCCAGCTAATTTTTTGTATTTTTAGTAGAGACAGGGTTTCACCGTGTTAGCCAGGATGGTCTCCATCGCCTGACCTCATGATCTGCCCACCTCGGCCTCCCAAAGTGCTGGGATTACAGGCGTGAGCCACCGCGCCCAGCCTGGGAGAGGTATTTTTCTTAACTAAAGTACAGAAAATAACAGAGAATCAAGAACAATGAAGAAACAGAGAAATATGTTCCAAGCAAAAGAACAAGATAAATCTCCAGAAAATGCCCCTGGTGAAATGAAGATAAGTGACTTACCTTACAGACAATTCAGAATAATGATCATGAAGATGCTTACCATGTCTAGGACAGCAATGCATGAACAAAGTAAGAATTTCAGCAAAGAGACAGAAAAAAGTTCAAAAGAAATAACAGAGCTGAAGAATACAATAACTGCAATAAGAGCTCAAAAGAGAAGCTCAACAGACTAAATCAAGCAGAAGAAAGGATTAGCAAACTAGAAGATAGGTCACTGGAAATCATTCAGAGGAGCAAAAATGAAAAAGAATGAAAAAGAGTGAAGATATCTTAAGAGAGTTAGGGGACATCAAGCCGACCAAAATAGGCATTATCAGAGTCCCAGAAGGAGGAGAGTGAGAAGAGATGGAAAGCTTATCCAAAGAAATAACAGTCACGAGTTGCAGATCAACATTTCAGTCAATGGCAGACCACATGAGCACAGTGGCCATAGCATGCAGCCTAGCTGTGTAGTAGGCTGTCCCATCTAAATTTGTGTAAGTGCACTCCATGATGTCCACACAATGACAAATTCACCTTCTGATGCATTTTCAGAACGTATCCCTGTTGGTAAGCAACGCATACCTATAATGACTGAAAACTTCCCAACCCAGGGAAGGAAATACAAATCCACATCCAGGAAGCCCAAAGGACACCAATAAGACTGATCTAAAGCAACCCACATCAAGACACATCATAATCAATTTCAAAAGTTAAAGACAAAGAATTCTGAAAGCAGCAAGAGAAAAGCAATGTATTATACACAAGGGAAAACCCGTAAGTGTAGGATTTCTTCTGGGGGTGATGAAAATGTTATGAAATTAGATTGTGATGATGGAGGCACAACTCTGTGAATACACTACAAACCTTTGAATTGTATGTTTTTAAATGGATGAATTTTACAGTATGTGATGCACAACCCAATATAGCTATCTAAAAAAAAAAAAAAAAACCTAACCTATTTGTGAATTATTTTGTAGAACATGTTTTCTCTTTTTTATTCCTTTATTCTGTTTTCCTGCAGTTCCCTGACTGTGGTGGAATAAGCTTGGAGGAGATGCCTTCACTTACTCTACTGAGAGGCAGAGAAAGGTTAGGTATGGAAGTAAAATGTCCATAAATAATATCAATTCTGCACCTCCAAAGATGTGTGCCTCTTACACAAATGTCTCTATAATCTGAGGGGTCCAGGCTACCTAACTTGCTTCTTGTTGCTTCACTGCCCGTTAGTTCCTCTCTTCACTCTCTAAGCTTCCCATCCCCTTTGGATCAGCAGCCAGGAGCCCAGTGGGAGGGTATCTTACAGGGCACGTTGCACTTCTGCAGGCAGTAGGCCAGCTCCAGGGGCCGCACTGCTTTCTGCCGGCTGTCCTGCATCTTCTCCAGCAGCAGAAGCATCTGGAAAGGGACGCTTCTCCTCTGCTCGTCAGCTCCCCTGGGCACCGTGATCCTGCCACACAAGAACAGCCAGAAACCTCCTTACATGTAGTTCTCAAAGCTAGGTGCACACTGGAATCACCTGGGAGAAATTTTAAATCTTCATATCCAGGCCACTCCCATACAAATTAAACCAGAATTCTGGGTCCGGGGGGCGGGGCGCGGGCAGTTATCAGAATTTTTCAGTTCCTCAGATTATTTCAATGTGTGGTCAAGGTTGAGAAGCACCATGTGAGTGAATCTGCTCTACAGGGGACCCTCTAGAGAGGGGGATCAGCATGACTGCTGCCTTGGCCCCTCTGCACCCTGCCCAGCAATCGTGCTAGAGCAGACGGCAGATGCACGAGGTCCTGGCTCCACATCTCGGGCAAGCAGCAAAATGTCCAGCCTAAAGCTCTCCAGACTGCAGAGGCACATGCTGGGTTAGGTCCTGGGAAGAAAGGCAACATGAAAGGCTGTCCGTGTGGTTTGGCAATGATTCATTTAATCACAGGCATTTTTCGGATGGGAAAAAGGAGAGAGCACAGGGCAGAAAAGGAGTGATAGAGAGAGACAGAGGGAGAGAGTGCATTGTGTGAGTGTTGGTGGAAGGAGGGGTGTGTACTCCCCACTGACTTACTCCTTCTCCGACTTTGGTCTAGTCCCAACTCTGTCTTTTAACCAAGTCAGTGGCTGTCAATCCTGGCCGCATTTAAAATCACCCAAAGAGGGCTTTAAAAAAGTACCAATACCTGGCCGGGCGCAGTGGCTCATGCCTGTAATCCCAGAACTTTGGGAAGCTGAGGTGGGCAAATCACCTGAGGTCAGGAAATTGAGACCAGCCTGGCCAACATGGTGAAAACTCATATCTACTAAACATACAAAAATTAGCCAGGTGTGGTGGCGGGCGCCTGTAATCCCAGCTACTTGAGAGGCTGAGGCAGGAGAATCCCTTGAACCCGGGAGGCGGAGGTTCCAGTGAGCCGAGATTGCACCGTCGCACTCCAGCCTGGGGACAGAGTGAGGCTTCATCTCAAAAAAAAAAAAAAAAAAAAAGTACCAATACTTGGGTCGCACCCCAGACCAACCTAAGAAGTTTTAGAAATAATGTGTAGGCCAGAATATGCAGAAGCCAATCTTTCCTCTGCCAGCTTTTGAGAGAAGATCTCAAAAAGTCCAAGTCACTGTGAATAACTGAATATATTAAAAATGAAATAATACAGGCCAGGTGCAGTGGCTTACGCCTATAATTCCAGCACTTTGGGAAGCTGAGGTGGGTGGATCACGAGGTCAGGAGATCGAGACCTTCCTGGCTAACACGGTGAAACCCCGTCTCTACTAAAAATACAAAAAAAATTAGCCAGGCATGGTGGCGGGCTAGTCCCAGCTACTCGGGAGACTGAAGCAGGAGAATCGCTTGAACCCGGGAGGCAGAACTTGCAGTGAGCCAAGATCATGCCACTGCACTCCAGCCTGGGCAACAGAGCAAGACTCCATCTCAAAAAAAGGAAAAAGAAATAATACAAATGCTCATCAGCCTGAAGAACAGTCTTACCTCTTCAATATCCTGGTGAAGTCCACATTCATTACGAACACCTGAATCAAGGAGTTAAGGCAGCAGGTCTGTCCAATGTTGTGTAAACCAACCAGGCCTATAAGGGGAAGAGAAAAAAATGCTGAGGGCAAGGCCTAGGGTAAAGAAGTTGACAAGGCTGGGCATGGTGGCTCATGCCTGTAATTCCAGTACTTTGGGAGGCCGAGGTGGGCGGATCACCTGAGGTCGGGAGTTCGAGACCAGCCTGGCCAACATGGTAAAACCATGTCTCTACAAAAAAAATCCAAAAATCAGCCGGGTGCGGTGGCTCACGCCTGTAATCCCAGTACTTTGGGAGGCCGAGGCGGGCAGATCACGAGGTCAGGAGATCGAGACCATCCTGGCTAACACGGTGAAACCCCGTCTCTACTAAAAATGCAAAAAAAATTAGCCGGGCGTGGTGGTGGGCGCCTGTAGTCCCAGCTACTCAGGAGGCTGAGGCAGGAGAATGGTGTGAACCCAGGAGGCGGAGCTTGCAGTGAGCCAAGATCACGCCACTGCACTCCAGCCTGGGCAACAGAGCGAGACTCCATCTCAAAAAAAAAAAAAAAAAAAAATCCAAAAATCAGCCAGGTGTCATGACAGGTGCCTGTAGTCCCAGCTCCTTGGGAGGCTGAGGCAGGAGAATTGCTTGAACCCAGGAGGCAGAGGTTGCAGTGAGCCAAGATCATGCCACTGCACTCCAGCCTGGGCAACAAGAGTGGAATTCTGTCTCAAAAAAAAAAAAAAAGTTGACAAAAATCTAATGTTTTTCTTAAAGCTACTAAGGACATGAAGTCCTGTAAAGTCTCTCAAGTACGAAGTGTTCATTCAGCTTGCAAACAAATCGGAGAGAAGATATCAAACATGAATCTTTAAAAAGCTCTATCACAAGGGCCAAGCACAGTGGCTCACACCTGTAATCCCAGCACTTTGGGAGGCCGAGGCGGGAAGACCACCTGAGGTCAGGAGTTCAATACCAGCCTGGCCTACATGGTAAAACCTCATATTTACTAAAAATACAAAAATTAGCCGGGTGTGGTGGTGCATGCCTGTAATCCCAGCTACTCGGGAGGCTGAGGAAGGAGAACTGCTTGAACCTGGCAGGCAGATGTTGCAGTGAGCCAAGATCGTGCCACTGCACTCCAGCCTAGGCGACAAAGCAAAACTCCATCTCACACACACACACACAAAAAGTTCGATAACAAGAAAAGTTTTAATATAGTCCATTAGGAAAAGTGAGATGTCACCAAAAGTATATATTACTCACTGCCAAATGAGTAGTATGAGCAATTGTTGGGAGAGAAAAAAAAACATTAGAGAAAGCATAACTGAGAATATGGCTTCCTTTCATTCAAATCGTTCTCCACGGAGCTAAGTCCAAATGTGCATCTGTGGGGCTCAGGGATAAGAGGGACTCCCCAGTATGTCTATGTTGGAGTCCAGCGGAGAGGTCTCTGCCCAGTTCCCACTACAGGGAGGCAGGAAATAAATCAGAAGGTTACTTTGGGGAAGATTCACCTAATCCAGTGTCACCCTGAGAGGCTGAAAGGCAGAAGGAACTTATAAGAATACGAGAAAAACAAAAGATAACATTTGTCTGACCCCTAGCAACCAACCTCCTCTTTTCCAACCCAACCTTAGGCTCAGCAGACCCCACAAGGGAAGTACCACTAATCTCAGGATTCTTGGGGAAAGGGCTTTGGCTTACAAGATAGGACAGTAAGAAAGTAACAACCTGGGGTCACAGGTGAGCACAGATTTCTACTCCCAGACTATCAGGAGCACATTGCTTCCAGACAGACCCATACAAAGGTAGCAGTAAAGATGGGAACTAATGCTAAGTGCCTCTAGAATCCCAGCACTGGCTTAAAGCAGTTTCCACAGATGACCCCATTTAATCCTCCCAACAACCCTATGTGCTTGGTACTATTATTACCCCCATTTGTTTGTTTGTTTGTTTGAGACAGAGTCTCACTCTGTCACCCAGGCTGGAGTGCAGTGGCGTGATCTCAGCTCACTGCAACCTCTGCCGCCCAGGTTCAAGCAATTCTCCTGCCTCAGCCACCTAAGTAGCTGGGATTACAGGCACCTGCCACTGCGCCCAGCTAATTTTTGTATTTTTAGTAGAGACGGGGTTTCACCATTTTGGCCAGGCTGGTCTTAAACTCCCGACCTCATGATCCACTTGCCACGGCCTCCCAAACTGCTGGGATTACAGGCATGAGCCACCGCGCCCGACCTTGTTTTTGTTTTTTACAGATAGGGTTTCACTATGGCCCAGGCTGTATCCCCATCTAAAAGATGCAGAAACTCAGGCACAGGAAAGCATGAGCCGTCGAATACAAAGCTCTGCGGCTTCAGAGCGGAGGGGGTGAGCCGAACATTTACATGCAGTCAAGAAGAGGAAAACGGGAGGGGTCTAATGACCATGAGGGTAGTCCCAGGCCCTGGGACGCTCTCTGGGCTGCTCTCTCTTCATGTTGCTGTCTTCTTCCTTCTTTTCTTCAAGATCTGCCGGGGACTGCGAGGACTCAGCCAGGATGGACTGACAGATTTGCCTCAGGAGCCCAAACGCCTTGCTCATTCGTGATCACTCCAAAACCCCCAGGCCGCAGCTGCCTGGCCCGCGTTCAGGACAGCACGACTTCACTTCCAGGAAGCGCTTATGTGAGCCAGGCACGATGGAATCTCTGTGAAAATACAATGCGGGTAGGCAAGAATTAGAGAAGGAGGAATGTGTATTCATGTAATCCGTTCTGATGCCAAAGAGCAGGTCTTAGAGGGAGATAAATGTTTGGGGAGACTGACTCATAGAGCTCTAGGCTGGAAATGACAGCTAGGCTACACATCCCCTAACCTGGGTCCCAGGCGTTTCCATTCATCCTCAGAGCCGACTGCCAAATCCTAACCGGGAGCGCCCTCTTGGGAAAGGACAGGGAAGCGCGCATAGGACTTTGCTTTACAACCCAGGACCAGGCCCACTTCAGTAAAAAGCCAGCACTAAGCAAGAACTCTCAGCCCCTGATGCCAGGCTGGCATACAGGGGAAGCCTCTCAACCCGCCCAACACCCAAGGGGACCTGCGGCCCTGGCAGAACAGCCTCGTGTTCTGGCCCGCAACACTGCCGGCCAGCTGCAGCAGTCAGATAAACCTTAGCTGCAGGCAGGCTGTAGCTACCTGTCGGCCTTAGGCACATCCTGGTGCTGGGCTGGTCTCATGGCATGAATTCTGGGGGTGTGACTCAATATTGTCTCAGCCTCAGTGGCCATAGGGGTACCCGTGTACCCTCCCCCAACCCAGCACAGCTGTGTGAAGAGAGACACTGTTTGCTTGGGGGAAGAAGAGGTAAGTGGAGTACTTCGCCTTGGAACCCAGTGTGTCCGGAATTGGTGGGTGCTTGGTCTCACTGACTTCAAGAATGAAGCCGTGGACCCTCGCAGTGAGTGTTACAGTTCTTAAAGGGGGCATGTCCGCAGTTTATTCCTTCTGATGTTCGGATGTGTTCGGAGTTTCTTCCTTCTGGTGGGTTTGTGGTCTCGCTAGCTCAGGAGTGAAGCTGCAGACCTTCGCGGTGAGTGTTACAGCTCCTAATACGGCGCATCTGGAGATGTCCGTTCCTCCCGGTGGGTTCGTGGTGTCGCTGGCTTCAGGAGCGAAGCTGCGGACCTTCACGGTGAGTGTTACAGCTCTTAAGGCAGCGCGTCTGGAGTTGTTAGTCCCTCCTGGTTGGTTTGTGGTCTTGCTGGCTTCAGGAGTGAAGCTACAGACCTTCGCGGTGAGTGTTACAGTTCATAAAGGCAGTGTGGACCCAAAGAGTGAGCAGTAGCAAGACTTACTGCAAAGAATGAAACAACAAAGCTTCCACAGCATGGAAGGAAACCTGACCAGGTTGCCACTGCTGGCTCGGGCAGCCTGCTTTTATTCTCTTATCTGGCCCCACCCACATCCTGCTGATTGGTCCATTTTATAGACAGCCAATTGGTCTGTTTTACAGAGAGCTGATTGGTCCGTTTTGACAGGGTGCTGATGGGTGTGTTTACAATCCCTGAGCTAGACACAAAACGTCTCCACGTCCCCACTAGATTAGCTAGATACAGAGTGTGGACACAAAGGTTCTCCAAGTCCCCACCAGAGTAGCTAGATTCAGAGGGTCGACTGGTGCATTCACAAACCCTGAGCTAGACACAGGGTGCTGATTGGTGTGTTTACAAACCTTGAGCTAGATACAGAGTGCCGATTGGTATATTTACAATCCCTTAGCTAGACATAAAGATTCTCCAAGTCCCCACCAGACTCAGGAGCCCAGCTGGCTTCACCCAGTGGATCCCACACCTGGGCCGCAGGTGGAGCTGCCTGCCAGTCCCGCGCCGTGCGCCCGCACTCCTCAGCCCTTGGGTGGTCGGTGGGACTCGGCGGCGTGGAGCCGGGAGCGGCGCTGGTCGGGGAGGCTTGGTCCGCACAGGAGCCCATGGCTGCGGGGTGGGGAGGCTCAGGCATGGCGGGCTACAGGTCCCGAGCCCTGCCCTGCCAGGAGGCAGCTAAGGCCCGGCGAGAAATCGAGCACAGCAGCTGCTGGCCCAAGTGCTAAGCCCCTTACTGCCTGGGGCTTGCAGGCCGGCCGGCTGGCCGCTCCGAGTGCGGGCCCGCCGAGCCCACGCCCACTCGGAACTCGCGCTGGCCCACAAGCACCGCGTGCAGCCCCAGTTCCCGCCCCTGCCTCTCCCTCCACACCTCCCCGCAAGCTAAGGGAGCCCACTCCAGCCTCGGCCAGCCCAGGAAGGGGCTCCCACAGTGCAGCGGTGGGCTGAAGGGCTCCTCAAGCGTGGCCAGAGTGGGCGCCAAGGCCGAGGAGGCACCGAGAGCGAGCGAGGGCTGTGATGGCTGCCAGCACGCTGTCACCTGTCACCAGGACTAGGCTCACTACAGTAAAACCCAGTACTGGGCAGAGCCTCATCACCCTGATACTAGACCAGTACCCACAGGCAGATCTCACCCCACCCTAGTGCCAGATGAGAACCCACAGCCCCAGTAACAGGGACTGGCGATCTGGCCCACATCACTACCTGACAACTACAGTGGCCCTGGGCCCTGAATAACTTCAGCAGCAGCAAGCACGCCATCACAGCTGTGGGTCTTGGGCGTGCCCCAGTGCTGTGCCAGTCTCGGCAGCTATGGCCTTCAGGCATAACCCAGGGCTGTGTCAGCCTCAGTGGCCAAAGAATTCCAACCACAGTGATGCTGGGCTTAGAGCACCCCCCAGCACTACAACAGCTGAAGCAGTCATGGGCTTAGGGTCCTGACCAATCAGCCTCTCCCTAATCTCCTATGGGTTTCCTGATGAAAGACGAGCCCAAACAAAGCCAGGCAATGAAGACTGGCTTAGGTACCTATGTCAATGCACAGACATTGACACACAGCCATAAGGATCAAGGTCAATCAGAGAAACATGACATCACCAAATGAACAAATTAAGGTGCCAGTGACTAACCCTAAAGATATAGAGATGAGGCCTGGCATGGTGGCTCAGGCCTGTAATCCCAGCAGTTTGGGAGGCTGAGGTGGGAGGATCACTTGAGCCCAGGAGTTCAAGACTAGCCCGGGCAACATACTGAGACCCCATCTCTAAAAAAAAATTTAGATGGTCATAGTGGTGCACGCCTGTGGCCCCAAATACTGAGAAGGGTGAAGGAGGAGGATCACTTGAGGCCAGGAGTTTGAGGCTGCACTGAACTATGATTGTGCCACTACACTCCAGCCTGGGCAACAAATGAGACCTTGTATCTAAATAAATAAATAAGATGAAATAAAATAATAATAATGGGTAACATCGAAGCACTATTTCTTATAAAAGGTGAAAGCCTTTTATATGTACTGTCTTATTTATCCTTACACAGCCATGTGAATTAATTACTGTTATATTTCCATTTGACAGATGAGAAAACTGAGATACAAAGAAGTAAGTGCCTTTCCCACTGGCAAGTGATGGGCCAGATGTAGACAAGCTGGACGGGGTTTAAGTCCAGCTAACATGCTGCTCAGAGTGAGGAATAAACTCAACCAAATCATTGGTGGGAATGTAAATTAGTAGAGCCATTATGGAAAACAGTATGGAGATTCCTTAAAAACCTAAAAATAGATATACCACATGATCTAGTAATGCCACTGCTGAATATATATCCAAAGGAAAGGGAATCAGTATGTTGAAGAGATATTTGCACTCTCATGTTTACTGCAGCACTGCTCATAATACCCGAGATACGGAATCAACCTAAGTGTCTATCAAAAGAGGAATGGATAAAGAACATGTGGACTATATACACAAAATGGGATGTTATTCAGCCATTACAAGAGAATGAAATCCTGTAATTCCCATCAACATGGATGAGCCTGGAGTACATTACGTTAAGTGGAATAACCTAGGCACAGAAAGATAAATACCACATGTTCACACTCATATGTGAAAGCTCAAAAAGCTTATCTCCTAGAAATAGAGAATAGAAAGCCAGGCATGGCAGTTCACACCTGCAATCCCAGCACTTTGGTTGGCTGAGGCAAGAGGATAGCTTGAAGCCAGGAGTTCAAGACCAGTCTAGGCAACATAGCATGTTGCCTAAATAAAATAAAAAATATTTTATTTTCTAAAAATAAAAATAAAATTAGCCTAGCATGGTGGCATGTACTTGTGGTCCCAGCTACTTGGGAGACTGAGGCAGGAGAATCAGTTGAGCCCAGGAATTTGAGGCCACAGTGAGTTATGATCGTGCCACGGCACTCCAGCCTGGGCAACAGGGCAAGACCCTGTCTCCTTTTTTTTTTTTGAGATGGAATTTCACTCTTTTTACCCAGGCTGGAGTGCAGTGGTACAATCTCAGCTCACTGCAACCTCTGCCTCCCGAGTTCAAGCACTTCCCCTGCCTTAGTGTCCCAAATAGTTGGAACTACAGGCATGTGCCACCACGCATGGCTAATTTTTGTATTTTTAGTAGAGACGGGGTTTCACCATGTTGGCCAGGCTGGTCTTGAACTCCTGACCTCAGGTGATCCACCCATCTCGGCCTCCCAAAGTGCTGGGATTACAGGCATGAGCCACCGCGCCCAGCCTGGAATATATTCTTAAATTCATGTTGGATGGCTCAGATAACAACAACCTCTTTTTCTTAGTAAATATTGACTTTCAATAGTTATAAACAGTTGTTCTTCTTACAAGGCCCAGCCTAGGAGGACTCAACTGAAATGATGACAGCAGACAATTCCATCAGCAAGAAAGAGGATTTTGAGCTCATCATTGAGGGAAAGCTGATGAAAGAGAGCAGAGAGGTTCCAGGCTGCATTTTCCAAGATGTTGTCCTCTTCTCCGCCAAGACCTCCCAGATACTTCAGTAGGATATAGCAGTAAAACCTCATGGAGCAGATCATTTGAGCAGGCTCGGTCCCAAAGGGAAACAAAATACAGCAGCCTTTCAGGGTAGATCACACTGGGGAGACAGGGAGGCGGGGCAGCAAGGAAAGGAAAGTGAAGCTTAAAAGGTCTAAGGAGGATGGGGAGGGCAAGGCGAGCAGAGAGACCGCAGCTGAAGTTAGCAGGGGCAATAAGCATCCACCAGAGAAAACAGCCTGGGCGGATTCCAAGGAAGGGGATTTTCAAACTCAACTGCTGACTCAAAAAAAGACCCCCAGGCCAGGCGCGGGGTCTTTGTTTGAGACTCTGTCTCAAACAAAACAAAACAAAAATCCCAAATACTAAACTAACTTAGCTCCCACCCTACCTGAATTTTTTTTTTTTTTTTTGGTTCACGTTCTCTCATGATCTTCCCGAAATGTTATCCTTAAGCTTCGGGGAGAGGTGAGCAACGGAAGGAACTGGCCCAGGCCCACCACTAAAGAAGCCCCAGGACCAATCGGGGTCCTCAGAGAAGCCCCAGAAGAGCCAGGAACAAGCTGCAGAAAACCTGGGGAGGGTGGGGCCTCCACCCAATACTCCACTCACAACTGGACTCTCTGCCAGGAAAGCCAACTCCAACATTTAGATGCCCTAAAAGGAACAAAATTAACCTGCCAGGAACATGATTCAAGCAGCCTCGGTGTCTTCCGACCCACCCCATCATGGCAACCACAATTGTAGACCGCAGTCTCGATGACGTGTTCACATTATTTTGCATTTCTTTTTTCTTTTTTTATTTTTATTTTTATTTTTGAGACGGAGTCTCCCTCTGTCGCCCAGGCTGGAGTGCAGTGGCCGGATCTTGGCTCACTGCAAGCTCCGCCTCCCAGGTTCACGCCATTCTCCTGCCTCAGCCTCCCGAGTAGTTGGGACTACAGGCGCCTGCCGCCACGCCCAGCTAATATTTTTTATTTTTAGTAGATGGGTTTGCACCGTGTTAGCTAGGATGGTCTTGATCTCCTGACCTCGTGATCCACCTGCCTCGGCCTCCCAAATTGCTGGGATTACAGGCGTGAGCCACCGCGCCCGGCCTATTTTGCATTTCTTGAGTAATCGTAATATGCGGGTTAGAACACACGGATTACAACACTTTGGATGAAAAACCACATAATAGGGAAATTTTGGGACTACTCTCTCTCAAAAAAAAAAACAGCTCGTGGAAAAACTAGGACTTACCTTCTTTGAAACTATGTTTATGTTAAGCATTTTCCCCTTTGTAAGCTCATCATTGTGTAAAAGTGTCAGAACTGTGCAACACATTTTTTAACAGTCCAAAAGCAAGTTCTTTGATAAATCAATATGAAGCCGTGCACCTGTGTTACTCTCCCTCCCGTTTTGTTCCTGCGAACACATCGGTAACCTGCATTCACTCTCCATCCAACTCTGTTCAATACCAGAAAGAAACTTCAGATGAAATGCTTTTCAGTATTTGCCTTGTTTTCTGGAACAACTTTAAAGTACAAATTATACCTAAATAAGTACAAATTAAAGCCTCTGCTTTAATTTTCAAACACTTTGAACCCAGATTTTCAGGGGTCTCAAAATGGAGTTTTGTGTTTAAAAGTCTAAATTTAGCTTTCTTCCAAGGAAAAGGGTGTGAAGAAGAGAGGTTAAGACTAAAATACTCTGATTTGCAGAGTTTGACAACATCCTTCCAATTTCTCAATATGAATGCCCACTGACCCAGCCATTCCACTTCTAGGAATTTTCCACCGATATATTTGTATGAATGTATACATAAAATTATATTCATTGCCGTATCTGTGCCAGTAAAAACTGGAAACAACCTAAATCTCCATGCATTGTTTAAACAATGTACTTCCCATACCATGTATCAGGTTTTTTTGTTTGTTTGTTTGAGACAGTTTCGCTCTGTCGCCCAGGCTGGAGTGCAACGGTGCGATCTCGGCTCACCGCAACCTCCGCTCCCGGGTTCAAGCGATTCTCCTGCCTCAGCCTCCCGAGTAGCTGGGATTACAGGCATGCGCCACCACGCCAGGCTAATTTTGTATTTTTAGTAGAGACGGGGTTTCTCCATGTCTGTAACTCCTGACCTCAGGTGATCCTCCCTCCTCGATCTCCCAAAGTGCTGGGATTACAGGCGTGAGCCACCGTACCCGGCCGAATCAGTTTTTTGTTTTATTTTTAATGCCATTAACACATCTATATGTCCTGCCATGAAAAGATGTCCATAATATACTCAGTGGACAAAGCAAGTTCGAAATGATTTTAAAGACTTGTACATAGAAACATTTCTGATAAGGTACAAACAAAAATGATACTGAGTGGAAGACTGCGAGACACATTTGTCTGCATTGTTTGAATTTTTTTACAAGCTTACAACACTTCTGCAATTTCTTTTTTTGTTTTAATTAAACACAAAGTCATGTCAAAAGTCCAAATAACTATATTAGCTTAGAAAAAAATTCACTGGCCCAAAATATATGCACGTAGTAAATACAGATCACTATCATAATTTGCAGAGCACAATTATTACTTAATTCCTTAATTATCTGACTGGCATAGGAGCAGAGTTGGATGTCTGTGCTAGAAAGAAAACTTCCAAAATGAGCCCCGAACTTGCCTCAAGCGCCATGCAAGCGTCCAGCCTCCGCTGCTGAGTTCCACGTCGGGACTGAGCCGGGGACCGAGCTGGGACCGAAGTTCCGCTCCGGGCCCGCCTTGGTCTGGCCCCGCGCTCGTGGCACCCCGCCCAGCTTTCGTTTTCCACTGAATGGAAAGCGAAACTTACAGCGGCCTCCGCGCCGGGAGCTGGGCGCCAGCGTGCGGGGAAAC
Organism: Homo sapiens; assembly: GCF_000001405.40. Taxonomy (NCBI): domain Eukaryota; kingdom Metazoa; phylum Chordata; class Mammalia; order Primates; family Hominidae; genus Homo; species Homo sapiens. The sequence goes on along the minus strand of NC_000022.11, from coordinate 18,150,010 downwards.
CCTGCCGGCCCGAGCTTCCCGCGGCTGCCGTTGCAGCCGCGCACCTGCTCCAGACTTCCAGCCCTCGCTTTTTTTTTTTTTTTTTTTTTTTGAGACGGAGTCTCATTCTGTCGTCCAGGCTGGAGTGCGGTTGCGCTGTCTCGGTTCACTGCAAACTCCGCCTCCTGGGTTCAAGCGATTCTCCTGCCTCAGGCTCCGGAGTAGCTGGGATTACAGGCATGCGCCACCACTCCTGGCTAATTTTTGTATTTTAGTAGCGATGGGGTTCCGCCATGCTGGCCAGGCTGGTCTCAGGTGATCCGCCCGCCTCCTAAAGTGCTGGGATTACAGGTGTGGGCCACCGCGCCCGACCTACAGGCGCCTTTTTATTTGCGATTTTAAGGTCCTTGCAATTAGCCTACGTGTTAGAGTCATTTGGCGTTTGGTAGTATCCATGGCAGCATTTTTTCTTTCTTAATGCTATTGTATTTCTTGGATCGGGTGTCTTCACATCACCGGCCTGTGGCTTGGATGCGGCACATGGTGTAATTAGGAGCTCCCCTGTGGGCATGCAGATACAGATATTTCTCCACTTAAGAAGGGGTCAGGGGGCGCGGTGGCTCACACCTGTAATCCCAGCACTTTGGGATGCTGAGGCAGGCGGATCACCTGAGGTCAGGAGTTCGAGACCAGCCTGACCAACATAGTGAAACCCCATCTCTACTAAAAGTACAAAAATTAGCTCGGCGTGGTGGCGCTTAATCCCAGCTACTTAAGAGGCTGAGGCAGGAGAATAACTTGAACCCAAGAAGCGGAGGTTGCAGTGAGCAGAGATCGACAAGAGCAAGACTCCGTCTAAAAAAAAAAAAAAAAAATGGGGTCAAGTCCCAGTGAACCCATCATGAAGTCGAAACATCGTAAGTGAAACCACGGTAAGTGATGGACCATCTGTGTATATATAAGGTTAAGAGATCTGTAACATGCACACCGGAAAGGCTTATTACCTCTTTAGAGATGTATTTCTTGTATGTAGACTCATGGGGGTAGGGGCAGAAGGGTTATCTGCTAGGGGCCTCAAACTCCAGCCGCTGGAATTTGCGCAGGAAAGCAGGGTACAATTCCCCCAAAGCGATCATTCTTTCTGAAAGCCGTCCCCGCAGCAACAGACAAATAGCCTCCAAAAACCCAAAGCTGCCAGAACCTCACTGAAGCGTTGGTAGGGTCTGCAGTAAGGTACAAAATACCATGGCATGAAGATGTATAAACGTGTCCATAATAGGGTGGATGTGTGTTAGAAGCATGAGCACAGATATACACATACAGGCTATCCACACGTCCATCGTCAGCCCAGACTCCGCTTACATTGCTGCTGGAACGGAGGCAGTGTCGCCCACAGTGCAGCATGTTCTCCCTGGAAGGCTGGTGGACTTTGCGCAGTATGGTGTTTACACAGGTACACGGTGGTGGGCGCAGGGTCCGTCCTCATTATATTTGCTGACCAATCAGTTATATAACCAGCTTCATACATCTGGTAAGTCTTGTCCACAAACAGGAACCTCAAAAACTCAAGTGAGGGCAATGAGGAGAGGAGGTTGCAAAATTTGATAAAATATGCTAAATACAGCAAGTCAGTAGAAGGCTAAGGAGCAAGCTGCAGTTGCTTGCAGCAACTATCAGCAGAAAACTATTAATAGTCAATCCAATGATTCTATCTGAATCTTGGTAGGTCGGTGGAGCAAAGTAATTGGTGTTGCTGCCCCAGTGCAGAATGGACAAGGGTGAACCTTGGGTTGGAGGCTGGACTATATAATGTAAGGATCCATTACACTTCTATGGGGCTCTTCCTTCCGTCCTTCATGGTACCCTCCTGAACAATTCCGTGCTAAGGCCATCAGGTGTGTCAAGCAAAGTGGGCGTTTGTGTAGTATGTTCCACAGTGGCCCAAGCAGGGTGCTGGACTGGAGCAGGTTGAGGAGGGTGGCAGCACAGTGGGGCTGCCCAGCACAATGTCAGACACAAATGGGTGCTGGTGCAGCCCGGCCCAGGGTCACAGCCCAAGCAATTTGAAGATGTGGCACATCCCGGTATTGGAGTGGCCCAGTGTGTGGTGTCCAGGGAGGGCAGGGTGCTGGTGGAGATGACAGATTAGTTACATACAGGGGGATGACCAGGTAACTGAATGTATTAAGGATAATTGGAGCCAGAGTTGAAACTCTCAGAGATAGGAGTTACAAATAAGGAAAGGGAGAATGAGCCCACTAGTGTTGAACTGGAATTGGACTTAGCAGTGTGGATCCATGATTTTCAGTATGTATACACAGATAGATAAAGAAGTACAAGGCGGGTGGATCACGAGGTCAGGAGATTGAGACCACCGTGGCTAACACGGTGAAACCCCGTCTTTACTAAAAATACAAAAAATTAGCTGGGTGTGGTGGCACACGCCTGTAGTCCCAGCTACTCGGAAGGCTGAGGCAGGATAATCATTTGAACCCGGGAGGCAGAGGTTGCAGTGAGCCAAGATTGCATCATTGCACTCCAGCCTGGCGACACAGCGAGATCCCCTATCCAAAAAAAAAAAAAAAAAAAAAAAAAAAAAGAAGTACATGTGGAGGTAAACATGTGTATACATGCATACATCCCCTGACTTGGTCTGTAGGGGGCCTGGGAACAGTGACACCCCAACAGTACATCTTGCACCCAGATCTTGGTTTCTAATTCCCATTCTCTAGTAAAAGGAACCAATGTTGCTTGGAGAAATGGCTGTTTCTGGGGTTAAGGCAGAGAAAGTACAAGATGAGCCTAGGACATCTTGTTCTGCCAGCAAGTAAGGGAATGCTCCAAGAATGATGGGGATGTTTCAAAACGATGCAGAAGCCAGCTCCAAGACCATGCTCCCACTGGCCAAATTTGGAACAACTTGAGCATTAAAAGAAATGATGATTTGTTTTGTTTTGTTTTTGTTTTTGAGACGGAGTCTCGCTCTGTTGCCCAGGCTGGAGTGCAGTGGCACTATCTTGGCTCACTGCAAGCTCCGCCTCCTGGGTTCACACCATTCTCCTGCCTCAGCCTCCCGAGTAGCTGGGACTACAGGCACCCGCCACCACGCCCAGCTAATTTTTTGTATTTTTAGTAGAGACGGGGTTTCACCGTGTTAGCCAGGATGGTCTCGATCTCCTGACCTTGTGATCCTCCTGCCTCGGCCTCCCAAAGTGCTGGGATTACAGGCATGAGCCACCGCGCCTGGCCTGAAATGATGATAGTAACATTTCGACCTGTTAAATAAAATGGGAAGCCACACTTCATACCAATAAAAGTAGATACTGAATAAATTAAAAGTTTGATGAGAAACAGGATATTTACACAGTTTCAAAGTACTCTCCCACAAAATACATATTATTAATTACCATTATTACATACATGTGATACAGGTTCATTCTGCCCGCATGCCATAAATCCATCACTGTGACAGGTTTTGTAAAAGAGAAAAGATTTATTCGCAAGGCAGCCCAGTGAGGAGGCAGGAGAACAGCTCTCAAATCTTCCTCCCCAAAGATAAGTCTTAGGGATATTTACCGGTGAGAGAAGCAGGGTGGTGTAAGGTATGGGCAAAGGTGATTGGCAGTGGGGGAAAATGAGGCAGTCGGTGACCACTGCAAGCATAGTCAGGGTTCGTGGCACTTCACAGGGCACATGTTCAAAAAATGACAGCCTTAGCGTGATCTGAGGGTGTCGCTTGGGGCCTCTGATGTCAAAAGGCCACTTCTTTTGTTTGCACAAGCCTACTTGAAAGCTCACGGTCTCAACTGGTTTGAACTAGGCAGGAGCTGCCCCAAGTTCCTGAAAAACAATTTGAACGATCATGACAGTAGTGACATACATGTTATCTGTAAGGAAGCCGGCAAGGTTAAGTTACAGCGCTCAGTGGCGCGGCCTTCAGCTTCACAGAAAAAAAATAACAAAAGCAAGTGACCCAAAGCAAGCAGGGCAGGCTAAATTGGGCAGACCTAATCAGATGAACCCCATGGTCTCATATGTAATATTACATTATAACTATAAAGAATGTAATTAATGTAAATATTCGGTACAAGAAAGTCATCAGTGCGGGGAACACTGGAATTGCGTGCCACCAGAGGACAGAGTGGAGCCAGCGCGGTATCACTTCTGTGCTGTTCCCATCGAAGGTCAGTAACCGGAACCCCTTCGCCAGGACGCGGGTCCTGGCCAACCCAAATCGAGGGGCATTCTGCAGATCAGCTGGTCTGCCATCTTCAAACGATTCATGAAAATCAAAGACAGCTTTGAGGAACGGCTCCAGACTGGCAGAGACCAAAGAGGTCATAGATGAACAGGAGATCCCCAACTGGATCCTTTGGCTGTAAAGGACAATATTGGCACAACGGGTGAAGCTTGAATGGGGTCTGAGGATTAGGTGGTAGTAACTTCACAGGCGGGGATTTGGGAGAAATGCAATGTCACGTGGAAAACTGACTCTCAAATAGTTCAAGAAGGAAGTTCTTTGGACTATACTTGCAACTTTTCTGTAGGCTTAATACTGTTTCACAATTTTAAAATGTAAAATAATAGTACCAGGTAGTAGTTTTTTATTAAGACAGATTGTGCTTTTTGAAAGCATTGGTGGAAAGATTTCTCAAAATCATGCGCGAAAGAGTTTATAATGAAATTGTGTAATATTTGTTTCAAAAGAAAGTGTGGGCCCTGAGAAGCATTTTCTGTAGTTTACACAGTATTTCTGCCAATTTGGGATACTTTCAGTGTCCCTGGAATTCTCATCATCTGAATTTCTTACTCTTTTTCCCTTTAAAAAAAAATAAAATAAAGAAGTATGAGGCAAAAGGCCACACCTACCTACCTCACTTTAAAATTCTGTCTAAAAACCTGGTCACAGAGGAAGATGTTGGCTAACTTTAATGCGATAATCTAGTTCCCCTCAAAATGGAAAGCTATTTAGAAAAAAGCTATTTGCCCAACGTGAGGAACAATTTATAGAAACTGACAAGAATTTTTGTCCTGGGGAAAGGACAGGGTTTGTTGCATGGGATAAGGGGAAGTGATGTGGCCGGGCATGATGGCTCACGCCTGTAATCCCAGCACTTTGGGAGGCCGAGGCAGGTGGATCGTGAGGTCAAGAGATCGAGACCATCCTGGCCAACATAGTGAAACCTCGTCTCTACTAAAAATACAAAAATTAGCTAGATATGGTGGTGTGTGCACCTGTAGAACCAGCTACTCGGGAGGCTGAGGCAGGAGAATCGCTTGAACCTGGGAGGCGGAGGTTGCAGTGAACCGAGATCGCTCCACTGCTCTCCAGTCTGGCGACAGAGCAAGAGTCTGTCTCAAAAAAAAAAAAGCAAGTGATTTTTTTTAAAAAAAGAAAACAGAACCGATGTCTGAAAAAGTAGTACTCCTTTACAAAACACATTCTCTACAAACGCGTGGTTTCATGTGACCTCTGCTCAGTCCCTTTCCACAACTTTCTCCTGCCTATTTTCTTCTCTGCATTTTGTCAGGATGCTTTTTATTGTAAATTTTACTGTGTTTTGCATGCTTCCAAATATAAAAAATAATTTTTAAGATGAATTAAACATTGAACCTCCCTCTCAGTATTGTTTTGGGAACATGCATTCTCCTGAGGAGAGGGAGCTGTTGAGTGGAAGCAGTCAAACAGAACTCCACATTTCATTTTCCTGGCATGGGTTTCAGGGTGCAACTCAAACAGAATGTGACTTGGCATCTGTCACCTTTCCCAGGCACTCCCTATCCTCTGGCAATTTGTTGCCTTAATGGAGAACCATTCAAAATTAAATATTTTATATTAGAAAAGAAATGTTAAACATAAAGAAAAGTTATACAAATATTATAACAACCTAGTGAGCCTTCCTTCACTAATTTTCTCTCTCATACACACACATCTATGTGTATGTGTGAGTACACAGTATATATGTGTATATATTTACACAATCACTTTTTTTCTTTTGCTGGACTACTTGAGAGTAAATTGAAGAGATTGACATTCTTCAGCTCTAAATAATTCAATATGAACCTCATAGGATCAAAGATGTTTTCATACATAACCCCAGTGCAATTATTACCAAATTCAGATAATTTCATATCCGTACAATTTTCCCATATATAATATATTCAATATTTAAATTTTGACAGTTATCCCAGTATTGTTTATACAGCAACTGTTTTCCTTTGTTTCTTATTTTTATAGATACATAGTAATTGTACATATTTATGTGTTACATGTGATACTTTGATACATGCATACAATGTGCAATGATCAAATCAGGGTAATGAAGGTATTCATCACCTCAAACGTTTATTATTTCTTTGTACTGGGAACATTCCAAATCTTCTCTTCTAGCTATTTTGAAATATACAATAAATTATTGTTAACTATTATCACTGTACAGTACTATCATTCCCTCTATCTAACTATCTTTGTACCCATAACCAACACTTTTCATCCTTCCCTCCCTCCTATTGCTTGCCAGCCTCTGGTAGTCATCATTCTACTCTCCACCTCCCTGAAATCAACGTTTTTAGCTCCCACATAGGAGTGAGAAGGTGGGATATGTATCTTTCTGTGCCTAGCTTATTTCACTTAACGTAATGTCCTCTGGTTTCATCCATGTTGCTACAACCGACGGGATTTCATTCTTTTTATGACTAAATAGTATTCCACTGTGTATATGTAGTACATTTTTTTTTTTTTGAGACAAAGTCTCGCTCTGTCACCCAGGCTGGAGTGCAGTAGCGTGATCTTGGCTCACTGCAAGCTCCGCCTCCCGGGTTCACGCCATTCTCCTGCCTCAGCCTCCCGAGTAGCTGGGACTACAGGCACCCGCCACCACGCCCGGCTAATTTTTTGTATTTTTAGTAGAGACAGGTTTTCACCGTGTTAGCCAGGATGGTCTCGATCTCCTGACCTCATGATTCGCCTGCCTCGGCCTCCCAAAGTGCTGGGATTACAGGCGTGAGCCACCGCGCCCGGCCTTATCTAGCATGTTTTTTATCCATTCATCTGTTGATGGACACTTGGATTGATTCCATATCTTGGCTATTGTGACTAGTCCTGCAGTAAACATGGGAGTGCAGATATCTCTTCAATATACTGATTTGCTTTCTTTTGGGTGTATACCCAGCAGTGGGATTGCTAGATCATATGGTAGTTCTAGTTTCAATTTTTTGAGAAACCTCCATACTGTTTTCCACAATGGTTGTACGAATTTTCATTTCCACCAACAGTGTACGAGGGTTTCCTTTTCTCCACATCCTCCCCAAAATTTGTTATTTTCTGTCTTTTGATAATAGCCATTTTAACTGAGGTGAGATGATACCTATTAATGTGGTTTCAGTTGCATTTCTCTGATGCTTAGTGATGTTGAGCATTTACTTATATACCTGATGGCCATTAGTATGTCTTCTTTTGAGAAAATGAAAATCTTTTTCAGATTATTTGCCCTATTTTTGTTTTGTTTTGTTTTTGAGATGGAGTCTTGCTCTGTCACCCAGGCTGGAGTGCAGTGGGACGTCTCGGCTCACTGCAACCTCTGCCTCCTGGTTCACGCCATTCTCCTGCCTCAGCCTCCCGAGTAGCTGCAACTACAGGCGACCACCACCACACCCGGCTAATTTTTTGTATTTTTAGTAGAGATGGGGTTTCACCGTGTTAGCTAGGATGGTATCGATCTCCTGACCTCGTGATCCGCCCGCCTCAGCCTCCCAGAGTGCTGGGATTACATGCCTGAGCCACCACACCCGGCCCATTTGCCCATTTTTAATCAGATTGTTTCCTTACTATTGAGTTATTTGAGGTTCTTATACAGTTTATATATAGGTAACTAATCCTTTGTCAGATGCAAGTTCGCAAATATTTTCCCATTCTGTAGGTTGTCCCTTCCCTGTTATTTCCTTTGCTGTAAAGAAGCGTAGACGATTCTTTTTTTTCCCCTCCCCCTTCCCAGCTTAGAAGATTTCTGACAAGTGTAGTGAAATCAACAACTGCTCTGCAAGAATCAGATTCCAGGGCAGGCACAGTGGCCCATGCCCATAATCCCGGCACTTTGGGAGGCCAAGGCGGGTGGAGCACCTGAGGTCAGGAGTTCAAGATCAACCTGGCCAACATGGTGAAATCCCATCTCTACTAAAAATACAAAAAAAAAAAAAATTAGCTGGGCACAGTGGTGAATGCCTGTAATCCTAGCCACTTGGGAAGCTGAGGCAAGAGAATCGCTTGAACCCAGGAGGCAGAGGTTGCAGTAAGCTGAGATTGTACTGTGTCTGGAATTGGTTCCTTCTGGTGGGTTCCTGGTCTCGCTGACTTCAAGAATGAAGCTGGGACCCTCGCAGTGAGTGTTGCAGTTCTTAAAGCTGGTGTGTCTGGCGTTTGTTCCTTCAGATGTTCACAGGTACCTGGAGTTTCTTCCTTCTGGTGGGTTCGTGGTCTCACTGACTTCAGGAGTAAAGTCGCAGACCTTCGCAGTGAGTGTTACAGCTCTTAAAGGTGGCACGTTGGGAGTTGTTTGTTCCTCCGGGGGGTTCGTGGTATTGCTGACTTGAGGAGTGAAGCTGCAGACCTTCACGCTGAGTGTTACAGCTCATAAAGGTAGTACAGACCCAAAAAATGAGCAACAGCAAGATTTACTGCAAAGAGCAAAAGAACAAAGCCTCCACAGCATGTAAGAGTACCCCAGCGGGTTGCCCCCGCTGGCGCAGGTGGCCAGCTTTTATTCCCTTATTTGGCCCCACCCACATCCTGCTGATTGGTCCATTTTACAGAGCGCTGATTGGTCCATTTTTACAGAGTGCTGATTGGTGCCTTTACAAACCTTTAGCTAACACAGAGTGCTGATTGGTGTGTTTTTACAGAGTGCTGATTGGTGTGTTTACAAACCTTTAGCTAGACACAGAGCACTGATTGGTGCATTTACAATCCTTTAGCTAGACAGAAAAGTTCTCCAGGTCCCCACCTGATTAGCTAGACACAGAGCGCCGATTGGTGCGTTTTTACAGAGTGCTGATTGGTGTGTTTACAAACCTTTAGCTAGTCACAGAGCGCTGATTGGTGCATTTACAATCCTTTTTAGCTAGACAGAAAAGTTCTCCAAGTCCCCACCCGACCCAGAAGCCCAGCTGGCTTTGCCTCTCAGTACCACTGCTCTCCAGCCTGGGCGACAGAGCAAGACTCCGTCTCAAAAAAAAAAAAATAGCACTAAAAGAAACTTATTAAAAAAGAAAAACATTGTCAGGTCAGGCTAAAGGTTAAAGAGGAAAAAAAATCACAGGGTAGGGTCAAAGAGTGGCGATAACAGAGAAGAGAGTCATGAGACTTGAAATTAAATAATAGAAATTACTCAATATTAACTGCAGAGAGAAAATAGACTGAAAAAAATTAGCAGAGCCTCAGTAACCTGTGGGACTGTGATGAAAGATTTAACATCATGTCATCAAAGTCCCCCCAAAAAAGAGAAAAAAGCATGAAGCTGAAAAATATTCAAAGATATGATGGCTCAAGATTTTCCAAAAATTGCAAAAGACATAGCCTAAACCGAATAAACTCCTAACAAGTCTGAGGCAATCTATATCAATATATATATCATAATCAAACGCCTGAAAACTAAAGGCAAAGAAAAAAGTATTAAAAACAGCAAGACAGAAATTCTACCATATTTATAAGGGAAAAGCAATTTTTTTTTTTTTTGAGATGGAGTCTCGCTCTTTTGTCAGGCTGGAGTGCAGTGGTGCAATCTCGGCTCACTGCCACCTCTGCCTCCCGAGTTCAAGCGATTCTCCTCCCTCAGCCTCCAGAGTAGCTGGGACTACAGGCGCGCACCACCATGCCCAGCTAATTTTTGTATTTTTAGTAGAGACAGGGTTTCACTGCGTTGGCCAGGATGGTCTCAATCTCTTGATCTCATGATCCGCCCACCTCGGCCTCCCAAAGTGCTGGGATTACAGGCGTGAGCCACCGCGCCCTGCCAGGAAAAGCAATTTTTAAATGACGGCATATTTCTCCTCCGAAATCACAGAGACCAGAAGGAAGTGACACAGTATTTTCCAAGTGCTGAAAGAAAAGCAGTGTCAATCGAGAATTCTATTATCCAGTGAAAACAGCCTTCAAAAATGGAAGGGATATCAGGGCAATCTCAGATGAAGAACTACTAAGAATTTGTCACCAGCAGACCTACCATTAAAAAAATGGCTAAAGGAAATTCTTGAAATAGAAAGGAAATGATAAGTCTTAGAACATCAGGGAGGAACACAGAACAACAGAAAGAGTAAAAATATAGATAAATACACTAGACATTTCTTCTGCTGAGTTTTCGAGAGTATCTTTGTCCAAGCAAAAATTTTAACATTGTCTAACATGGTTATTGAAGTATGTAGAAGAATCATTAAGATAATTGTAAGTGAGAGAGGGTAAAATGACTTAAAAGAATTGTAAGGTTTCTATGCTTCAGTCAAACTGGTAAAATGTCAACACTAGTAGACTGAGATATCAATATAATGTAATATGTAGAGCAGCTATTAAATAATTTACACAAAGAGATACACACTAAATCACTAGACATATCAAAATGGAATTCTAAAAAGGTGCTAGTAACCCAAAGGAAAGTACGAAAAAGAAAACAGAGAAACCAAGAACAGAGGAAACAAAGATAACAAAAAAATTCTATGGAAGACCTAAGACTTAATATACAGGTAATTACATTAAATATAAACAGTCTAAATACACTAATAAAAAGATAGATTAGTGAGTGAAACAAGCCAGGCACACAAAGTCAAATATCACCTGTTTTCACTCATAAGTGGGTGCTAAAAAATGTGTACACATGAAGACAGAGATTGGGGTGACAGACAATGAAGACTTGGAAGGGTGAAGGAGTATGAGGGGGTCATATGATAGGTAATTCCTAATTGGGTACAATGCGCATTATTTGGGTAATGGATACCCTAAAAGCCCTGACTTGACCACTATGTAATCTATGCATATAACAAAACTGCATACGGCCGGGCTCAGTGGCTCACGCCTGTAATCCCAGCACTTTGGGAGGCTGAGGTGTGTAGATCACTTGAGGTCCAGAGTTCAAGACCAGGTGGGCCAACATGGTGAAACCCCATCTCTACTAAAAATACAAAAATTAGCTGGGCATCGTGGCAGGTGGCTGTAATCCCAGCTACTCAGGAGGCTGAGGCAGGAGAATCACTTGAACCCAGGAGGTGAAGGTTGTAGTGAGCTGAGATTGCTCCACTGCACTCCAGCCTGGGTGACAGAGTGAGACTCCATCTCTAAATAAATAAATCAGCAGGTATTTATAAACATAGGCCAGATAATGTCACTTCTCTGCTCACAACCTTCCACTGGTACCACATCTCACAGCAAATGGAAGCCAAAGGCCTTACAATATTAGCAACAGCCCCAGCTTTCAGGCCACAAAATTCATCTTGAAACTGTAGCCTACTGAGTATTCTTAACGTAAACATTTCCTTAATATAAAGCAGTATATATTCGCTGTAGAAAAACTGAAAAATATAAAACATGTAAAGGGGGAAATTACTTATAATTCCACAGTCTAAAATAGCCACTACACTGGTTTTTTTAATATATATATCTTTTTGTAAATCTAGTTTTTACAATTTAATGATACTGAGGCAAACAAATTTGCCACATCCATAAAAATTTTGAAATCAAATAGAAATAAAATAATAAAAAGACAGATTGGCAGAGTAGGTGTTTTTTGTTTGTTTGTTTCTGTTTGTTTTTTTAAAAAATAGAACCAACAGCAAGCATAGTGGCTCACACTGGACGCTGAGGTAGGAGGGAGCCCAGGAGTTGGAGACCAACTTGGGCAACCATAGCAATGTAGCAGGACGAGCCGCAGACAAAACTCAGACACCGAGTTAAATAAGGAAGGGGTTTATTCGGCGGGGGGCATTGGCAAGACTCCTGTCTCAAGAGCAGAGCTCTCCGAGTGAGCAATTCCTGTACCTTTTAAGCGCTCACAACTCTACGGGGGTGCGCGTGAGAGGGTCTTGATCGATTGAGCAAGCAGGGGGTACGTGACTGGGGGCTGCATGCACCGGTAATTAGATGGGAACAAAACAGGATAGGGATTTCCACACTGCTTTTCTATACAATGTCTGTAATCTATAGATAATATAACCGATTAGGTCAGGGGTCGATCTTTAACTACCAGGCCCAGGGTGTGATGCCGGGCTGTCTGCTTGTGGATTTCATTTCTGCCTTTTAGTTTTTACTTTTTCTTTCTTTGGAGGCAGAAATTGGGCATAAGACAATATGAGGGGTGGTCTCCTCCCTTAGCAAGACTTGGTCCCTACACATTTTTTTTTTTTTTTTTTTTTTTTTTTTTTTTGAGACGGAGTCTCGCTCTGTCGCCCAGGCTGGAGTGCAGTGGCACCATCCCGGCTCACTGCAAGCTCCGCCTCCTGGGTTCACGCCTTTCTCCTGCCTCAGCCTCCCGAGTAGCTGGGACTACAGGCGCCCGCCACCATGCCCGGCTAATTTTTTGTATTTTTAGTAGAGACGGGGTTTCACTGTGTTAGCCAGGATGGTCTCGATCTCCTGACCTCGTGATCTGCCCACCTCGGCCTCCCAAAGTGCTGGGATTACAGGCTTGAGCCACCGTGCCCGGCCTGCATTTTTTAAGTAAATAATTTTTCCTCTTTAGGCCTCATCTGGTTTATTTTTTATTTTTTGTAAGATTTAAACTCAGACTTAAACATTTAATTTTATCCATGTGTGCATATGAACCTCTTCCATTACTTCCAACAGGTCAGCATTGTGTAAACTACACTTCAGTTATAAACCTTGTTTTGAGCAGCCAGGTTGCAGCCCATACAATGTTCCCAGTGAGGACTTCCTCCTACCTATTTCCCTCCATCTCTGAGCGAGCGTGGACTTGCTGCACGGGGGGGTGCACACTTCATGCTCTATGTGCTGAGGGACTTCCCTCCGGATCCGACCTTGTTAATATCCCAGTTGTGAGTGAGAGCTTCTGAAGCTCCACAGGTTAACTGGAAATTAAATTGCAGCGTTAGTTGTCTCCTCAGAACTCACTGGTTTCATGCCTCACTCAGAAGTAACTGCACAATTCCAGGGCGTCCACAGGAACCTACAGGTTTTGCCTACCCCTGCCCGCGACTGGCTGATCTCCAAACCCTCTCCCTGGCTTCCCGCTGGCTGCTCCTGCCACTCCCGTCGTGTTCCGCCCCAAGCCCCTTTGCTTTGCTCTCTGCTCCTCCAGGCGGTTCCTCCCACACAGACGTGCTGGGCTCCACAGGGGCGCCTTTTGCCTCAGGTGGATCAGAACATGTGTTCGTGTGACTCTTTTTTTTTGTTTTGTTTTGTTTTTGTTTTTGTTTTTGTTTTTTGAGACAAGTCTCGCTCTGTCGCCCAGGCTAGAGTGCAGTGGCGCGATCTCCGCTCACTGCAAGCTCCGCCTCCCGGGTTCACGCCATTCTCCTGCCTCAGCCTCCCGAGTAGCTGGGACTACAGGCGCCCGCCACCACGCCCGGCTAATTTTTTGTATTTTTTAGTAGAGACGGGGTTTCACCGTGTTAGCCCGGATTGTCTCGATCTCCTGACCTCGTGATCTGCCCGCCTCGGCCTCCCAAAGTGCTGGGATTACAGGGGTGAGCCACCGCACCTGGCCAATTTTTTTTTTTAATTTAGCCAGGTGTGGTGGCAGACACCTGTAGCCCCAGCTACTTAGGAAAATGAGGCAGGAGGATTGCTTGAGGCCAGGAGCTCAAGGCTTCAGTGATCTGATTGTGCCACTGCACTCCAGGCTGGGCGAGAGAGTGAGACCTTGACAAAAAAAAAAAAAAATTTCCTAGGAATGTCATTAAATTTGCTCATCTACTTTGTCTTTGAGTTTAAAATTTTTCTCATAAAGGCTTCTAACATTTCCTAAATTGTTATTGTTAAGTATCTAACTATTTCATTGTTATTGTTAATAGAGGTTTTCTCTTTTTCTCTTCCACTATATCCTATCTGGACTGGTTATATGTTTATAAGATGAAGGCTACCTTTTTTTTTTTTTTTTTTTTTGATATGGAATCTTGCTCTGTCGCCCAGGCTGGAGTGCAGTGGCGCGATCTCAGCTCACTGCAACCTCTGCCTCCAGGGTTCAAGTCATTCTGCTGCCTCAGCCTCCCGAGTAGCTGGGATTACAGGTATATGCCACCACGCCCAGCTAATTTTTTATCTTTTTGATAGAGACGGGGTTTCACCATGTCGGCCAGGCTGGTGTCGAACTCCTGACCTCAAGTGATCCGCCTGCCTCAGCCTCCCAAAGTGCTGGGATTACAGGCATGAGCCGCTGCGCCCAGCCTGAAAGCTACATTTTGTTTAAATTAGTCTTACCATTAATTCTGCAGGATTTTCCATGTTCCATCATATCATCTACATATAGAGATAATTTTTCATCTCCCTTTCTAATTATTATTCTTTTAATTATTTTTCCTTCTCTAATTGCATTAGCTTATATTTCCAGTGCAATTGAAACAGTAGCAGCAGTACTATGCATCCTTCATCCTCGCCTTATTCTTGACCTTATTCAGTGTCTCTAGTGTTTCTCCAAGATGCTAAGACATCTGGAGAAACAGATGAAGTTTCTAATATTGAACCATGGTTGAATTCCTAGAATAAACCCTTCTTAGTTGTGCCGTAGTATTTTCTTTTAGAATTGTGGTCTCACTATGTTGCCCTGGCTGGCCTCAAACTCCTGGGCTCAAGCAATCCACCTGCCTCAGCTTCCCAAGCAGCTGGGACCACAGGTGCGTGCCACCACGCCCAGCTAAGTTGATTGGTTTTGGTATTTTTAGAGACAGGATCTCATTATGTCACCCAGGCTTGTGCTATATTTTTTCAGTATGGTACGGATTCTGTTTATTAACATTTTACCAGTGATTTTTGTGTTGCAATTTATAAGGAAAATCATTTTCTGTATTTTTATTTCCCCCCCACTGCAAGACCATGGAGCATGCTTGGTAACACCATCTTCTGACTCATTGACCATGAGCTTAACAAGCAGTCTCACACCTGAGGCTTTAGTTTCTAAGCTCCAAATGCAGTGTATAGAAGGTCCCATGAGAGGTTCCATACTGCATATTCATGAAAAAAGATAAGGCTATGTGAGGACTCACCTTTACTCTTGAGGATTCCAATGCATGAGGGAAGAAGGCTGCCCTACACACTATGAAATTTCATTTCTCTCAGTATCAATATCCTCTCCTTTTGCCCCACTCACCCTCTCACTCTCCTCATCCCTAAAGTGGACAACATAAATTTGCCACAAAACCTTTTAAAAAGTTAATTACGGTACTTTAAAAAAAATTGTGGGCCGGGCACAGTGGCTCACGCCTGTAATCCCAGCTCTTTGGGAGGCCAAGGTGGGCAGATCACCTGAAGTCTGGCCAGGTTCGAGACCAGCCTGGCCAACATGGTGAAACCCTGTCTCTACTAAAAATACAAAAATTAGCCGGTTGTGGTGGTGCACGCCTGTAATCACAGCTACTGGGGAGGCTGAGGCAGGAGACTCGCTTGAACCTGGAAGGCAGAGGTTGCAGTGAGCCGAGATCACGCCACTGCACTCCAGCCTGGGTGACAGAGCGACACTCCATCTCAAAAAAAAAAAAAAAAATTGTGGCTAGTTTGGACTCACTCACAAAAAGGGAAGTTTTCAATCTCTTTAGCATATTTGCATTCTAATAGAAAAGGCAGTGCCCCTGGGGTCTGCTTTTACTTTATTTTTCTTTAAATAGAGACAAGATTTCACCATGTTACCCAGGCTGATCCCAAACTCCTGAACTAAAGTGATCCATTTGCCTTGGCCTCCCAAAGTGCTGGAATTACAGGTGCGAGCCACCATGCCCAGCCCCAGCCCGGTGATCCTTAAAAACTTGGAGTACTGGAGCCAGATAAAATTGCTGATAGAGTCTGCAAGTTCACAGAAAATAAACATACTGTCTTCTTCCTCGGTAGCTTCATTTCTGGAACCTAAGTTGATTTCTGTCAGAAGACTGGAGGTGTGTCGCTCTTGCTGAGAATTTGGAACTGGAGCAGGGGGTGCGTGTGGATACCCACACTCTCAAACGAGAGAGAGCCAAGAAACGCATTTGAGAAATCGGGGTGGAGTGTGAAAGAGGATTCACTAGACATTATGTTAACTATGGATTCTTCTATGCCTGGGGTAAAATATTTAACAATGAAATTAATTTTTCATGGTAAGTAAATATGACTTAGAGTGTCCCAAGAGAGCTGCACTGGGATTCCAGGACCGGGTTATCTAGTTGTTCAGCCCAGTAGAGAAACCAAGCTCCCTGCCAAAGGCCATTGTGCAATTCTCTTTTCTGATTCCCATCTCTTCCCTAGTGTTCACCAAATTTGCTTTACAAGTTTAAGTCTCTAGGCAATCCCATGCTGGGGAAAGACTTACAAAACTACTTATTTTGGGGAATCGTAGAGAGCCACCCACTTTCATTCTCACCCTCTTTCTAGGATCCCTTGTCCCCAGTTCTAAAACTCAGTCTCCTGCTTCATCAGCAGAACCACTGAAGCTGACAGGGCTGGCAGTCCCCATGGTTAGACAGGGACTCAAGCAAAGGAGGAGAAGTGGGAGAGGAGAAGCAGTTGGGAGGAGCAGGGATACATCCAAGGCCCTTGTGTATCATCCCAAACTTCCCTGCTGACCCATCTCCCTGTATTCATGCCTCTTAGCACTTTTGTGACTTTGCCATTCAACCTAATTTTTAACCTAATTTGTGTTAATCTAGAGGAAAGGAACATATCACACAAGCTTTGCCCCCTCCCTAAGCCCTGCCTAGCAGGTGTGCTATACTCCCCCTAACAGGGCATACTCACATATGCAGGAAGTCCTTTCAAGGTTATCTGAGTAGGTCTCATCTTTATGGAGAGAGAAGGATGCATCCTCCTGAAGGGGGACTGACAGCTCCTGACCCTGATTCTCTACCACGGCTAAGTGTGTCCAGGCCAGTTCCCATGGAACCTGGTGCAGGCACGACCTCTGGCAAGAGCGGTCACAGTGGACAACAGATCTGGGCCTCTAGAAGTAACTGGCATCACCTCATGTCTAATCTTCCTTTCCGTGGGACATTTTACTCTGTTTCTCTTAGAGCTTCCAAGGAATACAGGACAGAAACATCCACACGTAAAGAAGTGTGCACTTAATGCCCAGGGACCTACCATGGGCCCAGCCCCAGGTATCTTCCTAGCTGGTTCATGGCCTTTTGATTACTCCTTAGATTCCGCCAGAGTTGCCCACTTCAGGGAAGAGGAGCAGGTAACCACCCCCTCCTTTGCAAATGATACAGATTGTGCCTCTCTCCATCCAGCATTTTATCAGGCAGTAGCTGGAACCTGGCACGAACACACAGTGTTAGAAATGGCGTAGGGTAGGCCAGGCACAGTGGCTCACGCCTGTAATCCCAGCACTTTGGGAGGCCGAGGCAGGCCAATCACGAGGTCAAGAGATTGAGACCATCCTGGCTAACACGGTGAAACCCCGTCTCTACTAAAAATACAAAAATTAGCCGGGCATGGTGGCGGGAGCCTGTAGTCCCAGCTACTTGGGAGGCTGAGGCAGGAGAATGGCGTGAACCCGGGAGGCGGAGCTTGCAGTGAGCGGAGATCGCACCACTGCACTCCAGCCTGGGCAACAGAGCGAGACTCCATCTCAAACAAACAAACAAACAAACACGGAAACATTGTAGTTAGGGTGGACAGGACAGGAGGAAAGGCAGGCCCTGCATCTCAGCTCTACCTCCTACTGTCTCCAACACCTAAAACATCCCAGTCTGTTCATCTACACAATGAGCAGAATATCCATTTTGAGACTGTTGGGAGGATTGGATATAAGGTCAGTATGAATATAGAAATAAGGTATACATATCCTGCTTGAAACCTTCCAAATCCTTCTGTTTCACTTAGAAAAAAATTCTAAACTCCTCTCCATGGCCTGTAAGGCTGGATGCTCTCTGGCCCTGCCTGGCTCCTGGGTCTTGTCTCTCTGACTCTTCCCCTCTCACCATCCTCCAGGAAACAATCTCCTTTCTGCTCTGCAGACGCTCCAAGCTTGTTCCTAGCTTTTGCACTTGCTTCTCCCTGCACCTAGCATCCTTTTGCACGGCCCAGGCCTCCATGAGGCTGTCTTGACCACGCAGTCCACAGGAGCACGCCCAGACACTCTCTCACCACTGCTTTTTACTTTCTCTCACTTGACACCAGCTGACATGATCTCATTCACTTTATTTATGTGTGTATGAGGGCAGGAAATGTGTTCGTCTCGCTTATCACCAACTCTCCAGCTCTCAGTGCCTAGGACAGGGTGTGTATTGGAATATGTGATGGGGGAGTGAATGCATGCTAAGTCTAGATGATGCCCGGAGCGGGCTATAGACCCACTCATGTGAACGTCCGCTCACCCCTGCCCCGGAATCTTCCCAGGCCCAGATCTCCCCTTTCTCTGAGTGTTCCCACTCCCCAGCCAGCAGGCCATGTTTTGGGGCTGGACCCAGCCCGATCTGGAATTGAAACTCCTGATTAGGCCTCCTCGCATGTGAAACTGGGCTGCAGCCTCACCCGCCGGAGACAGTGGCCCTCACTTTCTTTAGTGACACAAAGCTGCTCCTACCCAGGGAGGGCCTGATGAAGCTCAGTGTCCACTTAGCCCAGTCGTGCCACCCTGGGTACTGGGGCCAGGCACCCTCCTCCTGGGTAAGGCAGGAATCAGGCTGGGGCGGGGAGAGTGTTCTGTTCTCTTGAACATGTGCTTTGAATGGCACAGCATAAATAAAGAGACACAGCCAAGGGGAAGGTATATATTTAAAATTCCTCCCCTTCATTTTCTTCTTCAAACGAATCAGTCCCCACTTCTTCATAATCCTTCTCCAGGGCAGCTAAGTCTTCCCTGGCCTCAGAAAATTCTCCTTCTTCCATCCCCTCTCCCACATACCAATGCACAAAGGCCCGCTTGGCGTACATGAGGTCGAACTTGTGGTCGAGGCGGGCCCAGGCCTCCGCAATGGCCGTGGTGTTGCTGAGCATGCAGACGGCCCGCTGCACCTTGGCCAGGTCTCCCCCGGGGACCACGGTCGGGGGCTGGTAGTTGATGCCCACCTGAGGGACACAGAAAGAGGAGGAGCCACAGAAGAAGATACAAGTCAGCCAGAGGATAACTCAGGATGGGACATCTTGGTCACTTGGCATGGCTTCAAGTCATGGTCAGGGGCGTGGGAGTGGGGCTATGGGATGCAACAGGCGGGATGGGACTGGGGAAGCCAGCAGGTGGCAAGGGAGAAGCTGAAGAGAAAGTGGAAGCAGGCAGGGCAACAGAGCAAAAACCCATCTCTACCAAAAAAAAAAAAAAAATTAGCCAGGCCCGGTGGCTATGCCTACTAGTCCCAGCTACTCAGGGAGGCTGAGGTGGAAGGATCACTTGAGCCCATGAGGTCAAGGCTGCAGTGAGCTACAGTGGTTCCACTGCACTCCAGTGGCAGGGACACAGCAAGACCCTGTCTCTTAAAAGCAAAACAAAAAAAAAAGTAGATGGGGAAGGGCTGGGCAATCAAAGGCTAGAGAAGGAGGACAGGGCTGGTATAGGGGGCTCAGCAAGTAGGCAAATGAGAGTCACGAGCGACATTAGGAGCGGGTGGGAGGTGTCTGGTACATGTGTATGTGTAACAGGGAAACGCATTCTAGATTCAAAGCTGTTCAAAAGTGTACTCTCTCCCAAGTGGTCATCTGAAGTTCCTCTTAGTTGTGTTGCGAGTAAATTTAAGGAAGTTTCCCTGCCAAGAGTGAAAACTGTTGGAAGAGGTCACAGGGATATTCCAGAGCAATAAATAAAGAGAGCCGAAAGGCCCCGGGATGGTGTTGGCGTTAACCAGGCTCTAGGTTTTTGGGAATTGGGGCTTCTTAGAAGAAAAGCAGGGTCTCCAATCCAAGAAGGTTGTTGAAGGTCTTGCCAAGTTCTGGCAGCATGGCAGGTCTCCCAGGCTCAGCCCAGACCCGTCTTACAGTGGTGCTGCTATCCTGGAAATCTCTCTTCTTCCCAACACACGTCCCAAACCAAAGCCAACCCCAGGAACCATGGGAAACTGGGACAAGTCTAATGTGGCAAACCGTGACATTACTTATGAGAACTATAGTGATGTCCTCAGCCACCTCTCCCACTGAGACCACCACATTTTAATCGCCAGTCTCTTAAATCCATAGCTTTAAAATGCACATCCTCCTGAGGGGCTGGTGTGGGAATGGCAGCCAGCTGTGTGGCAACATGGGTAGCCAGGCAGCCACTGGACCCACAGCAGCCGTCATTCCTCTTAGGCACAGGTGGCATCTTGGAGGTGGAGGTGATACTGGGAGAGGGGCAAAGTGGGGAAGGGAAAGGCAATGTATATGAATTTGGCCACATCACATACATTGCTAGAACTGAGCCGACTGCCATAAACCTTGTGCCTGGGCCAACCTGTTCTCCTCTAAGTGCTAACATCTCTTGACCTGAGTCAAGTGGGGACAAGTACTGTTGGAGAGAATGCAAGAAGATGAAGTTTAGCAGCATCCTCTCCAGGGAACATACTTTTCTTAGCTTATGCTAATGCTACCATAATGATCCTTCAGGACATAACTCCAGAGCTTCTGCTTTAAGGAGAGAGAATGAGGGGACATTTCCGCTTTGTTAATTTCCCCATCACCCACCATGTCTCTCATTCATTCTCTTTTTTCCCCATTCATTCTCCTACTAGCTGGTTGTTTGTTTCCATTTGAAAAAGAAAAAAGAATTTCATTTTTTGGAAGACCTTGACTGGTTTTGCCAGGATGATTAGAACTGTCACATAAAAAATAGGCATAGTCTTGGGGGGAAATTATATATGTAGCTAGAAGGATAGCAGTGAAAAGGAATGCTACACTCCTCACTCAGCAGAACAGCCAGGTCAAAGCCTCAGACCCATGCAGGGCAGCTATGAGGCCAGCACGCAGCTGGTGCCTCACACTTGTAACTCCCGCCAAGAAAACTGAGGCATGCTCATCTCTTCACCTCCAGCAACTGAGACAAACCCTGACACACAATAGGTACCAGTAAAACCTCTGAATGATTGAAAGCATGACTAGGGGCCAGGCTTGGTGGCTCACGCCTGTAATCCCAATGCTTTGAGAGGCTGAGGCAGGTGGATCACCTGAGGTCAGGAGTTCGAGACCAGCCTGGCCAACATGGTGAAACCCCATCTCTACTAAAAATACAAAAATTAGCCAGGCGTGGTGGTGCATGCCTGTAATCCCAGCTACCTGGGAGGCTAAGGCAGGAGAATCACTTGAACCCGGGAGGCAAAGTTTGCAGTGAGCCAAGATTGCACCACTGCACTCCAGCCCGGGCAACAGAGCAAGACTCCATCTCAGGGGAAAAATACAATAAAAAATAAAAAAAGAAATCCTGACTACAGGGCAGTAGTTAATGTGAATGTGGTAGCTGTTATGATGGCAGAATCTGACAAAAGACCATGGGTGGAGTGGCTGAGCTGTTCATGTGCACAGCCAGGCTGCTTGCCTGCCGGTCCAGCTCAGAGGGGTGACTTCTACCATTCAGCATTCCTGGTCCTGGGGCCCCAGGGTCTACCCTCGCTATTTTGTATCTCCCCACTGACTCTCTGAGCCTGGCATTTTCCAGACTGCGGGCACTTGGTTACCACCAGCCACACGGCTTGCTGGTTTTTGCTTACTCCTGGTTAATGGCAATGGAAAATAGCAATCATAGAACAACTATAAAAGTATCTTATTACTCCAAATTGATTAAGATGTGCAGGATAGATATTTTAAGTTTTCAAAATAAATTGGGAGAACACAGCTTTTTGTTAGAGAGAGGCATCATACTCCTCTGGCAACTGGAATAATTTGGTTAACTCTAAAATTAAAATGGCCACAAAATCATGCTGTACAAAGAAGTGTAAAATATCCATTAAAACTAACTTTAGGTTGGAGGCCAGGCGCGGTGGCTCCTGCCTGTAATCCCAGCCGAGACGGGCAGATCACAAGGTTAGGAGATCAAGACCATCCTGGCTAACACGGTGAAACCCCGTCTCTACTAAAAATACAAAAAATTAGCCGGGTGTGGTAGCAGGCGCCTGTAGTCCCAGTTACTCGGGAGGCTGAGGCAGGAGAATGGCGTGAACCCAGGAGGTGGAGCTTGCAGTGAGCCTAGATCGCGCCACTGCACTCCAGCCTTGGTGACAGAGCGACACTCCGTTTCACAAAAAAAAAAAAAAAAAAAAAGTCCGGGCACAGTGGCTCACGCCTGTAATCCCAGCACTTTGGGAGGCCAAGGCGGGCGGATCACGAGGTCAGGAGATCGAGACCATCCTGGCTAACACGGTGAAACCCCATCTCTACTAAACATACAAAAAATTAGCTGGGCGTGGCGGCGGGCGCCTGTAGTCCCAGCTACTTGGGAGGCTGAGGCAGGAGAATGGCGTGAACCTGAGAGGTGGAGCTTGCAGTGAGCCCAGATGGTGCCACTGCACTCCAGCCTGGGTGACAGAGTGAGACTCCGTCTCAAAAAAAAAAAAAAAAACAAAACTAACGTTAGGCAAATTGAACCAAATCATGAACACCAAAAGCACTGTACTTCAGGTGAGTAGATTTGGGCCAATACCAAATCATTACTTGTTGCTCAGTAAACAAAACCAAAGGTGATTAACCAATTAATCAATTTAAAATAGCACCAAACTTTTCTAAAATGGCCTAAACAGACAAAACTTTGACAGCACTTGTGTCTCAACCAAAGCTGAATTCCATTCATGTTACATTTGGTTGAAGTCCCCCTCCCCTTATCATCACATAAAGCCTGAAGCGCCCATGGAATTGCATATCCTTGGTCACCTCCCTCTGCTTCTCTAGTCCTCTCTCCCCTTCCTAAGTCATCAGCTCTCACCTTGAAGCCTGTGGGACACCAGTCTACAAACTGGATGGTCCTCTTGGTCTTGATGGCAGCAATAGCGACATTCACATCCTTGGGCACCACGTCGCCCCGGTAGAGCATGCAGCAGGCCATGTACTTGCCATGTCTCGGGTCGCACTTCACCATCTGGCTGTTGGGCTCAAAGCAGGAGCTGGTTATCTCGGCCACAGAGAGCTGTTCGTGATAGGCTTTCTCGGCAGAGATGATGGGCGCGTAGGTGACCAGCGGGAAGTGGATGCGGGGGTAGGGCACCAGGTTGGTCTGGAACTCAGTGAGGTCCACATTGAGGGCCCCGTCAAAGCGGAGAGAAGCAGTGATTGAGGACACAATCTGACTGATGAGGCGGTTGAGGTTGGTATAGGTAGGGCGCTCAATGTCAAGGTTCCTGCGGCAGATGTCATAGATGGCTTCGTTGTCCACCATGAAAGCACAATCTGAATGTTCCAGTGTGGTGTGGGTGGTCAGGATGGAGTTGTAGGGCTCCACCACTGCAGTAGAGACCTGGGGGGCTGGGTAGATGGCAAACTCCAGCTTGGATTTCTTGCCATAATCCAGGGAGAGGCGTTCCATCAGCAGAGAAGTGAAGCCGGAGCCAGTGCCCCCACCAAAACTGTGGAAAATCAGGAAGCCCTGCAGGCCAGAGCAAGCATCTGTCTAGGGAGAGCAGGACATGAGAAGAAATCATGAAGACAAGTTTCCGAGAACACCCCACAGTAAAAAAGCCAGACCGCCCACTCTGTCTGCCTCATATTTTTTTGTGGATGAAATCAAAACAGCTTTGAAGAAGTAAGGAAACAAAAGGAGTTGTATTGATCTTTGGAGGAGTGGCTAAAATATGGGATGGGGCCAGGCACAGTGACTCAATGCCTGTAATCCCAGCAGTTTGGGAAGCTGAGGCAGGAGGATCCATTGAGGCCAGGAGTTCACAACCAGCATGGGCAACATAGTGAGACCTCGCATCTACAAAAAATTTTAAAAGTTAACTGGGCGTGGTGATGCACACCTGTAGTCCCAGTTACTTGGGATGCTGAGGTGGGAGGATCACTTGAGCCCAGGAGCTCATGGCTGCAGAAATCTATGATCACACCACTGCACTCTGGCTTGGATGACAGAGCAAGTCTCTGTCTCTATTTTTTTTAATAGGATGACAAGCTGCAGGGGCACACGCCTCTAGGTACATGAAGGTTTCAGCCCAGTAACTTGGTTGAACAGGGAATGAGAGTTTCAGAACCACAGTGGATGGTGACTTTGCCCTTTGAGGGCCCCAACTCCTTGCCCACTTTCCCTGCTCTTGTCATTTGATTTTGTGGGAACTGCTGCCGACACACTTCAACCCAACCTTGGAAGGTGACTCAGGGCACCAATTTCAGAAAGGTACATGGAGCCAGAAAGCCTGAGTTCTAATATCAACTTTGCCATTTCTTGGTTGTAAGAACTTGAGCAAGTTACTGAACCTCTCCAAACTTCTGTTCCTTTTTTTTTTTTTTTTTTTTTGAGACAGAGTCTCGCTCTGTCGCCAGGCTGGAGTGCAGTGGTGCAATCTTGGTTCACTGCAAACTCCGCCTTCTGGGTTCAAGCAATTCTCCTGCCACAGCCTCCTGAGTAGCTGGGACTACAGGCGCATGCTACCATGCCCAGCTAATTTTTTGTATTTTTAGTAAAGATGGGGTTTTAACATGTTGGCCAGGATGATCTCAATCTCTTGACCCCGTGATCCACCCCCCTCAGCCTCCCAAAGTGCTGGGATTACAGGCATGCGCCACCATGCCTGGCCACTTCTGTTCCTTCTTAGTGAAAATGGGGACAATAGAAAATCCTCATAAGGTTATTGTGACAATTAAATAAAATAGCATAACATGCTGAGCAAGGGCCTGATACGTTGTAAGCACGGATGTCAGCTCTCACCAGAGAATTCATAGAATCACAGGATTTTCCCACTGGGTGTGATTTGAACTTTTGGGGACCACAGACAGCTTTGAGGCCAATGACCCTGACAAGCCCTCCTCTAAACAGAAAAAGTGAATATATGCAAAAGTTTGGCACCCTTACCTCCCAGGGAAAGAACATGTGATCAGGTCCAAGCTTTTCCATTATACAGATAAGCAAATGGAAGCTTAAATAAATAAAGTGACACAACCTACAACTCAAGAGCTTTGTAGTCCAACTGAGTTCAAACCCCAGCTCTGCCACTTTTTAGCTGTGTGACCCAGGCTAAGATATTGAACCACCCTGGCCCTCAATTTCTTCATCTGTAAAGCACAGGAAGGACACCTCCTAAGTCTAATTATTAAGGATTAAATGAAGGAATGTGCTTAACATCTGTAATGGCACTTGTAAGTGCCCAAATGTATCAACAATCTCTTCCTCTCCTCTTCCAAGTTAAATGCTTTGTTAACCTGTGTTTCCGACCAGCAGAGACCTCATCCTGCCTTATACCCGGAACCTTCCCCAGATACTAACAGAGAGTATCAATGAGTATGAGTAGGGCCTCAGCCTGGAACACAGTCTATGATGCCAACACAGAGGAAGGGGCATCACCCCTGTGCATGCTTCTTACAGAATTTAAGCAGAAATTCCCAAACCTTAGGAGCTCCATCCTATAGCCAGGGGTCAGATGCCTCTCCCTAGCCTGATCAAAGAGGCATGGGGCCAAGCCTGTCCACTCCAGCCTGACCCACCCGTCCCCTGCCCTCCTGATCTTACCAGCTTCCGTATGCGGTCCAGCACCAGGTCAATGCTCTCCTTGCCCACCGTGTAGTGGCCCCGGGCATAGTTGTTGGCTGCATCCTCCTTTCCTGTGATCAGCTGCTCTGGATGGAAGAGCTGGCGGTAGGTTCCTGCCCGAACCTCATCTTCCAAGAGAGGAAGACCATTAGGTCCTACTGCCCAGGGGAGAAGCCTCCCTCCCTACCACACTACCGCAGGACCCCTTCCGTTCTCCCCTACCTATAAAACTCCATGGAGGTTTGAAGCCAGACCACCTCGTAATGAATCTGCAAAAGGCTAAGAGAATTCCCGGGTAGCTCAGGGACTAACAGAGCCAAGGCCTGTGGCTCATGTGGGCGGTGAGAAGCAGGCTGCCCTGCTGGCTAGAACCCTAAAAAGACTTAGCTTTACAAAGCTCATCGAACATCGCCGGGCCCAGTGGCTCACGCCTGTAATCCTAACACTTTGGGAGGCCGAGGCGGGCAGATTGCCTGAGCTTAGGAGTTCAAGACCAGCCTGGGCAACACGGTGAAACCCCATCTCTACTAAAATACAAAAAGTTAGCCAGGTGTGGCAGCGTGCGCCTGTAGTCCCAGCTACTCGGAGGCCTGAGGCAGGAGAATCTCTTCAACCTGGGAGGCAGAGGCTGAGGTGAGCTGAGATCTTGCCACTGCACTCCAGCCTGGGCAACAAGACAGAGCGAGGCTCCATCTCCAAAAAAAACACAACAGCAACAAAACTTGGGCCGGCCGGGTGCAGTGACTCACGCCTGTAATCCCAGGATTTTGGGAGGCCAAGGCAGGCAGATCACGAGGTCAGGAGATCGAGACCATCTTGGCTAACATGGTGAAACCATGTCTCTACTGAAAATACAAAAAAATTAGGCAGGCGTGGTGGCCGGCACCTGTAGTCCCAGCTACTCGGGAGGCTGAGGCAGGAGAATGGCTTGAACCCGGGAGGCGGAGCTTGCAGTGAGCCGAGATTACGCCACTGCACTCCAGCCTGGGCGACCGAGCGAGACTCCGTCTCAAAAAAACAAACAAACAAAAAAACAAAAAAAAAGCTCATCGAACACCAACGCCAATTGCCTCTCCTCCCTTCCACCTTGACTCCTCCAGGTTTCCCTTTTGTTTTTTCTTTCATGCTGCAAGGTGTACCAACAATTTTTTTTTTTTTTTTTTTTTTTTTTTTGGAGACGGGGTCTCGCTCTGTCGCCCAGGCTGGAGTGCAGTGGCGCGATCTCGGCTCACTGCAAGCTCCGCCTCCCGGGTTCACGCCATTCTCCTGCCTCAGCCTCCCGAGTAGCTGGGACTACAGGCGCCCACCACCACGCCTGGCTAATTTTTTGTAATTTTAGTAGAGACGGGGTTTCACTGTGTTAGCCAGGATGGTCTCGATCTTCTGACCTCGTGATCCACCCGCCTCGGCCTCCCAAAGTGCTGGGGTTACAGGTGTGAGCCACCGCGCCGGGCCAAGGTGTACCAACAATTTAACTTAAGTCCTTTTGCATTAAAATATTCTAGGGACATGGAGAAAGATTCAGGATGATCTGCCCAGAACCTAGACCCCCAAGAGTTGTCCCACCCCTCAACTCCACCTCATGGTGGCAATAATATATGTCAGGCATTAGACATATTTTAGAATAATGGGAAGCAAAGCTATGTTCCAAGTCATAGAGGAGCAAGAGCCCTAGAGAGGCCTTTAAGGGGTCTCTGCTCACTTCCAAGGGTCCACACAAAGCGGATACAGAGCAGATCAAGACACATCAGGCCCCAACTATGTCACCTCTTCTCTTCGGGGTTCCTCTACTCCCTGCAGAAAAATCATCTGTGCAGTGGCCCAGGAGGTAACCTGCACTTTGTGCATTGGTGCAAAGCATCCAGGGGGTGGAGCATCTGCCCTCTGTTGCCCCTAGACATTGGTGTCCAGGCATATACTTCGTGCCCAGTCCTCTTTGCAGAACTGTCCATCTCTGGCTTGAGGAGCCAGGCTTGGAGCTGGGGAAATCCTGATATTCAACTGAGAGTTGACCCAGGGGTCAGAAACAGGGGAAGTGGCACTACTGGGGGATAGTGTGGGAAGGGGAGATCTGCCTAGACACAAGGCAGAATTCCTGTGTTTCCTAAACCTGAATGAACCTCATTCCAGAACTCCAGCGGCCCCTGGCTGTGAAGCAATGTGCCTGCTGTGATAGGCCCCTTTGTGTGTAAGATGCTGTGAGGTTATACCCACCCCGAGGGCAGACTCAGAAACCTATACTTAGGGAAATTGCTCACTTAGGGGTGTCTTATAATTTCTAAAATTATTTGGATTTTCTTATCCTTAGTATTTAGTAGCGATGTGACCATTTTGACCTGGTGCCGCAGGTTTTGGGGTTGAAGTGGGAGGCATTTTGTTCTGCATAGAGTCTTGATCACTGTCATGAGATTCCCCGAGACTGTGGGGACCCCAAGGAGCTGACAGATGTCACGTGGGGTGGGAGGCTGCGGTTGCACCATCCCCACCTTCCAGCTAGAGACGCTGCTTCCTTAGCTACTGTGGGCCAATGCCTCTGCAGTTTCGAGATGTTCTCTGTGGAGGGGAACTCCGCCCCCACTCACCCACTACAGTAGGCTCCAGATCTATCATGACGGCCCGGGGCACATGCTTCCCATTGCCAGTCTCGCTGAAAAAGGTGGTGAAGGAGTCATCATCGTTGATCTTGCTAGCTTGAGCATCAAAAGTGCCGTCTGCCTGGATGCCGTGTTCCAGGCAGAAGAGCTCCCAGCAGGCATTGCCAATCTGAACTCCCGCTTGGCCCACGTGGACTGATATGCATTCCCGCTGTGGGGAGAGGGAAGCAACGAGGTCAGAGAGTCTGGGCCCCCAGCATGCCTTTGCCCTACATCCCCATAACATTCACCTTGCAGGCCAGCCAGGCCCCAGCCCCCCATTGCCAGTTGGCGTTGAGGCTGCAGGTGCCCCAGCTCTATAGCAGCTGGACCAGGACTTAGATCCAAAGAAGACACAGCTGTTTTGTGCTTTGCTCTAAAGGTTGCTTCCCAGGGTTGACCTTTTATACCAGGAAAGAAAAAAGGAGGGTGGTTGCAAAGATGAAGCAAGGGGCTAATTCCAAACCACAAGATTCCTGCACTGGTGAAGAAGGCCCAAGGAAGAACTGGCGATCATGGCAGAAACTCTCCTTCAGCCTACGCCCACACAAGGCAGCATTCACAGCTGCTCCTGACCCTGACTTTCTGACATTGTGCACACATGCACACACACAGTCTCAGGATATCACAGAGCAAATGAGCACTCATGAAAGGAACATGCTCTGGAAGTATGCGCCATGGCTGTCAGTAGTATCATGGTTACCAATGTAGAAATAAAGGATTATTTATTACCCCAAGAGAGGATGGGGAGGGTATAAATTAGGCCCTTCCTGCACGCTGAACAATTGGAAAATCTTTGCAGCCCCATAGCCTGCCCCTTGCCTATGCCAGGCCAAGTGTTAAGTAAAGCTGATGTGAAGCCACAATTGCCTGATTGGTATTCGTACTAACAGCTTAAGATGGGGAGTGCACTGATGGGAATGTAAATTGGTTCAGCCACTGTGGAAAGCAGTTTGGAGATTTCTCAAAGAACTCAGAACTACCATTTCACTCAGCAATCCTGTTACTGGGTATATATCCAAAAGAAAATCATCCTACCAAAAAGACACCTGCACTCACACGTTCATCACAGCACTATTCACAACAGCAAAGACACGGAATCAACCAGGTGCCCAGCAATGGTAGACTGGATACAGAAAATGTCATTCATATACACCATGGAATACTACGCAGCCCCCAAAAAAGAATGAACCCATATCCTTTGCAGCAACATGGATGCAGCTGGAGGTCATTATCCTAAGCAAATTAATGCAGGAATAGAAAACCAAATACCACATGTTCTTATAAGTGGGAGCTAAACATGGGTACTCATGGACAGAAAAATGGCAAGAGTAGACACTGGGCACTACTGGAGCGGGGAGGGAAGAAGCGGGCAAAGATTGGAAAACTAACTATTGGGTACTATGCTCATTACCTGGGTGACAGGATTAATCGTACCCCAAACCTTGGCATCACAATATATACCCATGTAAGAAATCTGCATATGTACTCCCTGAATCTAAAATAAAAGTTGAAATTATTAAAGAAAAAGGGGGGTGGGGAGAGAGACAGTGTGTGTGTGTGTGTGTGCACGTGCACACGTAGGCGTGATAGACTCATCCTCCCACCCACACCCTGCCCTGGGGAAGCAGTGGCCCACACAAGGCGACACTGTGCCTGGGGCAGCCGCCTGAGCCCAGCAGGAAGCATGTGCCAGGTCTGTGGGTTTCTATTTTTACCCATGACCTGCCCTGGCATTTTCCAGCTCCGGGTAACCCAAGCCAGGGGCAGAGCCTCCAGAGGGCACGGCTGGGCACAGAAGCCAGTAGAGTCCACGTCAAAGTGTGGGGCTCCTGGAGACGTGGAAGAAATTCTGGGCATGGAGAGCAGGGCAGCTGCCCTGAGTAGCATCTTGCGGGGTCAGAGCATCAGGACCATTGCCCCCTAGTTCAATTTTACAACTGTGCCCCCACTCTAGTCCTGTCTCTGTGCTACAGCTGAGCGACACCTGGTCCTTGCCTTGAGGGAGGATGAGCACAGGGGTGAGCGTGGGGCAGCCCGACGGGGGTCGCAACCCGCTGGATCTCCGTGAGCCTGGTGGCTAGGGAGGGGATTCACCCACAGAGCTGCCCACGGCCCCAGGTTCCCATGTTGCCTTCTCAATTTACTTGCTGTGCTGTGTGGCCTGGGCTGAGTTACTGAGCCTCTCCTCATCTGAAAAGTGTAAGTTAGCCACAGTTGTTGATGCTGTCTTGCCATTATCATTTTCA
Source organism: Homo sapiens (assembly GCF_000001405.40). Lineage (NCBI taxonomy): Eukaryota > Metazoa > Chordata > Mammalia > Primates > Hominidae > Homo > Homo sapiens. The sequence goes on along the minus strand of NC_000022.11, from coordinate 18,119,401 downwards.
TTACGGTACTACCTGGTAGCATTTTTCTGCACCGGGAAGTAGCACACGTAGAGGGAGCTCTCAGGTCCCTGCTCCTCTCTCCTTTATTGTGGGGTCTATTCTCTGCCTCCATCTGAGGGCTCAATTCAGGCCTAAGGAAAGCAGCATCTGCATCCAGAAACCACCCACAACCAGCGAGTTATCCACCCAGACCACGGCGTCACATTCAGCATGTGGCTGTGACTTCCCAGGGAGGTGTGGAAGCTGAGGGGACACTGGAGAGGCCCGAGGGGGGCCTGATCCTATGTATTTTCCTTCTAAGTGACAGTGTCCTCTGTGGTCCTAACCCTCAGCCTTCTGGGTCTGTCGCCCCCTCACCACCACCGCATCCCGACCACCCTCTAGTCCTGCCTACAGTGCTGCCCGGCCCCCAGCCTGCTCTCACTTCTGGAACATTCTGGGGCTTTCCAGGGAGGACGCAGGGATATTTTGGGAAAATCGAAGATCATGGGAGGAAGAGTCAAGGATTTGGGGGACCTGAAAACCACTAGCATGGTGACAACGTCTTTAGCCTCTTTTAATGCCCTCATTAATCTCACACTAATACATATGCCAGTCTTTTACAAAATGTCTGTCTCTTTCTCTCTCCCCCGCCCCCGTCGTGCAAACACACACACCCCTTAGAAAGAGCTATTTTTCCTATTGAACTAGCTCATAAGAATAATTGGAGGCATAAAATAGACTCAGAAATGACTGACAGATTCATAGGTGCTCTCAAAAGTGAAAAGTAGCTACACCAATCAAGAGAGAAGGAAGATCCCTGCTAACAGGAACTGGGCTCCTTGGAGAGACGGAGGCGTCCAGGTCCAGGGTGGGGAGTGTGCTAGATGAGCCTGGAATGTCGCATAGCGCCTGGAGGCACGGAGGCTAACCAAGGGGCTGCCCAAGCACCTGAAGAGGCTCCTGCTGCCTAAGATGAGACAACCTGAGCCTCACAAGTACTGATGGCAGCATTTGAGTGAAGCAGGATGCAAGATGAAAACCCACAAGTCCTCAAAGAAAACCCCCAGAGAAAAACTCATTTGTCCCTATCCAGACAGCCCCGTTAGTTAGAGAAGGCTCTTTTTTCTTTAATTGAAGAATGTCTGCTAAGCAATGTGGACCGAATAATAGATTATCAAATATTGCCCTATTCCATCTTCTAATTACGTGATTGATTTGGACAAGAACGCCAACACCATTAGGTGAAAGACTGATGGGGAACTGGATCTTCGCCGAGAGCCAAAGAACCACTGTTATAGTCACAAGGGGGGACGTAACTACCAGGGTCGCCAGCCTAAGGCCGCGATCAATCTCAGCATCGCTAACTGTGGGCCAACCCGACATCGAGGACCTCCTGATGGGACGCAATGTGACACACACACCACCAGTGAGGACTTCTTCTCAAAAATACTCAGCCCTCATCACTGAGCCCTGTAGATTCAGTTTCCACTTCACAGGAAACACAGGGATCAGAGGGTTAATTAAGTTCAGTGATATCAGAGAAAACAAAATCAATCCAGAAGGTGAGACATCCTACAGGGCAGCTGGTCCAGCCTTTTTTTTTCTTAATTTTTTTTATTTACTTTCTTTTTTTTTTTTTTTTTTTGAGACGGAGTCTCACTCTGACGCCCAGACTGGAGTGCAGTGGTGCGATCTCGGCTCACTGCAAGCTCCGCCTGCCGGGTTCACACCATTCTCCTGCCTCAGCCTCCCAGGTAGCTGGGACTACGGGCGCTCGCCACCACACCCGGCTAATTTTTTGTATTCTTTTAGTACAGACAGGGTTTCACCATGTTAGCCAGGATGGTCTCGATCTCCTGACCTCGTGATCCACCTGCCTCAGCCTCCCAAAGTGCTGGGATTACAGGCGTGAGCCATCGGGCCTGGCCCAGCCTTTTCAACTCATGAGAAATGAAGAGCTGGGAGGGGCTGTCCCATGTCAAAGGAACTAAGGCACCACCAAGCACCACCACACGCATCATGGGGACTCTGACTGAATTCTTGTTTGAACAAATCAAAATATTTGGGGGACAAATAAACTGATTTGCTTTGTTCAGCGTATTCATAAAAATGTGGTTAAGTATGAAAACATCCTTATTTTTTAGAGTTGCATCCGAAGCATTTAGAGGTAAAATGTCATGACGTCTGTACTTTAAAATCCTTCCCAAACACAGCAAATAACAGATGGAAAAATCATTCTTCTTCTTAAATCTAGATAATAGGTATATGGGTGGCATATCACTCTACTTTTCTGAAGGCTTAAAATTTTTCATAGTAAAAAGCAAAAATCATAATAAAGAAGACAGAGAAAGAATAGGAGCACGGACTGCCCTCTCCAGAACCCCCTTATCCTGGGCCATTGCACGCAGTCACTTACTCAAATAATAATTGACTACGCGCCTACATTGCTAGGGCTTTGAAGTTCCATGAAGAAATCACAAGTGAAATTCAAAGCTGCACGAGGCTTCATGGCACTGTGAGGTCCGTGCCCAGCCCCAGCACTCTGCAGGCCTCTTGCACCTGCTCCTAGCAGGGAGGAGGAGCAGCCCACAGCTCCCGCATCGAGCTCCCGGCTCAGGCACTGAGCTCGACTCCTGCAGCCATGCTGCCCCATTACCCTCCCCAGCCTTCGGCCTGGAAGTTCCACAGAGCAGACCCAGTGCTGAAGCCCGTGGGACGCATCCTCACGTCTAAGAAAAGGCATCCTTCTATCATAACCAGGGATGTTATATCGGCTCCGAACATTTAGGATACCAGAGCTGGGCCAGTCAAGGGCATCCTTCTATCATAACCAGGGATGTTGTATTGGCTACAAACATTTACGATACCAGAGCTGGGCCAGCCTCATGGATCACCTAATATGATTCCCTCTCCATTATTTTACAGATGAAACTGCTGAGCTCAGAGAGGAAAAGGGACAAATTCAGTATGTCACAGCACTGCAGCAGCAAAAGAGCCTGGACCAGAATCCAGGGCTGCTGACCCGGGCCTGACTTCTTTCTTTTAGGCCACATGGCCTCCTGCCTCACTTGCAGCTCTGAACTCCCAGGGCCCTGGGGTGTGCCCACATCTGCGCCAATGCAAGACCAAGTTCGGATAGCAGAACTCCAAACAGGAAATGTCTCTTGTGCAGAGCGAAATGGCGAATGGCTCATGGGGCGGCCTCTTTGAAAATGGGTCATCTTTCTCTGACAGAACCAGAAGTCCGCTTCTCAGGGCCCACGTGTGCAGCTGGGGTTGGGGGCAAGGGGAAGCTGACCCAGCAGAGGATATTTAAGTCATGTGCCCGCTCCAAACTCATATTTCAGATTCCTCTGTCTAGCCAATCAGAGCACATGCCTGTCACTCACACTGCTCCTGTCTCTCTCAGTTCTATTTTCAATCTGGGCTTGTAGAGCTCAGACAAGTTCTGTCCTCCTTGGTCCCTGTGAGGGGAGGGGGTCCCTTGTTTGCTGCAGAAGCCTGTCCCACCCAACTTCTTCTGGGGGGTGAAGAGGAGGGAGGTGGAGGGACCAAGGAGGTCCCTTCCTCATGAAAAGCATGCCACTTCTCACACAGACCTCACGCTGGGATAGCTACAAAAGGCACCTACTCATTTCTACAGCAAATCTTTTTGTGTGGTTGCATTCGAGACAGCATTGTGAGGTTACTGGGCTAACTCTCATTCATCCTTCAGGTATCCAGTTAATTGTCACTTCCTAAGGAAAGTCTGCAAAACCCCAAGCCAGCATAGGGCCCTGCCATGTGCTCCCCCATCCCCTTCATTCCTGTCATTGTAATCATCACACCGTATTATAGCTGCCTGTTCATTTTCGCACCTTTCTAGTAGAGAACGTAAGCTCTGTGAGGGCAAGGAACCTTTGTTTCACTCAAGGAATCCCCAGTACCGAGCCCGGTGCTTGAATGTAGCAGGTGCTCAATTAACACAGGGAGGACTGGAATGAAAACCTTCCCTGAGGGGCTGCAGTCCATCCAACAAGGACAGCGGCCAGGGCCTAAGAAGTGTACGGGTCAAGTGCAGAGGGAGTTCCAAGGAGAAGGAGACATCTTCTAGCTTGGTTTCCTAAAGGAGGAATATTCGCAGGGACCCTGAAGAAGGCAGCCGGCCAAGATGATCTGGGGCAGTTCAGGTGGATGCAGGAGCAGTGTGAACAAGAGGCAGTAAAACGCAGGGTGGTTCCCGCACACTGCCCAGTCTGTCCGGAGCGCAGGCTGAGGAAGGGCAGGGCCAATGAGACATCTGGGCCACCTGTGAACACTCCGCCTGGGGAGCCACTGCCCTGTGAGCCAAGGCCCCTCGCTGGGAGGCATGAGCCCAGTGCCTGTGTTTTGCAGAGCATCAATAAAAGAAATTCTAGAACTTTGCAGCCCTTTTATAATTTTGCTGCAAGAAGCCCTTTTTTTTTTACATCATTCTTATATTCTATTTTAATAGTAGTCATTTCCTTTTGCTTTGTTCTCAGAGGACTAAGATAAGCTAATCACCATCCTTGGCAAAAGGAGACTTTGAAGCCTTAAAAAGGCTGTCTTGTGATACTATTTCCAAGTATCACAAGACAGTAAAAGTGGCATATCATCTGGGAGAGGGGCCGACGTGGACCACAGTGTGTGCCCTGTGAAAGCCTGGCACCACCCACACTCCCTGACCACCTGTGCTCTCATGCCCCAGTTGCTGTCAGGAAGCATGTGATTACACCGAATTATCTCTAGTTGTCAGGCTGGGATAAAATAGATCACATATATCTTAGGACCTAGGTCAGGGATGGCAAGTGAAAAGCAGGCCCACAGTGTCACAGAGGGGTAATTAAAGTAAGGACAGATGTGGCTCCTGAAGGGCTGCTGAATTCTCTCTGCTCAGAACTCTTCGATCATAGGGCATATTTGAGATCACTCATAACAAAGAATAGATAGCAAGCCAGACACAGCAAAAACAAAGTCGGCCTAAATTCACTTTAGCGAGTGAAGGTGGCTCGCGAGAGGGGCTCAGATGATAGGCACTGCAGTTAGGGCAGCAACAGAGCTCACAGGAGGCCAGCTCTGGCCATGAGGCCATCTGCTAAGGAGACTTCCAGCATAAGAGGCCGGAGGGCGTTGAAGGCCTGGGCTGTGGCTGGCACTGGGGCAGGTGCAAGAGACACTTAGGAGTTTCAATCCGATGCACACAGTGCCTGCTCCATCTCCTGCTCTCTTCTGCAGCTTATTATCTGAGAGAACTCCTAACAGGAAGACACTGCAGGGGAAATGCCAACCACAAAGGCCACAGATAGTGCTGTCCGTCCCTTGCGGCTTGAGGGAAAAGGAGCATTTGGTCTGCTTCCTCCCCCCGACAGTGCCACATCCTCCTGCCCACCCCCATCACTGGCCCGCTATCCACCAGCTATTTCCCCCACCAAAATTATTTTTAACTTTCATCTCCCTTTGAAGGTCACTAGGAGAAAGCACATTCAACAGTGGCATTAACCCCCACCCCAAGCTCTGTATGGGCCTGACCCAAGGCTGGGGGCTCCCAATGGACTCACCAATCCAGCAGCTCTGCCCCAGCCGCTGCCCTGTGAGCCAAGGCCCCTCACTCGGAGGCATGCGCCCAGTGCTTCTCGGGAAACCTGCCTTTTGTGATGGGAGGGGAGGAGGAGGCAGCAGTGACCTGCAGCCCCTGGGAGCCCACACAGTGCTCTGAGGTCAGAATACACCTATCAACTCCACAGAGCTTGGCCATGCCTGTCTACATGGGGAGACTGCAGAAGGCTGCAGGCAGAAGGGTGTCCATTTGGCCCCCAGAACCCTCTAACTGCCCATTTTTGCAGGGAGACGGGCTCCTTCGTGCTCTCCAGTCCTAACGGAATGGAGTTAAAGAAGCCGTGTTGCAGATGTTCCCACCTCCCCATAAACCACAGAAAACTTCTCTGTGCCCTGGTATCATTGGCATGGGCTTGGCTTAGGGCACCTGGCCAGGATTCTCCATACCACTTCCCAAAAAAGGTGTCATAGTCTGAGTTCCCAGAGAGCTGCGTGCTAGAACACTGGGAATGGATGGGAATGGTCTGCTGTGGGAGTAGCCTGCCGGTCCCAGCACGGGCAGGTGGCTCAGGACAGAGGCTCTGGTGCCCAGCAGATGTAAACTCCAGCCCCTACGCAGCTTCTTACCAGCTGTGTCACTTTAGGCTCCAGGACAGAAATGCTAAAGGGTATTGGTGGTACCGTGCAGTGGGTAGCTGGGGAGAAGGGGTTGGGGGTAAGTTCACAGAGGAAAAATGCTCATCTGCCTAGCAGCTAGAGAAATGCATTTAAAAATACACTTAAGGATTAGTTACACTTTTCTTGCCCAGAGCCTACAGAAATTCCAAATCGAATTCTCCTTAACACCAAGGTCACCTCCCCCAAACCCCCACCAGGGAGGGAAGTGAAGGGGACAGGACAGCAGCCTGAAACTTAATCCTTAGAAGAAATACAGTCATTTTTGTAAGGGTGAGATTCTAGGGGTCTAGGTTTATAGATGTGTCATTTTAGCCTTTTACAAATGAGCCAAATGATATTTTAAAAGTTTCTGTGAGTGTAAAATGTTCAACAAAAAATATTAGCCATCAAGACAGTGCAACGCACACAAGTTAAATGTTCTAGATAGAACCTACTAGACAAAATTGAGTGTTTCAAAATAAATGAAAGGTGGTCGCATTTCAAAATATTTAACCATAGGTTTTCAGCTAAACACCCAAATTCTTAAGCACGTTCAAAATAAAGTTTTGCTGTTTGAATTGTTGATTTACCAGGCATTGTCAGAAACACGTCTGTGGATCACACATTCAAGCTTGTGCACAGGGCTGGGTTAAGATCCTCGACACGCCCCTGTAAACATCCTCTGGGCTCCACTCTGTACCACAATGGCATTCAGATCCAAATTAAAGCATGCAAGGGAAGCACTTGGAAAATCCTAAAACACTAGCTACCTGCTAGATATTATAAATATTAAATATCAATTCTAGAGTATGCAGCCTAGCATTTGCTTCAAAATTATGGAGGGAGGGAATAAATGAAGTGAGACAGGTCAGAAGTTGGTAATTATTGAACTTAGATGATGTATATAATCGCTAATTATACCATTTGCTCTCCGTTTGCATATGTTTGAAATTCCCTACCATAAAAAGTTTAAAAATAATGAAATCTAAGTGGAGTCTTGGAAATTTGAATTATAACCCTCTTCATTTCGCAGGTAAAACAAACACATCCAGAGAGGTTAAGTGACCTTCCTGAAGTCACACAGCTAGCTGCAGAGCCAGGAGTCAAAATTCTGAACTGGCAGCTCCGGGCCCTTTGTGTGGCCTCATACCAGGGTCCTCAGGCAGAAATAGGTTCCTGTGGCCACCCTCCCTAATATTCCCAAGTTCTTTCAGTTCCCAGGGGTGTCTGGGAGCCCGCTAGGAGGAGGGAGGGTGCTGACAAAACTGAAGCTGGAAGGCTAGAGCTCCGGGGGAGCCAGGAGGCCCTGGGCACGGGCCAAACGTAACAGGGCGGGGCGGAGGGGGTTCTCGCCTGCTTTCTGGATCACTGACACCTGGAGCAAGCCTGCCCAGGGAACCCGACCTTGGCCATGACATAGGCTTATTCTGCCCTCACTCTGCCCCCAATCTTTCCAGCCCATCTCCCTACTGCTGAAAGATCAGGGGTCCAGGAGGGATTCCTGGGATTCTGGGCTTTGGGAAAGTGGACTGGGGGCAAATGTTAACCACCAGGGGCACTGGGGGCGGAGAGGGGGACCCTAGAAAGAGGAACTGAGTGTTTGCAGCCGCCCCTCAGTAAGATCCAGGGGCGGGGGCAGGGAAGGGAGCAGCCGCGATCCCCCTAAGCCAGGGTAGGAAACAGGTCGAAGGTCCCCTGGCCTTTGGAAGCAGAGACTTCTTACTCCCAAAGTCCTTCGACTCTGACCGCTGGAAAGACTTGGGAGCTGCTGAGTGCGCCCGGAGGACCCCGCCGCGCTGGGGCTGTGCGTGCAGCAAACCCAAGCCGCTGGCCAGGCTTGCGAGAAAGACCTCCACGCGTGGGGGGACCGTGGCGCCCTAGGTCCTCTGTCACATTCCGGGCCCTGTCACATTAGGCTGGGTTCGGAGACGTGACTGCATCTGGCCCCCCAGTCGCCCCGGCCCAGACCACCCATCCAGAATCCCCGGACTCGCCCTTCTCTCCACTCTGTCCACAGGCTGCCCATCTGGGGACCCCAGAATCTCGCCCCCTTCTCCGTCGGGCTCCCCAGGGCCTCCCTCCCCCTCGTCTGCACGCAAAGCTCCCTTAGGTCCCTTTAAGGAACAACTGGCCCCTGGTCTCTATTTCCCCCATACGATAAAGGGCACCGGGTGTTCCCGCCCGAGGGTGCGGACTCCTCGACCCTGAACTGCCACCCCCAGAAGGCCTTGAGCCCTGCGGCTCCAGGAAGACGGGTCCGTGCGCCTCCGCGTAGACTCGGCTCTCGGTCCTACGCCTGCCGCGCGCCCGCAGCCCGCCTGGCCCCGGGAAGCCTCACCATCGCTGCCGCTGTCCTCGCCCGCGCACCTCTCAGCTGGGCCTGCCCGCCCCGACTGCTCCAGATACAGCCGCCTCCGCCGTTGTGACACACCGGGAGGGGGGGACGCCGGGGACAGGCGCGCCGGGCCCGCAGCTGCCCCCCGGCATCACAGTGCCGGGGAGGGGCGGGCAGGTCACAAAGGCCCCTCCCCGCCCACCCGCGGCTCAAATCTCCGGGTCCTCGGTCCCGCCTCAGCAGCCGGGGGCGCTCGCAGCGGGGACTGCGCCCGCGGGGGAGGCTGCCCTATTACCAAAGCGCACGTGTCCACGTTCCAACACCGCCGGCGAGAGCAGCCTTCGTGACCCCAGCTGCCGGAGAAAGAAATGTAAAATGCAGCCAGGCGAATCGCGCGGGTCTCCCCAAACTTCCGTTCTCCTCCGACCCGCTGGAAAGGCTCCTGACTGGGGTGCAGCTGACCGGAGCGGGCTGCAGCGGGCCCGGGTGCCAAGGTGCCGTCTCAGCTGGGCGCCCTAGGGCCGTGTGTGCTTGGCAAGCTGCAGGGCCTCTGCTCCCAAAGCCTGTGCCTCCTGCCGCCAAGGCCCGCCTGGTTGCTGGAGACGGAAATGAGATGGCATACACAGAGCTCCTGGTACAGGCAGGTGCTGAAGACTGTTCCCGTTTTTACCCTCTCCCCGGATACCTCGCACCTCCACCGGGATTTTCAAATCTCCCCCCTTGATCCCTTCCTACTTTTAAGCCCCAAACGTGTCCAAGTCACATCTCCTATGTAATCCAGAACTCATACCAGGGTTCCCCTGCCTCTGCCCAGTAGTAAGACCCGCCAGATGCTGTTGGTTGCCCCCTGCTCGGGAAGGGGTGGGCACTTGGTAAAAGCCCCTCTTCACACTTTAGATGTTGGCCACGTTGTCACCCTGCCCATCTCCCCTCACTTCCCCCCAGGTGGGTGAGGGGCTGGATGGTCTTTGTTCCTTGTTCTCACTGCTGTTTCTTGTTCTTTCCCTCCAGTGGTCAGTTCCATTCATGTTGAAAGGTGTACCCCAGCCTCTCTCTTCCACTTTCCTCAGCACCAAGCCAACGCAGGCAAATTCATAGGTTTTCCTTAAGACAATACCACTTTAGCCAGACGTGGTAACTCCCCAAGTTTCCAAGCACAGTTAGAGATCTTCCTACCCTTCTGCTCCTAAGACATGCCTGCTTGTGGCCAATAGAGAATGAGAGCAGATTTCTGCTTACCTATGCGGCAATCTGTTCTGTTGGCCACCCATTCATAAACGATAGTACATGTGTCGTAATCATCTTTGCATTTGAGAGAGTACCAAACACAGTGCTTTACCCACTGATACAAACGGTACTTAGTAAAGCATGCGTTGAATTTTTGTCTATCTTATAATGTAAGATCCTGACAATTAAGACTCAGGATTAAGCTAATTGTGCCAAGCACATGATAAATGGTCAATAAAGGATTTTGGTTATTAGTATAACTCTATGTGTATTTCTCTTCCAAACTCTCCCATAGCATATTCTATTACTTCTTCCATAGCATTTCTTTTATTTTTTATTTTTTTTGATGGAGTCTTGCTCTGTCGCCCAGGCTGGAGTGCGGTGGTGTGATCTAGGCTCACTGCAACCTCCGCCTCCCGGGTTCAAGTGATTCTCCTGCCTCAGCCTCCCGAGTAGCTGGGACTACAGGCGCGTGCCACCACGCTCGGCTAATTTTTTGTATTTTTAGTAGAGACGGGGTTTCACCGTGTTACCCAGGATGGTCTCAATCTCCTGACCTTGTGATCCACCCATCTTGGCCTCCCAAAGTGCTGGGATTACAGGCGTGAGCCATCGCGCCCAGCCCCATAGTATTTATCACTTTCTTTTTCTTTTTTTTTTTTTTTTGAGACAAAGTCTCGCTCTGTTGCCCAGGCTGGAGTGCAGTGGTGCGATCTGAGCTCACTGCAACCTCGCCTCCTGGGTTCAAGCGATTCTCCTGCCTCAGCCTCCTGAGTAGCTGGGATTACAGGCAGGCGCCACCATGCCCGGCTAATATGTATCTTTAGTAGAGACAGGGTTTCACCATGTTGTTCAGGCTGGTCTCGAACTCCTGACCTCGTGATCCACCTGCCTCGGCCTCCCAAAGTGCTGGAATTACAGGCGTGAGTCACCGTGCCCAGCCGTATTTATCACTTTCTAGTTTGGAGTATAGGGGTGTGTGTGTGTGTGTGTGTGTGTGTGTGTGTGTGTGTCTAAACACTCTACAAAACAGCAACACCTTAAAGGAAGGGGTTGTGTTATTCATCTTAGTGCCCTCCCTACCAAAAATAGCTAGTTGAGTGCATCAGGTGAGCTCAGTAAACATAGCTGAATAAATTCACTTTTCGAGTTCTCTTTGTGAACCACCACATAAATCATGAACGGGTTCTTAAGGTGTTGGGATAAAGATGATGATGATGGTGATGATGATGATACTAGTAATGACGGTGGCCCTGAATTGCCTTTCATTATGACAAGGCTCTTGAACCACCTCATCTTTCCCCTTTATGAAAATTTGGGCTGGAGGGAGCTATGACTACACCATAAATGCTAACTATAGCATCTCTGGGTTCCAGGGAGATAAAATAGGTTGGCTGTTATGGACTGAACTGTGTTTCCCCAAAATTCATGTGTTAAAGCCTAATCCCCAGTGTGACTGTAGTCAGAAATAGGGTCTTTAAGGAGGTGATTATGATTAAATGAGGTCCCAAGGATATGACCCTAATCCAGAAAGACTGGTGTTGAAGAGGAAGAGACACGAGGAGGGTGCAGACACGGAGAAAAGGCCACGTGACGACACACCGAGAAGGCGGCCATCTGCATGCCAAGGAGAGAGGCATCAGGAGAAACCAACTCTGCCAACATCTTGACATTGGACTTCCAGCCTCCAGAATTGTGAGAAAATTTATTTCTGCTGTTTAAGCCACCCAGTCTGTGGTATTTAGTGATGGCAGTTGTAAGCAGACTAAAACAGTGGTCTTGGAGTCTTTAGAGAAAAAACAATTGGCTGGGTGCAGTGGCTCACGCCTATAATCCCAACACTTTGGGAGGCTGAGGCGGGCGGATCAGCTGAGGTTGGGAGTTTGAGACCAGCCTGACTAACATGGTGAAACCCTATCTCGACTAAAAATACAAAATTAGCTGGGCATGCTGGCGCATACCTGTAATTCCAGCTACTTGAGAGGCTGAGGCAGGAGAATCGCTTGAACCCAGGAGGTGGAGGTTGCAGTGAGCCGAGATAGCACCATTGCACTCCAGCCTGGACAACAAGAGTGAAACTGTCTCAAAAAAAAATCTACTTCTTTTTGGTTTTTGTCCTCCTTCTTAAAATTATTTGATTTGTGGCATCCTGGATCCCCCATCTCACCCTGCTGTATGCTTTCCTCCCTGGGTATAAGTTTGGAAAGGGGAAAGGACATGTTTTTAAGTCCCTGTGATGTTTAATTTTATGTGTCAACTTGACTTGGCCACAAAGTACCCAACATTCATTGGTCGAACATTATTCTGGGTGTGTTTGTGAGGGTGTTTCTGGGAGATAAACACATGAATCAGTAGACCATGAAAAGCAGATGGCCCTCCTTAATGTGCAGGGGCCTCATCCAACCAACTGAAGAACAGAATAGAACAAAAAGGCTGAGAAACAGGGAACTTCTGCCTGCCTGACTGTTGAGCTAGGTAGGACATTGGTCTTCTGCCCTTGCACTAGAACTTTCACCAGCAGCTCTCCTGGTTCTCAGGCCTTGACTCAGACTGAAACCACGTCTTCACCTCTCCTGGGTCTCAGGCTTCAGACTCAGACTGGAACTACATCTTCAGCTCCCCTGGGTCTCAAGCTTCAGACAGACTGAAACCACATCTTCAGCTCTCCTGGGTCTCAGGCTTCAGACTCAGACTGGAACCACACCATCAGCTCTCCTGGGTCTCAGCCTTCAGACAGACTGAAACCACATCTTCAGCTCTCCTGGGTCTCAGGCTTCAGACTCAGACTGGAACTACGTCTTCAGCTCTCCCGGGTCTCAGGCTTCAGACAGACTGAAACCACATCTTCAGCTCTCCTGGGTCTCAGGCTTCAGACTCAGACTGGAACCATGTCTTCAGCTCTGCTGGGTCTCAGGCTTCAGACTCAGACTGGAACCACATCTTCAGCTCTCCTGGGTCTCAGACTTCAGACTCAGACTGGAACCACACCATCAGCTCTCCTGGGTCTCAGGCTTCAGACAGACTGAAACCACATCTTCAGCTCTCCTGGGTCTCAGGCTTCAGACTCAGACTGGAACTACGTCTTCAGCTCTGCTGGGTCTCAGGCTTCAGACAGACTGAAACCACATCTTCAGCTCTCCTGGGTCTCAGGCTTCAGACTCAGACTGGAACCACGTCTTCAGCTCTCGTGGGTCTCAGGCTTCAGACTCAGACTGGAACCACGTCTTCAGCTCTCGTGGGTCTCAGGCTTCAGACTCAGACTGGAACCACGTCTTCAGCTCTCGTGGGTCTCAGGCTTCAGACTCAGACTGGAACCACGTCTTCAGCTCTCGTGGGTCTCAGGCTTCAGACTCAGACTGGAACCACACCATCAGCTCTCCTGGGTCTCAGGCTTCAGATTCAGACTGGAACCATGTCCTCAGCTCTCCTGGAACTCAGGCTTCAGACTCAGACTGGAACTACGTATTCAGCTCTCCTGGGTCTCAGGCTTCAGACTCAGACTGGAACCACACCATCAGCTCTCCTGGGTCTCAGGCTTCAGACTCAGACTAGAACCATGTCCTTAGCTCTCCTGGATCTCAGGCTTCAGACTCAGACTGGAACCACGTCTTCAGCTCTCCTGGGTCTCAGGCTTCAGACTCAGACTGGGACCACGTCTTCAGCTCTCATGGGTCCCAGGCTTCAGACTCAGACTGGAACTATGTCTTCAGCTCTCCTGGGTCTCAGGCTTCAGACAGACTGGAACCACATCTTCAGCTCTTCTGGGTCTCCAGCATAACCACTGCAGGTCCTGGGTTTCCCAGCCCCTATAATTGCATGAGCCAATTCCTTATAACTCTCAAGATACCACCTATTGGTTCTGTTTCTCTGGAGAACCCTAGTACAGTCCCCTTTTTGTAGATGAGAAACTGAAGTTAAGCCTAGGCTGTTTATGAAAAAACAACCACCCATATGATTTAGGCTTTTTAAAGAAATTATCCACATCTACTGCATTCCAGTTACTATGTGTGAGTGAAGTTCTTCTTGTATGAATTTTAATGCTGTGGGGCCATATAACCAAATATAATTACAGTTATGGCCTAAATAGTTGAGCCACATTCATTAGAGCAGGAGGTAAGATAATTTCTATCAATCACCCAGGAAAAGACTCTTGGCGATATTCATTATCTGTTCAATATTCCCCAACACTGAGCACTTTCTATATGCCAAACACTGTGCTAATGGCTTTTATTCCTCACAACAAACCTCTGAAGTTAAATTTTTATTATCCTCATTTTACAAATGAAGAATCAGAAACATAGAAACATTAACTCTCATTCCTGATCACATAACTGGTAAGAGCTAGAGCTGGGCTATGCTTCAGAGAGTCTGGCTCCAGAGCAGAGCTCAACTGGATCTGGAAGGGCAAACCTTTCATAGAGAGGCTTGTCCTTGTTCTCTTAGGTTAGACTTCAGAGTTCCAATATCCAGGATGCTGCTCCAGGATGGTGGGTGTTACAGATGGAGGTCATGATGTTGAGGGAGGCTGGGAGCCCAGAGGATGAGACACAAGAAAGATCTCTTCATTTCCAGGCACCCCATTGCTGGGGTGAGCCCATGAAGTCCAGAGAGCAAACGATATCTTACCATTAGATTATCTAGATTCAGGTACTTGTCATATGTATTTAACTTTGGTTAGCCCCAAGTACCTTACATACATTCACCCATGTGTCTCAGATGCTGCAGGGGATTAAGGGAAGTTGAGGGTGAACCATTTTGGCCACTGGATCACAAACAAATTGGCTCGCCTTTAAGGTTTACATGGCTGCAGCAGCCGCAATCAAGAGATCACCAAAGAGGAGGTGAATCATGGGACAAATTCCCCTGGGAGGGGTGGAGCTTTAAACCAACATCAGGCAGATGCAAAGAACTCAGCAGAAACAGGAGGCAGTGAGAACAGGAGGCAGTGAGAACAAGAGGCAGTGAGCACTGGGAGCGGGAGTCAGTGACAGACTGTGCAGAGAACACTGAGGCTGGGAACTCAGGAAAACTCACCTCCTGTAAACAGGAGGAAAGGCCAGCCTGTGGCCTCGTGACATCCAAGGCTCTGTCACAGATGGGTAACCACCTTCCTCCGCTACCAGCTCCTAAAAGAACACCTAAAGAGGCGGGTGCGATGGCTCATGCCTGTAATCCCAACGCTTTGGAAGGCTGAGGCAGGTGGACCACCTGAGGTTGGGAGTTCGAGACCAGCCAGACCAACATGGAGAAACCCCGTCTCTACTAAAAATACAAAAATTAGCCAGGCGTGGTGGTGCATGCCTGTAATCCCAGCTACTCAGGAGGCTAAGGCAGGAGAATCGCTTGAACCTGGGAGGTGGAAGTTGTGGTGAGCCGAGATCGCGCCATTGCACTCCAGCATGGGCGACAGAGCGAAAAAAAGAAAAAAAAGAGCACCTAAAGGTCTGTGTGGGATAGACTAGGAAAGATGAAGCCGTCGGTCATCCCCTCCTGCTCTTGGTATTGTGTAGATGATTAACTGTTCCCCTTTCTGGGCATTTTCCTCCTAACCAACACTGAAACAACTGGTTGAATAGTCTCATTTTTTCCAATCACTTCACATATTGCTATGAGTATTGCAAAGTACCCAATCTTTCTGGACCACGTCCTGGCAGTATGTTGGAAGAGCAGAAAAACTGATCTCTATCAATGTTGTAGATCCACTTTCAAAAACCAGCCCAAGAGAAAAACCCAGAAAGAAAACAACTACTATCGTCTTAACTGTTCTACTCAGCCCTTGGTGATTTCACAGCACTTTCATATGCAATCTGTTTACAGCTATGTTATTCACAATAGCAAAAAGTTGGTGGTGGTGCATGTGGGTGTTGACCGGGCTGGGCCAAGAAGCCTCCTCCGGGCAGGCTGCCAGGCTCTCACTGTGGCTGTGGCTCTGTATGGGACAGAGACGGGGCTGAGCTGGCCGGGCTGTGGGCAGGGTGGAGGGCCACCAGCCAAAGGACAGTTGGAGGAATCGAGCTTCATGCTGTCCTTCTCTTCTGCCTCTGATACAGAATTTGATGTTGTGGTTGGATATATAGTACACATTATCATGGATGACATGTTCCGGTTATTATAGAGAAATTTTGTGGACAAGTATTACCAGGAGTTTGAAGACATGGAAGAAAATCAACTCACCTACATGCCTGCTTTTTGATAAATAATATTTGTACATATTATTGAAGTAGATGTGACATTTCATTACATGCATAGAATGTGTAGTGATCAACTCAGGGTATCCAGGATACCCATGACCTTGAGTATTTCTCATTTCTATGTGTTGAGAACATTTCAAATCCTTTATTCCGTCTATTTTGAAACACCCAATACAGTGTTAACAATGGTCACCCTATTCTGCTATCAAGCATTAGAACTCACTCCTTCTATCTATGTTTGTGTCCATCAAGCCACCTCTTCATCCCACATACACACCCTGCCCAGCCTCTAGTAATTGTCATTCTACTCTCTACCTCCATGAGATTAACTTTTACATGCCTTTTTTTTTTTTTTTTTTTTGAGATGCAGTCGCACACTGTCGCCCAGGCTGGAGTGCAATAGCACGATCGCACGATCTCGGCTCACTGCCACCTCTGCCTCCTGGGTTCAAGCAATTCTCCTGCCTCAGCCTCCTGAGTATCTGGGATTACAGGCACACGCCACCATGCCCAGCTAATTTTTTGTATTTTTAGTAGAGATGGGGTTTCACCGTGTTGGCCAGGCTGGTCTCGAACTCCTGACCTCGTGATTCGCCCGCCTCAGCCTCCTAAAGTACTGCGATTACAGGTGTGAGCCACTGCGCCCGGCTACATGCCTATTTTTAATAAATGTATTTACTTGACAGAAAAGTATCCTGAAGGACACCTACTGGAGCGGATTGCTGGATTTAGCACATGGCCTTCACAATATTAGGCATGATAAAGATGAAGGGGCTGGTGCCCTTCATCAGACAGAATTTGATGCTGTGGTTGGATATGTAGCAGACATTACCATGGATGACATGTTCTGGTTATTATAGAGAAATTCTGTGTACAAGTACTACCAGGAGTACTTGGTGCCATAGGCCGGGGACTAGACCTAAGCGATAGTTTAGCGGTGACTTTGTTGAGCAAATCATCTTCTATGCCAGCTTCCCCGAACAAGCTGTGGCACTAGATCCCACCTCCAGGCAAGGAAGAGGATCATCCTGGATGTCACCAGCCCACTGGCTTGGAGAGGCTGCAGCTATTGAGGATAGAACAATACATCTTGGAAAGACTGACTGTTCTGCAACTCATCATTCATGTTAAGTATTAAGGGTCAAAAACAAATGGCTTGATGTGTTTCTCCTGAAACACCTTCTTGTGTTTAGTAACCCTAGTACTCCTCCCATCTCTCAGGTGCTTTTGAATCAGACTGCTGTGGGGCAAACCCATGCCCAGCATTCCACCTGAGGCCCTTCTGCCAGCATACATTCAGTGTGTCAACAGTGTGGAATAACCCACTATCATGAGTCCTCTTTGTCCCAGCAGCTTTGGCATGAACTTTTTTTTCTTTTAAATGAAGAGACGCACATTTTAGTGATTTTCCTTGTGAAATTGCAAAGACTAGAAGAAAGTTAGACACTGACATCTCCATACCTGAATCTCTACCCACTCCATCTCACCCACCACCTGCTTCACAAACTTCCTACTCAACCACCTAAGATGAGACTTCTGGGCAATGTCTCCTCAGCCATCATCTGCCGTGATGTGTCACCCTCAATCATGCCAGGCGTTGTCGAATTCTCCATTCACTGGCTCCTCAATAGCTTTAAAGGCCCCAGACCTCAGGTTAATGACCAAGGAAATTGCACCATCCATCAGAGAGCTGACTTGCCCACATGCAGGATGAGGCCATTGTAATGCCAGGTCTTAAAGGAGAGGGTGATTTCATCACTGCTGCTCTGGATCGGGTTTTGACACAAGTCATTGCACAGCTACTCTGAGCCTTGGAAGGTGGCCACATTCTTTTCTTGATCCTGGGCATTAGGGAAGGGTCCATACAGGTGGTCATACTTAGGCTGTGTCTTGAAGTATGAGTAAGAGATCACTTTCTGCAGCAGTGCTCCAGCCTCCAATGAGGGTGCCACATGCTCCTTCTCCTCGCTACTCCCCACCAAGCAGTTGAGGGAAAAGGGTCAGAGGAAGGTCAAAATCAGCATGAGTCTTTTCCTGCACTGATAGCTCTTTTTCACACAGGTCAGTTTCCAGTCCTTCAACCTCAATGGGGTTTTTGACTGGGACTATTATCTAGGATGTTACTCAAGCCAGCTACCCATCTTGAGGTTTCTGAATCTCCCAGGATCAAAGCTAGTCTTGGCTGTAGGAATCAACTGAAAGAGATGTCCTTTACCTAAAAACTACATGTGAAAATCAATTCCTAGTTCTATATTTGAATCTTTGGGTCAAGAAGTCTTCTGTTGATCCTGATACAGTCCCACTGTTTCTAGAAGTCTCTTTTAAGCATTATTTTTGGAAAAATACTTTTATAGATGAACCCTCAGCCTAACCTAGTGGATATGATGTTGAGAATTCCATGATTATCTGCTTAAAGATCAGAGTATCTGTGAGCCTTTTAGTTGCCAGCGCTGTGAAGGCAAAAATGCTAAGTCGGCATTCATTCCTGTTGTATGGGGTACCAGTGAGTGTAGGCCGTGTGCTGGAAATAGACTAAAAGCTATCCTCTTCTTCCAGCATATTAACTGTGTTTGTGCATGTTTGCTGAAAATCCTTTCCATATAGATCAGTTTGTTAGGTTCTCTGGGACAGGCAGGGACTCTGCAATTTCTTCTTCCTGTCAAACTCTTTCCTACCGAGATGGTGTCCCACTCATCTATCTCAGCATGCGTAGGATGTAGTAAACAGCATCGCTGGTCATCTACCTGCTTTGAATTAATACCATTGGTAGAATATTACTGACCAGAAAATATGTATGTCACATCTCTAGAAAGAAGAAAAAACATAGCTGTTCAATTCCCAATGTGTACCTTTGATTTTTTAAGTAGAAGTGAGAATCTGTACTGACTTTTCACTTGGTTATTCTGGTTTTAAAGTTGGAGCCACAAGCTATGTGTTTTTCTATAATGGTACATTGCTGACTAAATACTTTCGGACCATGAGGTATATTTGAGGTAAATGAGGTACACTTGAGGTATTTTGCAAGTATCATCTTTTATTTTTTATTATTATTATTATTATTTTTTAGTTAGAAAGAGCTGGCCAGGCATGGTGGCTCACGCCTCTAATCCCAGCACTTTGGGAGGCTGAGGAGGGCAGATCACCCAAGATCAGGAGTTTGAGACCAGTCTGGCCAACACAGCGAAACCCTGCCTCTACTAAAAATATAAAATTAGCTGGGCATGGTGGTGCATGCCTGTCATACCAGCTACTCAGGAGGCTGAGGCAGGAGAATTGCTTGAACCTGGGAGGCGGAGGTTGCCGTGAGCCAAGATTGCACCATTGCACTCCAGCCTGGGCAACAAGATTGAAACTCTATCTCAAAAATAATAACAATAAATAGAAAGAGCTGAAAAGGTCAACATAGAAATAAGAAGGAACACTGCATGGTTACTAACATGGATTAGGGGATTGAATTTTGGCCCCCCAAAGATATGTTTGCCTAAAATCTCAGAATGTGACATTATTTGGAATAAGGATCTTGATGTAATTGAGGACCTCAAGATGAGATCATCCTGGATTAGGGTGGCTCTTAAATTCAGTGACATGCATCCTTGGCAGAGAAGATACAGAGGTACGAAGAAGGTCAAGCGAAGACTGAGGCAGGGATTGGAGTGATGCTGTCGCAGGCCAGGGAACACTTAGAGCCAGCAGAAGCTGGAAGAAACAAGGAAGGAATCTTGCCTACAGCCTTCAGAGGCAGAGGCTTTGGCTGACTTCTGGCCTTCAGAGCTGTGAGATAATAAATTTCTGTTGTTTTAAGCCATACATTTGTGGCAATTTGTTAACAGCAGTCCTAGGAAACAAATGTGTGTAGTAAGGAAGTGATAATGTTGGAAGCTGAATAGGTAATAATATTAAATGAAAAAGAATGCCAAACTCAAATTGGTAGATATATGCTTAAAATAAGCACATATGAATGTATATTGAAGGGAAGATATAGACTTTTATTTTCATGGGGTGTTTTTAGTAAGGTTGCTTGAATGAATAGAAAGCATTTCACGTATACCATAAGTAGTATGGACTGTTAACACGAACCTGGAAAGAGGTCCAGTCATCCTACGTGGCAGCAGAGCCATGCTAGGCCCCAGGCTATTTTTTGCCCTGGTCAATTTGATTTTTTGGTTTTGACTCCAGCAATATTGCCTCACAAATTCATTTTTTTAATTCAAGTACCCACCCAAATCCTACCCATCTGCACCTTTTTCCCTGGGCTGGACTCTTGCCTGTCCTTCAGAGTAGATTCACACCTTCTGGCCCACCAATCTCCAGACTTTGTCTTCAGACATACAGAACATTCCCTCACAAACTCTACTACTTTTCCACTCACCAGCCCCTACCTTCCTCTTCCTACAAATCATCACTAAAAGGTAAGGCAGACAGCATGTCATTTTTTGGTCTAGTACCTGATTATTTTAGATAGCCCAGAGAAAGGGTTGATTTGTGGTTGCCTATGTAATTGTATGCACAGTTCTCTATTGGACCATTTAAATCTAACTTAATCCAGCTAAATGTGCCTATATGCAAACATCCATATCTATGTAGCCATTTCATGCATCTATTTTATATAGTTTTAATCCATTTTATATTTATTATATAGTATTTTCATTACTCCATTGCATATGTGTATATATATTATATATATATGTCTACACACGCACACATACACATGTGTATTACTTAATACTTTTCAAAGTTTTTCTTATAGACTTTTACTCATTTTACACAATAATATTATAAAGAAAATGAGGGAGGTAATTTTTTTTTCTTTTTTCTTTTTTTTGAGACAGAATCTCACTCTGTCGCCCAGACTGGAGTGCAGTGGCAGGATCTCAGCTCACTGCAACCTCTGCCTCCCAGGTTCCAGAGATTCTCCTGCCTCAGCCTCCTCCTGAGTAGCTGGGATTAAAGGTGTGCACCATCACACCCAGCTAATTTTTGTATTTTTAGTAGAGGTGGGGTTTCATCATGTTGGCCAGGCTGGTCTTGGCCTCCCGAAGTGCTGGGATTGCAGGCATGAGCCACCGCACCCAGCCAAGGAAGATAATTTTTGTCCCCATCTTGGAGGTGAGAAAAATTGGACCCGAGATTAAATGACTTATGCAAAGTTATAGGGCAAATTAGTAACAGAGCCAGAACCAAAACCAGTCCAATCCTATATCTAGAAAGCTATATATTTATACTTTTTTTGTGTGTGTATGTGTGAGACAGAGTCTCGCTCTGTTGCCCAGGCTGGAGTGCAGTGGCTCGATCTCGGCCCACTGCAACCTCCGCCTCCTGGGTTCAAGTGATTCTTGTGCCTCAGCCTCCCAAGTAGCTGAGATTACAGGTGCACGCCACCACACCCAGCTAATTTTTAGATTTTTTGAAGAGATGGGGTTTCATCATGTTGGCCAGGCTGGTCTCAAACTCCTGGCCTCATGATCCACCTGCCTTGGCCACCCAAAGTGGTGGGATTACGGGCATGGGCCACTGCACCTGGCCTCTAGAAGGCTGTATTATAATTACCATTAATTACATATTGTCCTTTATTGTCATCAAAATCATGCCACTTCTTTGAAAAATAAAAAAATCATCTGGGTGTGGTGGCTTATGCCTATAATCCCAGCACTTTGGGAGGTCAAGATGGGAGGATCACTTGAGGCAAGTTCAACACCAGCCTGGTCAGTGTAGTAAGACCCCATCTCTGTATTTTTTATAAGAAAAAAAAAGGAAGGAATAAAACAGAGTACATAATATACTACAGGTTTTTTTTATAAAAAGGAGAAGAAACTAGGATCTATATCCATACTGGTTTTGTATTGGTGTATTAAATTTACCTCTGGAAGAGTAAATTTAAAACTAATGGCTGTGGCCAGGCACGGTGGCTCATGCCTGTAATCCCAGCACTTTGGGAGACCGAGGCAAGTGGATCACGAGGTCAGGAGATCAAGACCATCCTGGCTAACACGGTGAGACCCCGTCTCTACTAAAAATACAAAAAATTAGCCGGGCGCGGTGGCAGGAGCCTGTAGTCCCAGCCACTTGGGAGGCTGAGGCAGGAGAATGGCGTGAACCCGGAAGGCGGAGCTTGCAGTGAGCCGAGATCACACCCCTGCACTCCAGCCTGGGCGACAGAGTGAGGCTCTGTCTCAAAAAAAAGAAAAAAAAAAAAAACTAACGGCCATAGCTGCCATTGGGGTAGGTGAACTTGCTAAATGAAGAGATGGGAGGTGATATGGTTTGGCTCTGTGTCCCCACTCAAATCTCATCTCAAACTGTAATCCCCACGTCGGAGGAGGGACCTGGTGGGAGGTGACTGGATCACAGGAACAGTTTCTCCCCTGTTGTTCTTGTGATAGTGAGTCAGTTCTCACGAGTTCTGATGGTTTTAAAGTGTGGCATCCCCCCTCATTCTCTCTGCTGCTGCCATGTAAGATGTGCCTTGCTTCCCCTTTGCCTTCCACTATGACTGCTTGTTTCCTGAGGCCTCACAGCCATGCAGAACTGTGAGTCAGTTAAACCTCTTTTCTTCAACAATTACCCAGTCTCTGATACTTCTCTAAAGCAGTGTGAAAATGGACTAATACAGACTGCTTTCACACTAGACTTTTTCAAGCCTTTTCAAAAACCCTATGAATGTATTGCATATTTAGAAAATTAAACATGGTCTGAAATGAATATATAAAAAGGCTTAGCACTTTAAGAAATCAGAGCCGGCCGGGCGTGGTGGCTCACGCCTGTAATCCCAGCACTTTGGGAGGCCGAGGTGGGCAGATCACAAGGTCAGGAGATCGAGACCATCCTGGCTAACACGGTGAAACCCCATCTCTACTAAAAATACAAAAAATTAGCCGGGTGTGGTGGCGGGCGCCTGTAGTCCCAGCTATTCGGGAGGCTGAGGCAGAAGAATGGCATGAACCTGGGAGGCAGAGCTTGCAGTGAGCTGAGATCGTGCCACTGCACTCCAGCCTGGGCGACAGAGCGAGACTCCATCTCAAAAAAAAAAAAAAAATTCAGAGCCATTTGCAAAGCCTAGTTCCTAGGCTAAGAACAGGAATCAGAAGTGCTGCCTTTTCTGTGGTCTGATGTTCACAAGATGCTGGGTTCTACCACTCCAACTCTCCCCTCCTTACCTCACTTAATTAAGAGCAACAGTAATAATAACTAGCACCTGCTCACTACATGCTATGCACCTTTTCAGTGTTTTACATGGATTAGCACCAGTTAATCCTCACAACAAACCTATGAAGTAACTGAGGCACAGGAAAGATTATTTGAAGGTCAAAGCAGGTGAGTCAAGATACAAACTCAGGCCGGGTGTGGTGGCTCATGCCTGTATTCCCAACACTTTGGGAGGTGAGGCATGCAGATCACTTGAGGTCAAGAGTTCAAGACCAGCCTGGCCAACATGGTAAAACCCCGTCTCTACTAAAAATTCAAAAATTAGCCAGGCGTGGTAGTGTGTGCCTGTAGTTCCAGCTACTCGGAAGGCTGAGGCAAGAGAATCGCTTGAACCTAGGAAGTGGATGTTGCAGTGTGTCGAGATCATGCCACTGCCCTCCAGCTTGGACGACAGAGTGAGACTCTGTCTCAAAAAAAAAAGATACAAACTTGGGCATTATGGGTCTGGGACCCACACTCTTAACCACAATCCCATGATGTCTCTCATTTACGCAGCAAATTACTCCATTGGGGTTAGGCCTTGTTTCTCAAAAAAAAAAAAAAAAAGGCTTTTGCAAAATATGTTTCCTGGGAGGATTAATAGAGCACATCTTTTAGCCATTGTCTTTAGCACCTCTGAAAACAAGCACTTGTCACCATGGAGACCATGAAATCCAGGAACAGGACAGAACACAAACAAGTACTAAAAGGGGAGTGGGAAGCATTCCCAGAATGTTCCAGAGCAGGGGGTGCCCGCCGGACAGAGATGTCAGAGCCCACAGAGGGACTGGGAATGGGTAGGATGTCTCTGGTGGGGCGACCAAAAAATTTTACCAGCTCCCCAGCTTTCCAGAGAAAGCAGCCCATTCTTTGAGACCCAGCTAAGTCCACTGGTAACCAAGAGCATGGCTTATCTGTGTGAGTCATCCAATGAAACTACCAGCTTGTATTTATACCTACCCAGGAGGACACCCGCCAGGCTTTGTCATTGCTGGTACATCTGAGAAGAACACCTCCTGCTCTTTCTCTGGAGGGAGCTGGGCGACGATACTACTAAACAGATGCCAAAGCACAGAGCCCTCCCCTGCCCCACCTCCACCCTTCAGCCCTGGTGCGGGTCTTATTGCTCACCAACTCTTGCTGCTTCTATTTCTTCCTTCCCTAATTCCTAAGGCCAAAATCCAAGTTCATTCAACAAATCTTTATTACTTGGCCTCTTACATGGATGGCCTCATTCCAGGTGCTATGGGGGAGATAAGAACAGAAATCCTGGTACCTGTATGCCTAGATTCAAATCCCAGCTCTACCATTTAAAAGCGGTGGGGCACTGGGCACATTAGCCCCTCTGAGTCTGTTTTGCTGTCTCTAAAATGATAATATCTACCTCGCTGGCTTGAACCCAAGAGGAGGGTGCAGTGAGCCGAGATCGCACCACTGCACTCCAGCCTAGGTGACAAGAGCAAGATTCCATCTCAAAAAAAAAAAGAAGAAAAGAAAAGAAAAGAAAAAAAAAGCCAAAGGAAAATAAGAAACTAGCTATGGAGGCAGAAAAGGGGCAGTCAGTGGGGTCAGAGACAAGGCAAGAAGCCAAAGAAGGGATGGCCCTCTACCGCATTTGGAAAATAAGCCTGTAACATAAAAGTATGCATGCATTTTTCTGAGGGCAAGAACCTGTAGGTTACATTCTGAGGACCATACAAATCGGTTTTCCACCTAAGAAACTTCTCCATGTAAATTATGTTGAGGTCGTCATTAAAGAAGCTTTTTTCTCTCCAGGTGCCGTGGCTCACGCCTGTAATCCCAGCACTGTGGGAGGCGGATCACGAGGTCAGGAGATCGAGACCATCCTGGCTAACACGGTGAAACCCAGTCTCTACTAAAAATACCAAAAAATTAGCCAGGCGTGGTGGCGGGCGCCTATAGTCCCAGCCACTCGGGAGGCTGAGGCAGGAGAATGGTGTGAACCCAGGAGGCGGAGCTTGCAGTGAGCTGAGATCACGCCACTGCATTCCAGCCTGGGTGACAGAGCGAGACTCCATCTCAAAAAAAAAAGGCTTTTTTCTGAAATGACACTCTTCTACAAAAGTGCTTTCATTTCTTCACCAAGTCTCTGCTATTATCTGACACCTGTCCGTCCCACCTTGGATAGTACAAAAGTGACAAGAGGATGCTAAAAGTTTTAAAGGGGCTGTTGGAAAATACGAGCTGGGAAACATGTAGAGCTAAATATGAGCTCAGGTCAATATTAAAATTGGAAGTAGGTCACAGAATCCCAACCCCACATATTTGGATCCAGCCCTTGGTGAGTGGGCCTTGGACTGTACTTCACAATCCCATCTTCACCTGCAGTTGTCCGGCCAACATGGCCCCTTCCCGCCTGCCCTTTCCTAACCACCTCCACTCTCTCTAGTGAAGACGCTGAGCTCGCAGCCATGCTGGTTGCACACTGCCATTTTCTACAGGTTCTCAAGTGCATGGGCTGCCAAGAGGGTTGGGTGTTTACATTTATTTTTAATAGAAATGGGGTCGTACCCGGGGCATCTCTTTTCTTCATACTGCAATGTTGCTAGATACACAATCAGACACCAGAGGGTTGGGCATTCTTGCAATACCTTAACAGTGCTGAAACCTGCAGCATGGTACTAAGGAAGTTAAAGTTAGAATGTAACCACTTTATTTAAAAGGTTTATTTTTGTTTTTTTTTTTTTTAAGACGGAGTCTTGCTCTGTCCCCCAGGCTGGAGTGCAGTGGCGCCATCTAGGCTCACTGCAAGCTCCGCCTCCTGGGTTCACGCCATTCTTCTGCCTCAGCCTCCCGAGTAGCTGGGGCTACAGGCACCCGCCACCACGCCCGGCTAATTTTTTGTATTTTTTTAGTAGAGATGGGATTTCACCGTGTTAGCCAGGATGGTCTCGATCTCCTGACCTCGTGATCCACCTGCCTCGGCTTCCCAAGGTGCTGGGATTACAGGCGTGAGCCACCGCGCCCGGCCAGGTTTTTTTCTTTAATTTAAATGAAATGGGGTTGAAGTGAACATGATCTTGTTGACCATGTTCGTGAATTATAGATGCAACATGCATTGGTAGAATCGTGTGATGGTCTTTTGTGATACTTAATTTTTACATATCCCAGTCTCTGTATGTATCTGCACAAAGAAAAAACAAACTCCTGCTTTGCTCTTATTGAAGGGTTCCCAGGACTGCGTGTCTGCTCCTGAGCTCTGTTTTAAGTATGTGTATCCTTTGCTTGTATTTTGTATTAAAAAAGTAAGAAAAAGAACCCTTTATTGTTGAGCATGTTGGCATTGTCCCGTTTATTTTTTTCTCTTTTTGGGACATATGAAGCAAGTTATTCTTTTTCTGTATCTTTTTTTCTTTTGTAAACTTTTTGTTTTTTTCTTGTTTAAAATTGGCTTTATAAAAGGGCTTTTATAACCCACCCCCCCCCCAAAAAAAAGAAATGGGGTCCCACTAGGTTGCCCAGGCTAGCTTTGAACTCCTAGGCTCAAGCAATCCTCCCACTCTGGCCTCCCAAAGTGCTGGGATTATAGGTGTGAGCCACCATGCCAAGTTAAAAAAAAAAAAAAAGTCTGTGAAGCAGGAGTTGCAGGAAAAAAAAGAATTAGTTAATTAATTAGGGGGAAAAAAGCTGAAAGAAAATCAACCGTATTAATAGTAATTATTTCTGAGTGGTGGGATCACGAGTCCTGTATTTCCTTCTATGCAATTAATATTTTCTAAAATATACATGCATTGCTTTAAGACAAGAAAAATACTTGCTGTTTTATCAAGAGGCCTAGAGGTGGCAAACAATGTCTGGATCCGTACACCACCGCTGGAGGAATGCAGAGGCGGGCGGGGGCGCGACAGGCTGCTAGGCACCGTGCCCACTGTCTGTCCTGTAGCTTCCTACCAGCCCGAAACACTGAGGTTTCCAGAGGCAGCGAGGCAAAAGGGCCAGACATTTTTCTGGTTAACACTCCATGTATTCAGTTTCCAAAGGTGCTAGGCCAGGGCGGTGAGGCCGACCTTGGCCAGGCCGTGGGTGGGTTGCTTGACTAGGCCAGAGAGTAAATCAGTAGAATTCCCACAGGCCCCATCTGTGGATGTGAGGCCAAAGTCCATCGGCCCCACGGCTTTTCCGTGCTGGGAGGGAGGAAAGCAGAGGACGGCACAGGGAGGCTGGGAGGGAGGAAGGAAAGCAGACGACGGCACAGGGAGGTGCCCTACTCGCGGTTCATGTCATCACTTTCGCTTTCTGACAGTTCCTTGGGCTGCTTTAAGTGGATAGCAGAGGCCACCTTCTAGATGTAGAAAGAAACTGAACGTCCAGAGTGTGAACTGGCCTGCTTGTATCTCCCCTCGGCGGCAGTGGTGGTTGCCAGCCTGGCTTGCGTTTGCCCAAAAGTAATAGTAAAGAGCTCTGACCACTGCTGCTCACCCTAAACTTGGGGCTGCTGTACTTGTAGGCTTTGGAAAGCATGGAGGGGTTTCCACATATTAAAAAGGAAAAGGGCACCAGGTCTGTGCTCTGTGACCCCATCACGCAACGGAATGACACACAGCTATGAAGAATGAGGCTGCTCCACATATGCTGGGACTGAGAAAGGTTTTTGTGTTTTGTTTCGTTTCTGAGACCAAGTTTCACTCTTTGTTGCCCAGGTGGGAGTGCAATGGCGCGATCTCAGCTCACTGCAACCCTTGCCTCCCGGGTTCAAGTGATTCTCCTGCCTCAGCCTCCTGAGTAGCTGGGATTACAGGTACCCACCACCATGCCCGGCTCATTTTTTTTTTGTATTTTTAGTAGAGATGGGGTTTCACCATGTTGGCCATGCTGATCTCGAACTCCTGACTTCAGGTGATTCACCCACCTTGGCCTCCCAAAGTGCTGGGATTACAGGCATGCGCCACCGCGCCCAGCCGAGAATTGTTTTTTTTCTTTTTAAACGTGGCACAGTGTGTGTAGTGTATGTGACTACTATCATT
The DNA here is from genome assembly GCF_000001405.40 of Homo sapiens. NCBI lineage: Eukaryota > Metazoa > Chordata > Mammalia > Primates > Hominidae > Homo > Homo sapiens. The sequence goes on along the minus strand of NC_000022.11, from coordinate 18,091,286 downwards.
TGTGTAAGAGAAAGAAAAGTTTACTATCAGAGACTGTATCTGGAGGGATAAACAGACTGGCAAGGGTTGCCTCTGGGCAAGAAACTGGGGAATAGAGAGCGGGAGTAGAAAGACTGTATTAGCTGGGTGTGGCAGCACACACTGTAGGCCCAGCTACTCCAGAGGCTGAGGGGAAGACTTGCTCAAGCCCAGGAGTTCAGGTCCAGCCTGGGCAACACAGCAAGACTAAAAAAAAACAACTTTCTTTTCCAAGAATACCCTTTTTGTAACTTTTGAATTCCGTATTTTTTAATGGTCTATGGTCTACAAACACTCATGTGCAAACACATACACGCAGAATAGGGATCACCTGCACGAAGCTATGAACTATTTCCTCATCCCTTCTAGCCCCTTCCTAGAGGCGAACCCTCCGCCCCCACCCCCAGGCACTATCTGTCCTGCTTGCACCCACCTCCACCCAGGGCTGGCCAACAATAGCCTGTTTCCTCTCCATTCCACCCCTCTCCCCCACCCTCCCATCCCACCACAGAAGAGGATTACTGGTTCCTGCTTTCCTTAGCGCCCCTAAATTTAAAGGTATCTGTTCTATGTTGCATGCTTCAGAACCCTGTAGAAACAACCAGCAAATCCACTGTTGATACGCAATTACCCCTCTTGGATGCATCTGCAACAAGCACTCCCCAGCTTCGAAGGGGCAGCAAAGAAGTTCACAATTACAAGACCATGGGGTCACGACCACAGAAGCGATATGAAACAGGTCCCGGGACACAGGGAGGGGCAGAAAGAATTCTTTGAGTAAGCCTGGAAGGTGGAGGGGCTCACCAGGCCAAGAGCAGGTGCTAGGCCTTCAGTAGGAACAGTGCGAGCCAAGGCACAGAGGCCAAGGGGAGCGAGCTGTAGCTGTGATGGTGGGCAGCTGGAAGGCCGCACATATAATCAACAGGGGACCCACATCAAAGGGGAGATCTTAGCCAAAACCAGCACATAGGGGCCTTCAATTCCATGAAGAATTTAGATGTTATCCAGTGAGCCATGGGAAGCCATTGAAGCGTTTTATCTAGGGTAGTTAAGTGGGCCCAGATTTTCATTTTAAGAAATCATTCTATAGAAGGAATCTCAAACCTCACCTGACTGCTTTTCTCCCCCCAGGGTTCTAAGCTTTACTTAAAAGCCCATATAAAAAAGTATAGATTTGCTTCCTACAGACTTGAACCATGCCCTAAGGATTTAATTCTAAGGGGCCTGTGAAGTTTACCTACTTTACTCATTTTTCTAAAGAAAAGTTGGCCGGGCGCGATGGCTCACACCTGTAATCCCAGCACTTTGGGAGGCCTAGGTGGGTGGATCACAAGTTCAGGAGATCGAGACCATCCCGGCTAACACAGTGAAACCCAGACTCTACTAAAAATACAAAAATATTAGCCAGGCGAGGTGGTGGGCACCTGTAGTCCCAGCTACTCGGGAGGCTGAGGCAGGAGAATGGCATGAACCCGGGAGGCGGAGCTTGCAGTGAGCTGAGATCACGCCACTGCACTCCAGCCTGGGTGACAGAGACTCCATCTCAAAAACAAACAAACAAACAAACAAACAAAACAAAAGAAAACTTGTTGCCTTGCAACCCCCGAAAATGTACCAAGGAAAAGCTAGCAAGCACCTTCTCTATTTTGGGCATCAACACCAAGGACACAGTGCAGGGCAGCCTGCTTGGCCTCTGGGTAGAGAAAGGCCAGCCCCTGCAGAAAGCCCTTCTTCATCCTGACAGCACAGCAGTGCTCTACGCTTCCTTGCACAGAAACTCATAAGATGCTTGTGGCTGGTGAGAAAACAACACTGAAACATTTCAGCTCCTCAAATGCTAAGGCCTCGGTGCCACCTCCCTAAGGTTTTATTGTTCACTGCCTTCAAAACCCATGTCTCCCGTCTGCCCCGCCCCCCACATCCCTTCCAGCTCACCTGATTACTCAGTTCCATTTTCAGCTCAGCAGCCTCTGAGGCTGGCCTACTTTTCAAGGCCACACGAGCAGAAAAATTTGGGCATTACACAAACAACAGAACATAACTAGGACAATGGGACACAGAAAGGGAAGAACCTGAAATGGTGTGTACCAAGGAGGCAAGGATACAGGCAGAACCTGGTGAAACAGCCAAGGGACAAGTTTGCAGGGCGGGAGGGAAGGGCTGGCGGGGAAAGAGTGGGCAGAGGCACTGAGCGTAACAGAGCAAGACTTGGCCAGGACAACCTGGAAAATTGAGCTGAAGACCAAGAGGCACCAGGCAAGATCACTTTACCCAGCGATAAGAGCTGTAAGGCTCACTTGGTTTTCAGTAGTCAACCCGGTGGTTCTGAAAACCACACCCCAGCCTGAACAGTGAGAAGGCTCCTGCAGCTTCAAGCGCATGGCAAGACCATGGGAACAGCCTATTGATACAGAATTAGATCAGCTCTGGGGAGCACAGTGCAGGCAAGAAGAGGCCCTCTCAGATCTACTCTAGCTAATTAAGGTACTGTCCTGTGGGGCATGTTTTTTTGTTTGTTTTGAGAGAGTGCGGTAGCACAATCTCAGCTCACTGCAACTTTTGCCTCCCTGGCTCAAGTGATTCTCCTGCCTCAGCCTCCCAAGTAGCTAGGACTATAGGCGTGCACCACATCTAGCTAATTTTTGTATTTTTAGTAGAGATGGGGTTTCACCATGTTGGCCAGGCAGGTTTTGAACTCCTGGCCACAAGTGATCCACCCACCTCACCCTTCCAAAGTGCTGGGATTACAGGCGTGAGTCACCATGCCCAGCAAAGAAGTATGTTTCTCAAGAAGTGAAAGGCCAAGGGTCACTTCACCAGGCTTTTTCTGAACTTCCAGCTCCATTAACATCCTGACCTGAAGAACCAACCCCTTGCCTTCACCAAGAAGATGGAATGTTTCATGGACACAGTCCCTGTCCCCAAACCCCTCCTTTTCAAGGGGCCTCTGGTCATCCGGGGCACTGTTCTGGAGGTGCTGTGCCTGCTGGTCCTGCTTTGTTTCCACATCATCTACCGCGACCAGCCGAAGTAGGGTGCAAAGGAGAGGGCACCCAGGCAGCAAGACACAGTGCACTCCGCGAGATTAGGCTGGTCCCATTTCCCCAGGGGCGCCTGTGGATGTGTCGCTCTGTCGCTCTGCTTCTGTGGCCACGGACGTGAGGAGCAGAGAGGCTGTGGTGCGCAGGGACCCTCAGTCACGGATGCGGAGCTGGTAGAGGCGAGAAAATGCAGCCTTCCGGATCCAGCGGAAGAGCTGGGCCAGCTTGTAGAGGAAGTGCAGGGAGGAAGGGGAAGCTGCAGGGCAGAGGGAGACTACAGTGAACGTCCCACCCCTCTCACCTGTCACTCTGCCATCTCCCACCCTGGGAGACTCCACTACCAATTACACATAGTTGGTTTTGTTTTGTTTTTTTTAGAGACAGGGTCTCGCTCTGTCACCTAGGCTAGAGTACAGTGCAGTCTGTGTTCAGCTCACTGCAGCCTCAATCTCTGGGGCTCATGCGATCCTCAGCCTGCAGGTGCAGGTTCTCCTCCCCCACCATCATCACTCCAATGAGTCGGGCCTGCTGCTGAGGGTCAGGGCCACTGGGCCAGGCCCTTCTGAAGCAGCCTTGGAAAGAGCAGGCTCAAATGTCCTCATGCCATCCCCACTAGGAGACCAGGGTTTACGAGACTAAAGGGCTTACGGGAACCATAAAGAATCATAAAGAGTTTCTAAATCTGTATCAGTCAGGAGGTGGCCAGGGATGAACGCTGATGATACTGAGCATTCCGAGCGCTAACTCGTGACTTCTTTGTAAAGCAAACAGAGTCGTCCACAGGGGATCCCTGCTCAGCATTCAGCAGACGGGTTAGAAGGACAACTCTGAGCTATGTGACGGAAACCTCGCTGGCCAGGCATGATGGCTTGTGCCTATAATCCCAGCACTGTGGGAGGCTGAGGTGAGAGGATCACTTAAGGCCAGAAGTTGGAGACCAGCCTGGCAAACATGGCGAAACCCCGTCTCTACTAAAAATACAAAATGTAGCCTGGCATGGTGGTGTGTGCCTGTAATCCCAGCTACTTGGGATACTGAGGCAGGAGAATCGCTTGAACCCAGGAGGCGGAGGTTGCAGTAAGCCGAGATCACGCCACTGCAACCTGGGCAACAGAGCAAGACTCTGTCTCAAAAATAAAAATAAAAAATTAGCCGGGCATGGAGGCACATGCCTGTAGTCCCAGTTACTTGGGAGGCTGAGGAGAGAAGATCGCTTGAGCCTAGGAGGCAGAGGTTGCAGTGAGCCAAGATCACGCCGGTGCACTCCAGCCTGGGCAACAGAGAAAGACCCAGTATCAAAAACTAAATAAATAAAATAAAATAAAAATAAAAATAAATAAATAAATATTTTAAAAAAGCTCACTGAATAAGAGAAAGAGAAATGGGGAAACAGGGAGAATCTAAAGACTAAGTTAACAAATGGCACTTCTCAAAATAGACAAACCATTTGAAGGGACCAGTATAAGGGTTTCTGATTTCCTCTTAAATTTTGAAACTTATTTAATCATATTCTAAGTCTAAATTCATGAGAAGAGTAGAGATTAGAACATAACTCACACTGAGTAACACAAAAAAATCTAAAAGAGCGAGTGCCAAGTTTGGCTTCATGCACCTGAGGGGTCAATCCTCAGGAAATAACTGGGGTTGTTCCCAAATATCACTTAGGGAGCTCATTCCTTCTTCACAGCGAGGCAGAAAACAGAATAATCACCCAAATGTTCAATAATAGGGGTTGTTAAATTACTTAGGGGCATTCCTGTGAACTGGAATAGTTAGCGATTTAAGGCCATGCTTGAAAGCATATGTGTGACATGTAACTGCCTACAATCTCTATATCCATAGAAAAAGACTGAAAGCACAGCAGAGTAGCAGATTTCTATGCCCTTCTTTATACTTTTCTCTATTTTCCACATTTTTTTTTCTTTTTTGAGACAGAGTTTCGCTCTTGTAGCCCAGGCCAGAGGGCAACAGTGCAATCTTGGCTCACTGCAACCTCCGCCTCCTGGGTTCAAGCAATGCTCCCTGCCTCACCCTCCCCAGTTGCTGGGATTACAGGCACGCACCACCACACCTGGCTAATTTTTGTATTTTTAGTAGAGACGGGGTTTCACCATATTGGCCAGGCTGTTCTCGAACTCCTGACCTCAGGTGATCCACCCTCCTTGGCCTCCCATAGTGCTGGGATTACAGGTGTGAGCCACCATGTCCGGCCTATTTTCCACATTTTCTAAAATGTATGAGTTTTTCATTTACAACTTGCTTTGAATTAACACTTCATGAGACATTAATACTTGAATTAACACTTTTGTAGATATTCTGATGAGCGGAAGTTTTTTTGTTTTTTGTTTTTTGTTTTGAGACAGAGTCTCGCTCTATTGCCCAGGCTGGAGTGCAGCAGTGCGATCTTGGCTCACTGCAACCTCCGCCTCCCGGGTTCAAGCTATTCTCCTGCCTCAACCTCCCAAGTAGCTGGGACTACAGGCATGTGCCACTACACCTGGCTAATTTTTTTTGTATCTTTAGTAGAGATGGGGCTTTACCATGTTGGCCAGGCTGGTCTCGATTTCCTGACCTTGTGATCTGCCTGCCTTGGCCTCCCAAAGTGCTGGGATTACAGGCGTGAGCCACCGTGCCTGGCCAAGAGGAAGTTTTTTTAAATTCTGAGGTTCTAGTCAGAGTTCAGCCCTAGAAAAAGTGGAGGACTATGACTCAGTCCATGTTCAGGAGTCAGCAGGGCCAAGTGGACTTTCTCCTGGCTGCTCTCATAGACTCCAGGACTGGCCTCTCCTTATGGGTGGGGCTGGCTCATGCCCAGTCTAGCAATTCCTCCTTGTGGAACAGACTCAGGGGAAATGTCATAGGAGAGACTCCCCTCCCCAGTAGGACTCTGACAAACACCCACTCCCACAGGCCCAGCCCTGGCAACAACCCCTTCCCAGGAAGGACAGGGGAGAGTCTCCACCTCTTACCTGGATCAAATCTCACCACCAGGAGACAGAGGATCAAGGCAGCCAGGAGACTCTTTTTGAAGGGCAGAGAAAAGAAGTGGCTCACCGCAGAGTCCCAAAGCTGGCGAACCAACATCGGTAGTGACAGGAACTTGTGGGAGACAGAGCCTGGCCAGGGAGACAGAGCACAGCTTCAGGGATGTCATGGGAATCAGCTTCCCTGACCCCGACCTCTGTGCTTGCTTCTAAGACCTGAGCAGGCCAGGCGCAGTGGCTCATGCCTGTAATCCCAGCACTTTGGGAGGCTGAGGCAGGTGGATCACAAGGTCAGGAGATCGAGACCATCCTGGCTAACATGGTGAAACCCCGTCTCTACTAAAAATACAAAAATTAGCCAGGCGTGGTGGTGTGCGCCTGTAGTCCCAGCTACTTGGGAGCCTGAGGCACGAGAATCACTTGAATCTGGGAGGTGGAGGCTGCAGTGAGCCAAGATCGTGCCATTGCACTCCAGCTTGGGCAACAAGAGCAAAACTCCGTCTCAAAAAAAAAAAAAAAAGAGTTTAGTAAAAGGGTATTAGGTATTGGCTAAAGCCTTCATTCCTTAACTGCACATACTCTTGCAAATCTCATGAATATAAATTGTTTTCCTCGTGTTTATTACTTATTTTGACTATATATTATTTACTATATTGAATGCATCTTTGTAAAAGTTTTTTAAAACCTTTCAGAACCTTTCAGGCCAGGCGCAGTGGCTCATGCCAGTAATCCCAGCACTTTGGGAGGCCAAGGCAGCCAGATCACGAGGTCAGGAGATTGAGACCATCCTGGCTAACACGGTGAAACCCCGTCTCTACTAAAAATACAAAAATTAGCCAGGTGTGGTGGCGGGCACCTGTAGTCCCAGCTACTCAGGAGGCTGAGGCAGGAGAATGGCGTGAACCTGAGAGGTGCAGCTTGCAGTGAGCGGAGATCGCATCACTGCATTCCCGCTTGGGCGACAGAGCGAGACTCCGTCTCAAACAAAAAAAAAAAAAAAAAAAAAGAGAGAGAGATGGTGACTTTCTGTCCTTGAAGTATTCACAACTAGACTAGATCATCACTCAAGGAAAAGGGCGGAAAAGATTCAGCGACCAGGGAAAGGGTCTGCAAATTAGTTTCTGATATTCCTTTGGCTATCCCAGCAGATCTCAGCTGTGTCTGTATTGGGGCCAGCATTTAAAGGAGGAAGGACATCCCACCCAGACCAGTATGGTGGAAGCAAGAGACCTCATCAGAGGACTCCAATGGGAAAATGACTTTCAAAAGACAAGTCAAGGTCCCAAGACCCAGCAACACCTTCCCATGTGGAGATTCTCCTTCCACTGCCAACTTCAGAGGGTCTGGCCTTCACTTTGTGAAGCAAATCAACAGGCCTCCTATTCTGTGACTCAAGAGTTATTCATACAAAGAACTGCTTCTAAGCTCGCAGGAGTTTCACGACAGACCCCGAGGTACAGTGCAAGCCCGCAAGTCCACTTTACAGAGGTCGCAGAGGGATAATGTCCTACCTTCCAGGTTTGGCTTCTGGGCCTCCTCAGAGCCTGAGTGTTCCTGTTTCTGCTGCTGCCTCGCTGTGTGAATGGCCTGAAGTACATCCAGTCGCCGCTCCTCACCAAAGGCTGCAGAGCCCACCACTAGCTCCTCAGCCTCCGATAAGCAGCCCAGAGGCAGCAGCACCCGCTGCACGTGAAATTCTGCCAAGGCTCCATATTCTGGAAGGTTTTGATTGGCTGGGTCTTGGAGCCAGGCACCCACCACATCCAGCACAGCTCCAGGCTCTTGCATTTTGCTGTATAAAAGAATGCTGCAGTCCCCAAAAAACCCAATCCCAACAAAAGAAGAGTCAGTGCTCAATGATTGGTTCATTTCCCATGACCACTATGCTTCTCCTATCCAGCCCCTCCTCACTGTGTCCTCGAGCCCTTTCCGATGAAATGATGATGCTCATGGGAATTCCCCACGACACACCCATCACTAACAGCATAATCAATGGGAAAAGCTGAAAGCCTTTCCTCTAAGATCAGGAGCAAGACAAAGATGCCTACTTTGACCGTTTTTATTCAACATAGTACTGGAGGTCATAGCCAGAGCAATCGGGCAACAGAAAGAAATAAAAGGTATCCAAATTGGAAAGGAGGAAGTCAAGTTATCCCTGTTTGCAGACAGAACTAATAAACGGATTCAGTAAAGTTGTGGGATACAAAAATCAATGTACAAAAAACAGCGTTTCTATACGTGACAGTGAACCATTGGAAAAGAGATCAAGAAAACAATTCGATTTACAATAGCTACCAAAAAAATAAGATACCTAGGAATAAATTAAACCAAGCTGGCAAAAGATCTCTACACTGAAAACTATAAAACATTGATGAAAGAAGTTGAAGGGGACACACAAAAAATGGAAAGATATCCCGTGTTCATTCACAAATTGGAAGAATATTATTAAAATACCCAAAGCAATTTACAGATTTAATGCAATCCCTATCAAAACACCAATGGCATTCTTCAGAAACAGAAAAAACAATCCTGAAATTCGTATGGAACCACAAAAGACCCCAAATGGCTAAAGCAGTTGTGAGCAAAAAGAACAAAGCTGGAGGTATCATATTACCTGACTTCAAACCATACTACACAAAGCTATAACAGTAACCATAACAGCATGTTATGGCATAAAAACAGACAAAATAGAACAGAACAGAGAGCCCAGAAATAAATTCATGCACCTACAGCCAACTGATTTTCAACAAAGGTGCCAAGAACACACACAGGGGAAAAGACAGTCTCTTTAATAAATGGTGCTGGGAAAATCGGATATCCATATGCAGGAGACCAGACCCCTACCTTTCCCCACATACAAAAATTAACTCAAAATGGATTCAAGACTTAAATGTAAAATCCAAAACCATGAAACTACTAGAAGAAAGCACAGGAGAAATGCCTCACAACACTGGGCTGAGCAAGTGTTTTTTTCAGTAAGACCTTAAAAGCACTGGTAACAAAAGCAAAAATGGACAAATGAAATGACATCAAACTAAAAACTTCTGCACAGCAAAGGAAGCAATTAAGAGTGAAGAAACAACCTACAGAATGGGAGAAAATATTTGCAAACTATCCATCTGACAAAGCGTTAATATCCAGAATATATCAGGAACTTAACAGCAGAAAAAAAAAAAAAAAACCTGATTCAAAAGGGAAAAAGACCTCAACAGACATTTCTCAGAAGACGACGTACCATGGCCAACAGGTATATGAAAAAATGCTCAACACTACTAATCATCAGGGAAATGCCAATCAAAACCACAATGAGACACTACCTCGCTCCAGTTAGAACAGCTCTTATCAAAAAGACAAAAGAAAACGAGTGTTGGTGCGGGTGAGGATGTGGAGAAAGGCAGCACTTACACACTGTTGGTGGGACTGTAAATTAGTACAGCCATTATGGAAAACAGAATGCAGGTTCCTTTAAAAAATTCAAAATAGGAAAGACGGCACTTCCTTTTTGTAAGTGGTGGCAAGTGCTGAGAGAATGCCATGAAGGCCTGGGGCACACTGAGAGAGTATTTGCTGCCTGCCCACCCCCAAATGCCACATGCTGCCCCTCTACTGCCAGCAAATCTCTGCACCTAAGCAAGTTGTGCCAAGTCCCGCTTCTGGTACTGCCACCGGCCGACAGTCAAGCAGTTCCACAATTCCAAGATCAAGTTCCTGCTGCCCTACCAGGTCCTGTGTCTTCAGCACAAGCCACACTCCAACATCAAGAGTCCCAACACCTTCTTCTAGGTACAGGGAACTGTCACCGGGTGTCATCAAAATAAACTTAAGAATGGCCAGGTGAAAAAAATAAAAATAGAACTACCACATGATCTAGCAATCCATTATCTCCCCTGTTTAATGCAGCACTATTCACAACAGCCAAGATATGGAATCAACCTAAGTGTCCAACAACAGATGAATGGATAATGTGTGTGTGTGTGTGTGTGTGTGTGTGTGTGTGTATATGTGTACATATATGTATATTATGTGTATATATGTGTTTATATATGTGTATATATATACACACACGCATATATATATATATATATATATATAATGGAATACTATATAGCCATAAAAAAGAATGAAATCTTGTCATTCATGACAACACAGGTGGACCTGGGGGACATCATGTTAAGTGAAATAAGCCAGGCACAGAAAGATAAATACTACATGATTTCACTCATGTGAATCTTTAAAAAAAAAAAAAAGTTGATATCATAGAAGCAGACGGTAGAACGGTGGTTACCAGAGACTGGGAAAGGAAGGAAGAAAAGGAAGACGGGAAGAGGTTCGTCAATGGGTACAAAGTTACGGTGGGATAGGAGGAATAAGTTGTGGTGTTCTATTGCACGGTAGGGTGGTTATGGTTAACAGTAAGGTATTGTATATATAAAATAGCCGGAAGAGAGGCTTTTGAATGTTCCTGTCACAAACAAATGATAAATGCATGAGGTGATGGATATGCTAACTACCCTGATTTGATCATTATACAACATATACACAGCATATATTGAAATGTCTAATTTACCCCATAAATATGTACAAGTGTCAATTTTAAAAACTTTGTTATTTTTTGGCCAGGGGCGATGGCTCACATCTGTAATCCCAGCACTTTGGGATGCCGAGGCAGGTGGATCACGAGGTCAGGAGATTGAGACCATCCTGGCTAACACGGTAAAACCCTGTCTCTACTTAAAACACAAAAAAATTAGCCGGGCGTGGTGGCAGGCGCCTGTAGTCCCAGCTACTCGGGAGGCTGAGGCAGGAGAATGGTGTGAACCCGGGAGGTGGAGCTTGCAGTGAGCAGAGACTGTGCCACTGCACTCCAACCTGGGCGACAGGGCGAGACTCCGTCTCAAAAAACAAAACAAAACAAAACAAAACAAAATTTTTTTTTAAGAATTAGGAATTCCTAGGACGTAGCAAGCTGCTCTTTCAGCTCTGTCCACTCTGTCATCCCACGTCGCTCCTATTCCCTGTTTCCTCCCTTCTTTATATCTATTCTACTCCTAAATTCCTCCCCCTTATTCTTTATTGCTATGTATGGAAGTCTGGGGAAAAAAAAGTGAAGGGAAAGAATCCGATCTGGAGGGCAATAGTAGGGAAGGGGAAAAGAGTAGGTATTTAGGAGAGGAGATGAAAATCCTCTCGTTTCTGAACCGATCTGATGAGTCAGCAAAGAAGACTTACCACAGCTCCAGGACTTTGGGGGGTAGCTTTTCAGGGACCTGGTAATACTGAAGGACCCAGGAGAGGACTTCTTGCCACCGATCCATTTCTGCCAGGGCCTGGATCCCCACAACACACAGGGAGCACTTCACCTCCAATGAGCTGTCAGCAGAAAAACCAATTTCAGTTAGAAGTGGTTCCCCTCCATTTCCATTCCCACCTCCACCTTGGGACTGTTCCTCTCCAGCTCCCAACTCAGCAGCCATCATCTCTCTCATCCCTGTTAGTATTTAGATGGGCTTCACAATTGGTCTCATGGGCTGCCCTTTCCCCCAGGAACTAAAAGTTCCTGTAACCCTCTTTCAAGAGGCAAGTCAGCTGTTGCTCAACGTTCATCTTTGTATCCAGGTGAAATCAGATTTAAATGAAGAGGAAGGGTAATCCTGAGGGGGAAATAACACACAGCACCGGTGTGTGGCTGAAAAGAGAGCTGGAACTAAGAGTTTGCTCTGTGAACAAATGGGCTTGGAGCAAGGTTTCTGGCTGAGTGGAGGTATAGACTCCATAGCTGGCTAAAAGGCACCACCTAGTAAGGTTCCTCCAGACACCCAGAAGCAAAGCCTTCTGCATTCACTGAAATGAGCTCCCACCCAGTCCCCTAAAACACAGCCAGGGCTCTCCAGATCATCCTTCTTTGTGGTCAACTTTAGCTATTCTACCTACCACCTCCCTAGCGTGGCCTAACCCAAGTTTACAATGCAAAGAAATGACTCCCTCACCTGCCAGACGAGGCTGGTGGCATTAGAAAGAGCAATGCAAGCCCAAGGTTTTTTTCTCCGGATTCTTTTCTTTTTCTTCTTTTTGGTAGAGAAGAGGGCTCATTATGTTACCCAGGCTGGTCTCGAACTCCTGGGCTCAAGCAATCCTCCTGCCTCGGCCTCCCAAAGTGCTGGGATTACAGGCGTAAGCCCCAGCTCCCGGCCCTGAATTAATTCTTTAATCCAGTCCTCTAATTGGACCAGAACGCTGCTCCTGCCATGACCCCCATTCCCCATCATCAGCCAAGGTCAGGAATAAACAACCTTGGGCGGGGCGGGGAGGGCGGAGGTACCTGGGAGAGGACTTTTACCACCTGCTTACTGACAGAACTTAGCACTTAATACACATTCAGCCTTCCCATCATGTCATTGTACCTTGGAACAAGGAGCAAATAATTGGCTGTGGGATCCCCACTAAGTTTTTGTTACACGACTTCCCTTCTCTGTAGAATGGGCACACGATGAGCGACCACCCTCTCGGAGACAAACCACTGATGAAAGCGAGGTGTAAAGCTCCTTGTGGGCAATCTGGGAAGGACAGAACTCCTGAGACCTTGAGCCCCACCACAAGAGCGCCCGGAAATCGGTTCATTTCCGAGCCCAGCACGTACGTGCCCGCGGGTTCCTCTGCCACGGCGTGGTTGGCCAGACTCTGCCAGGCCCGCTCGCAGGTCTCCAGCGCCGCCCGGAAGTCCAGGTGCACCACCAGGAGGTCGGCCGCCTCCTCCAGAAGGTCCACGGCCGGCGCCCGGGCCGGGACCGCGCGCACCGGCTCGCTGCTGCGCAGGGGTCCCCCGAGCCCCCTGAGGGGGGCTGCAGAGGTCGAAGAATCGCTCTTCATAACGAGTCCGGGTCCAAGGCCCAGGTCCTCAGACGTCGGAGTGACCGCCTCCCCAGAGGCTCCGGGATATCCCGAGTTGGCCTGGGCGAAGAGGGAGAGTCCTCATCTCTTTGCCCACACCCCTTCCCGAGGTCGATTCCCCGAGAAGGAAAAGGAAGGGGCCTATCTGAGGCAAAAGCTGGGCTCGCCTGGAGGCTGGGGAAGCAGTTTACACGTCAGATTTGCAGGATTCTTGCATCCCTGGAATACCTGGCCCTAGCTTCTCCGGCCCCGCGACACGTGCAGGAACTGCCTCAGCTCCGGGCTCCTGGTTACGATCAAAGACTCACCTCGCCTCCCGGCAGCGGGCGCGGACATCTTTGCGCTCGCCCAGCCCCGCAGCCGCGCGGCGTCCCGGCGGCGCGGAGTACTCTAGGAGTTGTAGTTCCTCAGCTCTCGGCCCATCGCCTTCTGTAATGGAAGTAGGAGGCAGAGCGCGGACTACAACCCCCAGCACGCCGCGCCCCGGAAGCCGCCCCTGTGCCGTGAGAAAACAAACTGGTGCTACAGCTTCGGGGTGCGGAAGTCAAAACGAAGCAAAACCGAAGCTGTCTTGTGAAATGGAGGGGTCCTCACTAACCAGTTCCAGCGGAGGCTAACGGAAGAAGTGCCAGCAATGGATGTGCAGCTACATGCACGCTTTTAATTCAGAGCTTCTGCGACGGTGGCGATCAGGGGATCTGTAATGTAATGTAATGTCAAGGCTGACGCAGAGCTGATCAAACATTTTGGCAACCTTAGTCTTGAATTGATTCACACTTTCTCCGCGTTGCCTCCGGAGTTTGCTGTAGGGTAATGAATATTGCCTGGTGAGGATGAGGGACTTAGGGTGGAAACCTTCACAAGGACCACTGAGAATATGTTGGTCCCAAGGGCAATGTTCCAAAATGAATAGTGACCCCACCGAGGCGGGGTTGGGGGCGCTGAGCATAAGGGCCTCATTTTTCTCACTGCTCTCTGCCCCATCCTGAATTTGCTGTTAAAAAACAACGTTAAATGCAGATACCAATTCCACTTCCCCACTGTTGTCACTTCCGATCTGTCTTTATATTTCTCCTTATCATTTATCACCATCTACATACCAATGTCTATATTTTACTTATTTTTATTGTCTATTTCCTTCCACTATGATATAAACTCACAAAGGCAGACGTTTTTGTCTCTTTTGTTCACTGTGGGAACCTCAATGCCTTGAACAGTGCCTGTCATCTATAGGTAGTCAAAAAGTATTTGTGGAATAAATGAAGTCCTGGTTTCACTTTTATCTGGTTACAGGGTCCAGACTTCTCTTTCCTCGGAGTCTGGTGGACTTGGTTCTGCCTCAGCTTCCCATGCAGACTTTTCTGCAAGAGAACGGAAATCCCAGAAGATGGATGTGTGCATGTCTGGTGACAAGGGCAGGGGATGTATGATGTGAGCAGGTGCCTGTTTAATCTAATTTCTAGGAGAGCAAAGATTCTAGGGAAGCTTTGGAGTGAATTCAAAGGGTAGAGAACTGGGGAGAAACTAAAGCCAAGAGGATCTAGTACAAATGTGGGAAGCTTGGCAAAGCCCGGGTGAAACAGAATATAATAATAAGTGTGATTTGTGGATCTGTTTAAAATTATTATTATAGTTACAATTTACCAAATACTCTGTTCCCAGTACTTTACTATAAAGTGCATTATGTACGGTATGGTTTTGTTTTTCACAATGTCCTTATTTTACATTGTGTAACTTGCTCATGGAATGACTGTGTATCCCCTGAATAGCAAACATACTTAGTTCTGTCCCTGCAGAGCAGAGTAGAGCTCAATACACATCTTTGAACCAAAAGAGCCTCGGTTTGACTGAGATTTTGTCGCTTACTAGTTGTGTGACCTCGGCAATTTATTTAAATAAGCTCTGATTTCCTCACCTGTAAAATTGGGATAACAGTTTGTCCTTAGCTCCCAATGGCTGAGGGAAGAATTAAGTAATATTGCGCATAAAGCGCCATGCGCATTAAGCACTGAAAATGTGAGCCAGGCCTGGGAAGACGAACATGCTCAGAAGCGGCCAGCTCTAAGCGGCTGCTGCCTGGAAAAGTCCCTTTCCTAACAAATTTCTTGCTATTCCAAATTTGTCCAGGAGATGGAGGCACAGTCTTAACAGAAGCAGCCTTGCTAAAAGTAAATTTGCCTATTTAGTAGTGAGACAGCCAGAATGAGGTCAAGATATTTAAGGCAGGAGAGAGGAGAGCTAGAAACCATATAAAAATATGATTGTATTCCATTTCTGATTCACCCAATTTTCAACTATTCCCGGGCTTCATATCAGTCCGTATGTAACCACTGTTTAGCACTATTATGCCCACAAATGGATTCCTCAACACACATCCAGTGGGACACATCATCTCCTCTATGTCTACAAGTACTTAGACTTTCTCAAGCGAAGACACAGAAATCCTAAACAGAAGCGAATTCATTCCCTCTGGGGGAACATAAATGCGTATTGTCTTTACTTAGCCAAACTTCTGTCTCTAAGTTGGAGCTCATGGGACAGCCTTTGAAATCATCTCTTCTGTCATTTCCTCATCTTTGAGACAAAAAACACAGTGGAAATAAGGACAGTCCTTTCAGATGTATAAGGCCAGGCCCATATTAATATTTGTATTGTTTGAATAGTTTTATTTTGGGAAAACTGGCAGAGCACCTGAGATGCCAGTATCCTCGTTACAACCCCTTCCCTAGCCCTACCTAGGCTCTGGAACTTGGGGTTGTTCCTTCCATTTGGCAGAGGGCTCAGTGTGGCTCCTTGCCTGAGGAGGCAGATTTGCTCAGCCTGCTGTAGCAGGGGATGAGTTGTTGTTTTTGTAGCAGAAAGCACACTGGACTGGAGATGAGAGGCATGGCTAGAATCCTGGTTCCTTCAGGTGGGGCACAGTGGTTCATGCCTGTAATCCCAGCACTTTGGGAGGCCAAGGCAGGAGGATTGCTTGAGCTCAGGCATTCAAGACCAGCCTGGGCAACATGGTGAAACCCTGTCTCTACAAAAATTAGCCAGGCGTGGTGGAGCACGCCTATAGTCTCAGCTGCGCAGAAGGCTGAGGTGAGAGGATGGGTTGAGCCCAGGAGGTCGAGGCTGCAGTAAGCTGAGATACACCACTACACTCCAGCCTGGGCGACAGAGTGAGACCTTGCCTCAAATAAAATAAATAAAAATTTTTAAAAAATAAAAAAGAATCCTGGTTCCTTCAGTGACAAAGCCAGGTGACCTCTAGAAAGTCACCATACTTCTTTGTGCCTCAGTTGTCTCATCTGAGGACACTAATACTAACACCTGCTGCATAGGGTGGCTGTGAAGAGCAGAAGAAACCATGTGACAGCCCATTGAACACTTGTCAATCACTGGACTCGTTCAGGCTGATGTAAGGCAAGAAAGAAGAAAGAATCTCAGCCCAGCGCGGTGGCTCATGCCTGTAATTCCAGCACTTTAGGGGGCCGAGGTGGGCAGATCACTTGAGGCCAGGAGTTCAAGACTAGCTTGGCCAACATGGTGAAAAACCATCTATACTAAAAGTACAAAAGTTAGGCAGGCATGGTGGTGTCCACCTGTAGTCCCAGCTGTTCAGGAGGCTGAGGCATGAGAATGTCTTGAATCTGGGAGGCCTCCGCAGTTGCAGTGAGCCAAGATTGGGCCACTGCACTCCACCCTGGGCAACAGACCAAGACTCTGCCTCAATTTAAAAAAAAGAAGAAGAAAGAATCTCATAGCACTCCGAAGTTCTGTAATATTACTTTCTGACCTAGAATCCAATTCTTTTTTTTTTTTTTTTTTTGAGACAGGGTCTCGCTTTGTCGCCTAGGCTGGAGTGCAGTGGTGCGATCTCGGCTCACTCACAGCCTCTGCCTCCCGGGCTCAAGTGATTCTCCTGCCTCAGCCACCCGAGTAGCTGGGATTACAGTTGCATGCCACCATGCCCAGCTCATTTTTGTATTCTTAGTAGAGACAGGATTTCTCCATGTTCTCCAGGCTGGTCTCAAACTCCTGACCTCAAGCCATCCACCTGCCTCAGCCTCCCAAAGTGCTGGGACTACAGGTGTGAGCCACCGTGCCCAGCCCTGGAATCCAATTATTGACTCTTCCATGCAAAAATCAAAAATGCCCACATCTGGCTGGGCACAGTGACTCATGCCTGTAATCCTAGCACTTTGGGAGGCCAAGGCAGGAGGATCACTTGAGCCTAGGACTTTGAGACCAGCCTGGGCAGCATAGCAAGACCCCATCTCTATTGAAAAATGTTTTCTAATTAGCTGGTCATGGTGGCACGTGCCTATAGTCCCAGCTACTTGAGAGGCTAAGGCAGGAGGATCGCTTGAGCCCAGGAGTTCAAGGCTGCAGTAAACTATGATGCGCCACTGCACTCAATCCTTCAAGCCTGGGTGACAGAGCAAGACCCTTTCTCAAAAAATAAAAATGAAAAGCCTACATCTGACGTCAACCTAGCCTGTCTTGCCTTCTCCACACTGGTTCCACATTTCAGGCCAATAAACAGCATCCACAGCTGTCCCTTCGAACATCCCAACCAGCCAGAGCCCCTCAGTACAGGGACATCTGTGGCAAAGCTCTGCATGCAATAGGTTCAGACCAAGTGTGGACCTTTGGCCAGAAGCGAGCCAAGGAGATAAGTATAGGTAGGGTGGAGATGATGTTTTTCCAGGATGGTCAAGGCACACCTCCCTTGCTCCAGAGGCTCATCAGTGGGATGGCATTTTTATGGCTCTTTTTTAAAGCCTGGACTAGGAGTTCAGGGCAGAACTCAATGCTTCCTATAGTGTTCCTCTCCTTGTAGACACAGCAGAACTCTGCTTCTGTATCTAAGAAGTGACCATCATAATCATCCTGTATAGTACTTTACAACAATAATAGTGATGGCTCAATTTATATGGTATGATATTAACTATGCACTAGGTGCTTTTCTGAGTGCTTTATTTATTTGTTTATTTATTTATTTATTTATTTAAGACAGGGTCTCTCTGTGTTGCTCAGGCTGGAGTGCACTGGTGCCATCACAGCTCACTGCAGCCTCAACCTCCCGGGCTCAAGCAATCCTTGTAACTCAGCCTCTAAGTAGCTGGGACTACAGGCACATGCCACCACGCCTGGATAATTTTTAAATTTTTTGTAGAGATGGGGTCTCACTATGTTGACCAGCTTGTCTTGAACTCCTGGGCTCAAGCAATCTTGCTGCCTCAGCCTCCCAAAGTGCTGGGATTACAGGTGTGAGCCACCACGCCTGGCCTGAGTGCTTTACATTTAACTCATTTGAATCCTCATAACCATATGATGAAAGTCCTAGTCTCATTCTTATTTTGTAAAGGAAGAAACTGAGTTATAGGGAGGTTAAATAACTTGTCCAAGGTCACCCAACAAGTGCATAGTGGAGCTGGGGGAGGTGTGCGGACTTAATCCGGACCACTGGGCTCCAGTCTTTCTTCTTAACTAGTATAATACTGGATCTACAAGGTACTTTTGCTTGTCTTATTTGACCTTGACAGCAAACCTGTGAACAAGGTCATACAGGTATATTATTATTATTATCCCTATTGATAGATGGGAAATGAAAGCTTGGAAACTCTGCCGAAGTTTAAAATCCATGGTTTCAGTGGCAAAGCTGGGAAGGAGGTTTCTCACCAGATCCCATGCCCAGGGGCCATGCTTCAAAGGGCCTCCATAGCTCCTCTTCATCTGCCTTGAAGGTGACTCCAGGAGCCCCTCCATTTCTTACCTACCCCAGGAGTCAGAAGATGCACTCAGGGAAGGCTGAACAAATCTTCACGATGCCAGATCAATTCATTCCCTCTCCAAGCCTGAAAAACGAAACCAGTAATGGGTGTGCACTGGGGATAATTCAGCCCTGGCTCTATTGTGGAAGGGTATAAAGATGCTCTCTCCTCCCAGAGTCTTTCCTGATCCTACCTGATTCAGGCAAATCACTCTTTCCCAATTGTGCTTTGCTTTCTTGATGCCTCACCTGTGGGTCCTTCCAAGTTTCCACAGTTCCTTATAGTTATTTGTGTCATTCCCCTACTGTACTGTGTTCTCCTGTGGGCAGGGACAGGGTCCCACTCATTCTGGGATCCTGGTGCCATCTAGCTTGGTGTGAAATAATAGCATGTAATGCTGCAGAGGGACCCCACCTCCCTTGTGCTCTTCAGTGTCATATGGCCTTGACTTTCAGGCACCCTTGCTGGTAAGCACTGTGTGAAAAGGTTGGAAGCTGAGAAGGTCCGTGCCCTGGCCCAGGCCTGCAAAAAGACAGACACTGGCAGGTGTTTCCAGATATTGATCTGCCCAGCCTGACTTCTTGTCTATGAGCAATTTGCAACTAGAGTTCTTTTCCTTATTTCCTAGAAATAATCTAATAAACTCAGTCACTCTGAGCCACAGAATTTTAGAGTTGGAAGGAGCTTTATACTACAGTCAAGGAGAAACTGAGGCCCCACTCGGCATCTGTTTCCGGAGTAGAGTAAGAAGGACACCAGATGCAACACTTAAAAGTCGGTGAAGTGAGGAAAACAGGTGTCTGTGTATATTTTTAATCAATGACATTTCAGTTCACTTCAAAAGTTAAGGGCTACTCAGCCAAGCTCCAGTCTACTTGGTTTTGTAAAGACCTTTCTCTGCAAGTTAGGATGTTCAGGAAAAATGACCCTTCCAGCTAGGTGTGGTGGCTCATCCCTATAATCCCAGCACTTTGGGAGGCTGAGGTGGGTGGATCACCTGAGGTCAGGAGTTCGAGAAAAGCCTGGCCAACCTGGTGAAACCCTGTCTCTACTAAAAATATAAAAGTTAGCTGGGCATGTTGGTGGGTGCCTACAATCCCAGCTACTCGGAAGACTGAGGCAGGAGAATCACTTGAACCCAGGAGGCGGAGGTTGCAGTGAGCTGAGATTGCACCATTGCACTCCAGCCTGCGCAGCAGAGCAAGACTCTGTTTCAGAAAAAAAAAAGAAAGAAAGAAAGAAAGAAAAAAGAATGACCCTTCCTGGGATTCACAGGGCACAACTCTTGGAGGTGTTAATCATATCGCACATCGTGTGGGTGGGGGTGGCGCCCCCTGGAGGTGTGCAGTTTTACAGTGTGCCAGGCCGGATGTGGCAGCCTACCTTGTTCCTGCGCCACACTAACATGGGTTTTGATGGCGAAGTCCAGACACATTCAGTTTTCTGCGGACACTCCCAGTTTGTGGCAACAGCAAAGATTCTGCCCATCCCCCCAGCCCCAGTCTCTTATCGTCCCTCACTGAGGATGGGCTGCTCAACAGACAGGCTGCCTCTAAGCAGGTACAGACCTGCCTGCGCGGAGTTCTCCGGGAAGAAGAGGATCCCGAATGGTAAGGCATGCAGTCACCATCCCTTCTATTTTGAGTCCTGCTGGGAAACTTGTTTGTTCTTTGTGCATCTGGTTCTGAAATGTAGCGGGACAGTGGAAATATATTACAGGTAGACTCCACACACCCTTCCCCTAATCGCTCATGACAGAGGTGATTACCTGGGCAGCATGAATGAGTAGGTGAGTTCATAGTTCTCCTCTCTGACAGCCAGAGTCTAAGGGATCAGAAAAACAGAGATGGAAAAACAGGAATGACATGTTACCATAGCAAACAAGGAAACTCATGTGTACACAGCCTATGATTGAAACCACCATGTTATTATAGCCTATGAAATAAACAGAGATGAAAAGGCATCTCTCTTCTTCCCTTCCCAGGGCCATCTTGAAGGGACTCCTTCCCCTCTGACTTCCTGTCACAGGCATTTGTCATTATGATTTTCGCCAGCTGCTCCTGGTTTTCAGAAACTCCATTTTCCATACCTGAGAAAACCTTCTGTGGGATTAGAGGAAACTATGGATCCAAGGTTTTACAAACGGGAATCTGGTTGTTCAGTATCCACTGTCTTTTGTCTTTTGTTTTTGCTTAAATGATACATACCTAAAGTAAAAATAATTCAAAGACACAAAAGTACAAAGAGAATGAGAATCATCTGAAATCCTACCACTCCTAATAAGAACTTTTAGCACTGTGCTGCATATCCCTCCACAAGCACACACAATGAGCATGCGTAGCTACACAGAGTTATGCCACTCTGCACCCTGACTTACCCATGGTGCGTCAGGGGAGTCCTTTCTATTCTTCAATTGGATATTGGAATTACTACCTAAAACAAGAAATCAAACAATCCCGCTGTTACTAATAATGACTTAGCTGTTTACAGTTCTCTGTAGCTAAAAAGCAAGTATACGTCCTTGATCCCATATAGTCCTGAAGCTGCAAGGAGAACTCTGGGGTGCCCAGCTCCCTCCTTTGTATGCTTCATTCTCCTCATCCTTCACATTTGTGTGGTACTTTACAACTTAAAAAGCACTTTCACATTATTTGATTTGATTATCATGAAGTGAGATGATCAAGCATAAGATACGTAAAAATGATTGCAGTGACAATGATAATAGTCATAACGATATTTATCGAGAAATTAGTGTGTGCCAGGCTCCATGCTAGGTCCATTACATGCATTGATGCATTGCTTCATTTAATGCTCATTATCCCCATGTTAAACATCATAGAACTATGGCTTAGAGAGGCTGAGTAGTTTGATCACATTTCCACAGCTAATCCAGGTGGAATTCTAATCCAGGTATCTCTGACTTGAAAATTCCTTGTTATTAACCACTGCATCATACTGCCTCTTATAACGACTGATCTTTGTGCAGTACTTTATAAAAAAACCTCTAGATTATATTATTGTCTCAATTTTATAGCTGAAGAAACTAAGGCCGGAGAGGTTACATGTTTGCCTGAGTCTCAGAGCTGGGATCCTAACCAGTTTGATTCCACCTCTGCTGCTGTTTCCACTGCACTGTACCAGACTCTCTCCTCAAAGAGAAGGTGCTGGGTGTCAAAACTCTTCTCTCAAGTCTCCAGAAAGGGGAGTCCTTATTAAGATCTTTCAAAAATCCTTCCTGCTGCAATGAAATCTGTGTGCCTTTTTCTATGGGAACAAAGGTCAGCCTCTTGCGTGGAGACTGAGTTCTCATGCACTAGTTGGGAAGAAGGAGATAAAGTTCTCGGAGCTCCAGTCTGATCTAGGTGGTTTCTTCTTCACAATGTTCTTGTGTGTTTGGCATAGGGCAGAGTTGGTCTGTCTTACTCTTTTTTTATTTTTTTCAGAGAGGAAGGAGGGAGACTGTTTATTCTTGAGGATATGAAACTAGAGATGATACAAAATAGAAGGAGATGCAGGGAAACCATTTAAACCCAGGGTGAGTGGAAGGCACATACAAGGAATTCCACGGCATCTTTTTTGACTTATAGGCAAAGTGTCAGTTTATGGAGGTATCTAGGCCATTAATATTTTCCCCTTTAGAGATAACAAGTGTTATTTATAAAGCACTCTTTTCTAGAATGAACTCAAAGCACTGAATGGGTGCTGCCTAATTACTCCACCCAACAAACAATCAGGCAGCCAGGAAAAGAGAGAGAGAATTATGCCCATTTTACAGTTTGGGAGACTGAGCCATGAAAAGAGTGAGGCCTTGCTCAAAACTAGCTCATGGAGAGCTGAAAATAGAAGGCAAGCCTCCTAATAGCACCCTCGCATCTCACTGTGTACAGCTTTCCTGCTTTCAGATGTCCTCCTGAGAAAGGAGAGCCTGCTTGCTGGCCAGAGAAAAGCAGCCGACATTCTCTGGTGACTACAGCTCCCAGCAGACACCGAGAGGAGACAGGGCTGTGCCCCTAGTACCCATTCCAGATTCCCAAATATGGAGAAGCACTGGGTTTTGGAAGAGGAATGGAATGTTTACCCTTGAGAGACAGAGAGAGAGAGGATGAGGTAAGTTTGGAATATTTAACTCTGTCACCTAAATGCCTGCCTGGTCTTTGAAATACAGCAGCCAAAGTCATGATCTTTTAATACATCTTTCTAGAAGATCTCACTTTTTAAATCCAGCAGTTACTTCAGCAGAACACTGCTTTCTCCTAGGATTAGGTGTGTGATGATGGGACAGTTGTAGTTCCAGGAGGCCAGATACCCTTTTTCTGACGCTGAGCAGCTCAGAAAGTGATGGTGGGAAGGAAACCCAGGTGAAGATCTGCTCTGCTGCAAAAGGAGCAGACGTCCCCGAGGCTGTGCTGCTGGCAGGCTTGCCGAACCAAAGGACCAGCGGCCTGGGAGGACAAGGGTTACTCTTTGTCTGCCTGGGAGGCTGCTGAGCCCGCCTGGTGGGAAAGGCGTGAAAGAACTGTTCCCACTAGCTTGGTCTCCATTCTGTCAACAAATGTTGACAGAAGCACCTTTGCTGGAGGCACTAGGCTGGATGCTGAGGGGGATGTCTGACACAGAGCAGATCTCTGCCCTCAGGAGGCTTCCCCTCGGGGGAGGATGGAAAAGGAAAGATGGAGCAAGGAAGAAAGAGACAGACAACATAGGGCAGCGTGTGCTTACACCTTTCATTCAGTGTTTATTTACCCGTCGCCCACCATGTGCCAGGCGGGCACTGTTCTAAGCCACTTGGAATGCAATTGTGACTCTGCCAAAAGAAAAGGCTTCTGCCCTTACAGATCTCACTTCCTGGCAGCCCCTGATATCTGGGGGAAGAGTTCTTCAAGCAGAAGTCACAGCAGCAAGTGCGGGGCCTTGAGAGGGGTGTGAGGGTGGTGAGCATGCGAGCAGAAGGCCAATGTGGTGGGAGGAGAGTGGACAAGGGCAGGAGCAGGAGGTGGGAGAGCCAGGCTGGGGTCAAAGCACACAGGGCCTCATAAGGATCAGGAGGAGGGATTTCTTTCTAACTGTAGTGGAAACCAGTGAACTGTCCCCAATGAGGGGAGCAGACTCTAAAAGAGTCTGGAGAATGGTGCAAGGGTGTTGCTGAGCAGGGATGGACAGGAGGATGGATTCCGATCTAGAGAGAAGGTGCTGCCATCAAGAAGACCTTCAGAAGCTGGGTGTGGAGCCAGGCCAGCACATGGCCTGTCCAGACCATCCATCTGTCCAGAGACATGGTCACATGGGAAGCAGTGGATGGCGAGGCTGGAGAGGGGGGATCAGGAAGGTGTTTGTTTGTTTGTTTGTTTGTTTGTTTGTTTTTTGAGACAAGGTCTCACTCTATTACCCAGGCTGGAGTGCAGTGGCACCACCTAGGCTCACTACAACCTCCACCTCCCAGGTTCAAGCGATTCTTGTGCCTCAGCCTCTGAAGCAGTTTCACCATGGTGGCCAGGCTGGTCTCAAACTCCTGGGCTCAAGTGATCCACCTGCCTTGGCCTCCCTAAGTTCTGGGGATACAGGTGTAAGCCACTGCACCCAGCCTAAGTAGGAAGATTTTTGAGTCAGAAGGCTCTGAGCCTCAGGTTAACAGTAACAGGGAGACTTGGGTACATAGAGGCATTTTTCACAGACTTAGACGTCCATCTGAGAACCTGGTCTCCACCAAGAGGCCACCATTTTCCCCTAAGAGATTTGTTGCTTTGGAGGCTTCTGAGTGCCACATTGAAACCAAGGTGGCTGAGCTGCACAACTCCAGTGGCCCCGTGGACTTTGTATTGTATGTGAAAGGTGCCCCCAGTGCATAACGTAAACCACAGGGCAAGGCACCTGGTGGCACTGTGCGATGGCAGAGGCACCGTTTAGCATTTGGAGGATAAAGTGTCAAACCCACCAACAAGGACACACGGCACTTTAGTCACTCCCTTGACCCCTCGACCCAGCACAGCTGGCTGCAGAACAGGAAGAGGAAGGGGGATGAGAAGAACCGGGTGAGAGAGAGCTGAAAGGGAGAACGGAAAAGAGGGGTTAAAGGAGTAGGTAAGGGAAGGAGCACTTAATTTAGGTCATTCTTTTGCCTAGCAAAATGTGAGAGGGAAGTGAAAGATTGAGAAGAAGGGTAGCAAAAAGGGAGAAAATGATTGCGCAGGTGGCTGAGTTGCAAGTAGTTTTAGTAGAATTGTCCACAGCTGTGATCACTCTGGTGCAATGTGGCATGCATCACGTCCTGCCAGTCTGTGGAAATCAGGGCAGTAGCAAGGTGCCGAGACTGCAGTGTTGGGGATCTAAAGAAGACCCTGCCCCTGAGGAAGACAGTTGGCTTGGAGCCATCCAGTTCCTGGACATGCAGGATGAGCCGCTAGTCCACATTAAGCTCCCCACCAAGGGGTCTTATCCTCACTACTCCCTTTCTGTCTGAATTTGGGGAGACCATGGTACCACCCCAATAGATCAGAGCTGAATAAATTCAAAGCAAATGACAATCCCTGCCATGCTGCTGCTTCTCTCAAACCCCAGCAGCCAAACAGATAAAGGACTTTGTATGAAGAGGGAGCAGCAGACTGCTGTATGGGTGGCAGGGATGATGTGATGGGATTGGTGTGTTCTCTGCCCAGTCAGATCCATTTTCAATTCTCAATAATAGCAAGTAGCAATAAAATATTCTCTTAGACCATCACATCGAGGTTGCGTACTTCCTTGGACATGCAAGACCCGGCAGATTGTAAAGCGAGCCACGGTATTTAGGAGCCAGGACCCACATGCCAATGTCATCACCTCTCCTGCCTCTCACCCCACCTCCTTTCCAGAGCCATTGAATTTAGAGCAGTGTTGCCCTCTGCTCTCTGCACCAAATGCAACTGGCATACAGCTGCAGATATGGCTGCCATGCCCCATCCATCCTACAGGTGCCCATTGTCAAGTGAAGAAATGCCTGACTTTGGAGTGACAGCGTCAGAGTGTGTGGAAAGAATCCTCCTATCCCCAAACCACCCGAGAATTACATAGCTGTGCCCCATCATGCTGGCTAAGAACCTCTGCCCTCCTGCCCCCGCCTCTGCCTGCACCTGCATGACTTGCAGCTTAGCAAGCCTCTGAGCGATGACACAGCTTTGACCGACGGGGGCCGCCACTGCCTGCCCGTTGGTGGGCACAGCCAGGAAGACTCCTTCAAGGAGCACACGCTCATTTCATCCATCTCCTGGAAGCAGCTTGCCCATGTCCCTCAGGACCCAGCCCCTGCCTGCCTTCCTGGCCTCATTTCTCACTCCTAGTCTCCTCCTCATACCCACAGCTGCAGTCATAAAGCCCACCCTGCCACTGTCCTGGCCCACTCTGCCCTCTCTCAACCTGGGACTTTAAGCAAATGACTCCTTCTTCTTGGAAGCCCCTCTCTGCTTCCTGGACAGGCTGACCCCTTTTAACCCTCCAGAGTTTAGCTCAATTATCACCCCTTCTGGGAAGATTTTCCTAAATCTCTCCTTGCCTCTGTCAGGTGGGTGACGAGCTACTTGTCTATCTTCCTGTGGCACCCTGTACTTACCTGCATTGCAGCCTGCTCACCGTCTGCTTACGGAAGCAAATCCCACACCAAACTATTAACTCCTGCAGGGCTTTGCTGCGCATTTTATTTCTAACTCCTTACCTAGCTAGGCAGTGAATATTTCTTGAATGAATGATCAGGATCCCTTGGCCTCGTGAGTAACCAGGTCTCCACTAGCGAGGTAAAATAAAGAAGTAAGGCTGTGATCTCAACCTTCCAGGCCAGTCACCTGTCTTATCAAGCACATCTGCGTCCTGGAGTGTTGACTCCTGCACCCGCACTCTAGGCCCTCCCTTGGCCTCCCCCACCCAGTCCTTATTCCCACCTCTGCCACCCTGTACCCTGAGGCTCCCCTTGGGCACTCTGTGGCTAAGAAAACAAAAGTGTCTCTCTGGTTTACCAAAGAGAACGTGCTATATCCTTGGATAAGGCCTTCCTTTCCCCCCTTCTCTTCCTGAGTTAGGAGAACCTGGGCTGCACCCTTTCCAACTGCTGGATCAGCCTCTGCCCGCCTCCCACCCCAGCCCCCACCTGAATGGGAGAGGAAACACAAAACCTCAGAGAGGGTCTGGAGGCAAGAAGCAAATTGAGTTTGAAAAACGGGACTTGGCTGGGTGCGGTGGCTCACACCTGTAATCCCAGCACTGTGGGAGGCCGAGGCAGGCGGATCGTTAGGTCAGGAGATTGAGACCATCCTGGCTAACATGGTGAAACCCCGTCTCTACTAAAAATACAAAAATTTAGCTGGGCGTGGTGGCGGGCGCCTGTAGGCTACTCAGGAGGCTGAGGCAGGAGAATGGCGTGAACCCAGGAGGCGGAGCTTGCAATGAGCCGAGATTGCGCCACTGCACTCCAGCCTGGGCAACAGAGCGAGACTCTGTCGAAAGAAAAAAAGAAAGAGAGAGGGAGGGAGGGAGGGAGGGAAGGAAAGAAGGAAGGAAGGAAGGAAGAAGGAAGGAAGGAAGGAAGGAAGGAAGGAAGGAAGGAAGGAAGGAAGGAAGGCAGGCAGGCAGGCAGGCAGGCAGGCAGACAGACGGGACTTGTACAAGCAAAATAGGCTGAGAATATCAACATTCAGTTAGGAAAGCAGAGGGGAGATGTGATTGGACGCTGCCGTCCTAGAGGCCTCGTTCAGGCAGGTTGGGAACGTACAGCTGGAAGAAAACGTTAGTCAGATATTAGCAGGAACCATCTTGATTTACTCAGTGTTTTAACAGATTTCCACTGTGGGGATTGTCTCCTTGGAATCAGAGTTGGGAGTGAGTGTGAGACCCCTGGAATCCCTTTCTGCCCTGGAATTCTATGCTCTAGGCCAGCGGTGGCCTTCCTGGGACCCAAGTTCCGTTAAAGCTATTTTCATCAGCAGTAAATTAGCTAGTCTGGGAGGATGGGAAAGTAGTGCTTCTAAAGGAGGCAATTCACTAGGTCAGGATGCCCTGGGGCAACAGTGGAGCAGCTTTGGATCCCAGAACAACAGCCTCCAGTGTTCAGGATGCGGTAGGTTAAGTGGGGAATCTCCACAGAGCCTGACCCATCCTCAGAGCGGGCAATACCAGGACCCCCGGATAAAACCGCAGAGACTTCCGAACTCCCTGGGGCTAACAGCTCACCATTTGTAACACTAGCTATTCAAGGAATGAAGCTTATGGTGCAGGCTTAATCTTAACAATAATCCTGGCTATTGCCATTAGACTGAAGCTCAGAAAAGTTAAGAAATTTGCCTGACACTACAAGCTAGTAAATGGCAGGGCCAGATCCTAACCCAGAAATGGGACATCAATTCGGCTATACCACATCACCCCAACTCCCAGTGCTCCTCCCAGAGGAACCGATTCAGTGAGTTGGCCGGTGGCAGGGATGGTCTAGCCTAAGCTCCACAATTCCCTCCCCAGAATAAAAGGGAAGACCGAGATCTCAGTGCCTATCAGATTTATGTTGGTGGCACACGAGCGCTGCCTCTGAAGACAAACATATGTGAAGCTCCCGGTGTCCTTTTTCCTGGCTGGGCCAGGTTCTTTCAGCAAGCAAGAACTCACTGGGCTGTGCAGAAAAAGCAGGGTTGGAGGGGAGAGTCGAGCTAAAGAGGCGTCTGAAGTAGTGGAGAGAGCCCTAGGCTGGGTCAGAATGTCTAGGTTCTTTTTCCGGTTAGTGCAGAACAAGTTACTTCCTCTCCAATCCCCAGAATCTTTATCAAGGAAAAGGGTGTGGGGTGGTGAAGAACAGAGGTATTAGCATAAGGAAATGCCCACTATACTGACCTTGCTGGGTTATAAGGATAAAATGCAATCATTACTGTGAAAGAACATTGACTAATATGAAGTGCTGTATGTAGTCATGTTTTATAAAATCCTTAAGCTCTTGTATCATTGACTCTCCAGCTCAGTGTGTTTCATAGCGAGGTGCTGGCGCTCAAATGGCCCAGCCTAAGCATTGCAATGCCCTAGGGTTCTCTGTGATCTGTTGATCATATCATCCAACCACATCAAAATCTTGACAAGATCAGTCCTGCCTGGCTGTCCACTCTTGAACTCTAGACTCCTGATATTAACCTCAGTCCCACTTTTCTAAACAAGTTGGCCAGGCACGGTGGCTCACGCCCGTAATCCCAACACTTTGGGAGGCCAAGGCGGGTGGATCACCTGAGGTCAGGAGTTTGAGACCAGCCTGGCCAATATGGTGAAACCCGTCTCTACTGAAAATACAACAATTATCCGGACGTGGTGGTAGACGTCTGTAATCCCAGCTACTTGGGAGGCTGAGGCAGGAGAATCGCTTGAACTTGGGAGGTGGAGGTTGCAGTCAGCCGAGATCACGCCATTGCACTCCAGCCTGGGCGACAAGAGTGAAACTCTGTCTCTAAATAAATAAATAAATAAAACAAGTCAAGTTCTTTCTCATCACTGGACTTTGCAAATTCCAAGTCCATAATTCAGAATACTTGGTCTGATCATCCCTACCCCACATCTAAGGTCAGCATGTCAGCATTCAAAAAGCAGAGACCAGCAGGCATGGTGGCTCACGCCTGTAATCCCAGCACTTTCAGAGGCCAAGGCAGGTGGGACACTTGAGCCCAGGAGTTCAAGACCAGCCTGGGAAACATGGCAGAACTCTGTCTCTACCAAAAAGAATACAAAAATTAGCTGGGCCTGGTAGCAGGCACCTGTAGTCCCAGCTACTCAAGAGACTGAGGTGGGAGGATCACTTGAGCCCAGGAGATGGAGGCTGTACCTATTATTGAACTACTGCACACTACTCCAGTCTGGGCAACAGAGTGAGACCCTGTCTCAAAAAAAAGAAAAAAAAAAAAAAAGCAGAGACTGTCTTGTTTGCATCATATATTGCAATATCAGTGCAGTGCAGAATGGGTGTCAGTAATTGCTTGATGAAATGTGAATTTCCCTTCGATTTCCCTTCCCACCTCTGCCTATTTTTTCCTTGCTACTGAGATGGTGATTGTTCTGACCTCATTCTATGGGGATGCCACAGAGATTAGCTCATTAAAAATGGTGAAGCTCTCCTGACACTTTGTGTTAATGTTTAACAAAAATAGCTGGGGGTGTAATGACTCAGGGAGACAACGAGAAACCCTTTGACTTTCTTAGACTGGCAGGACAACAAGTTACCCCCGTTCTCCTCCCACACACACTGGCTCTGTGGGAGCCCTGACCCTTGCCCTCAGTGCCTCCCACCCTGCCCTCTCCTCTGGGCAAGGCACGTTCCCAGCCTTAGCCTGGGAGGCTGAACCCCACCCACCGTCGCCTTGGACATGGCCTCTCCCTCTGGGAGATTCTTGCAACCATGAGATGGCTGGAGCTTTTGGAAGCATGGCAGAGTCTGGAGGCCACAGTCACCTGCTGCTGAGGTTCCCGTGCCCCTGCCCCTTTTCCAGATCAGACTACGGAGCTGGGGCACGTGAAGAAGGGCAGTTTACTTAGTTCTTCCCTAGGATGGAAAAAGGGAGGGGAATGGTCACTGGCAGTGAATAAATTAAAGACCCATGCCAGCTGGAGACCATTGGGGAAAAACAGCAAATCTGTGAATTATCCTGTTTACACCAGAAGTAAACTGATAGTTTGGACCTTTACCTAATAGATTGTGCTGAAATCACAGGCCATTCACGAGGACAAATGCATGGAGCTGTGCCTCTGCCCCTCCATATTCATTGAAGACTTTGGCACCACTTCATTCCAAGTCTTGCCATCATCGTGGGTAACTTCAATGTCCAAACAGACCAACTATTTACAAACTCAGAATCACAACCCATTAATGTGTCACGAAATTGATTTCGAGGACTGTGGCCAGCAATCTTTTTTTAAAGAAACAGAGTAGAAAGAAAATATTAGAGTACTTCACATGTAAGAAAGGTGGTTTGGGGGTAAAATATTTATTTTAATTATATGTATAATATAAAACATATGCCAATAATAGGTTATTTCCATGACATAATACCTTCATGTGTAATAGGTCATGGTGTAAACTACTTTTCTTGTTGTGGGCCATAATCAAAAGTCTAAAAGAGAAAGGAGTATATACAATGGAATGTTATTCAGCCTTACAAAGGAAGGAAATTCTGATACATGCTACAAAACAGTTGAACCTTGGGGACATTTGTGCTAAGTGAAATAAGCAAGTCACAAAAGGACGAATATTGTATGGTTCTACTTTTATGAGGTACTTAGAATGGTCAAATTGATAGAGACAGAAGTCTGGAGAATGGTGGTTGCCAGAAATCCGGAGAATGGTGGTTGCCATGGGCTGGCCAAGGTAGAGGGGGAGGGATGGGGAGTTGTTTAATGAGTACAGAGTTTCTGTTTTGCAAGATGGAAAGAGTTCTGTGGCTGGGTGGTGGTGATGGTGGTACAACCATGTGAATGTACTTAATGCCACTTAACACACTTAATGTTCTTCATACAATGTACTTAATACACTTAAAAATAGTTAAGATGGGGGGCCAGTCACGGTGGCTCATGCCTGTAATCCCAACACTTTGGGAGGCTGAGGCGGGCAGATCACGAAGTCAGGAGATCAAGACCATCCTGGCTAACACAGTAAAACCCCGTCTCTCCTAAAAATACAAAAAATTAGCCAGGCTTGGTGGCGGGTGCCTGTAGTCCCAGCTACACGGGAGGCTGAGGCAGGAGAATGGTGTGAACCTGGGAGACGGAGCTTGCAGTGAGCCAACATCACACCACTGCGCTCCAGCCTGGGTGACAGAGCAAGACTCTATCTCCAAAAAAAAAAAAAAGGTTAAGATGGTTAATTTTGTGTTACATATATTCTACCACATTTTTTTAAAGCCCTAGGAGAAACCTCCCACATCCTTGACCTCATGTCACATGACCTTCATCTCCACTCATTTTTCAGCTCCATTCTGAAGGCTACACCCTGGTCCCAGCCATCATCAGAAACTATTTTATCTTCCACTCTCTGATCTCAACATCCTATCTTTCCAACTTTCTCACTCCTTTTCTTCCTTCTGTAACAATGGTCCTATCTGCTTGCATCATTGAAACTCTTGACCAATCTACCGTCTCCTAGTCAGGCCACCTCCATTCCTCCCAAAATTGCTGCAACAGTCTTGCTGGTCTTCCTGACCAGCGTCCTGCCCACTCCAGTTCATCCTCAACATCGCATTAGGAGTGACATCTCTGACATTTCAATCCGATCTTAACACTCCCTATTTAAAACCTCTCAGAGGCTCTCTATTGACCTCAAGATAAAGTCCAAACTCCCTAACAAGGCAGACAAGCTGGGCGTGGGGTGGCTTCTGGTTGACATGCCTCCCTTCTCCCCTGTCCTCCTGCATGGGCAACGTGTAACCTTTAACTTTACCAGCAGGTCTTGCAGTGTACTGAGCTTTCACTTTGCTTCTGGGTGCTAGGGTCCTCCCCAACCCATTCCTTCTTCATTTGGCTAACTTCTATCACTCAAGCCTGGGTTGGCGAGCACTTCTAAGAAGTTTCCTTCTGTCCTCACCAGGCTGGATCTGGGGCCCCCAGGTGAGGTCCTGCAGCACCTATGCCTGGCCAGATCAGAGGGCTCACCGCTCTGCACTGTAATGACCTGTTTCCTTCTCTCTCCACCCTGACCAGACTGTCATCTGCCTTCCCACATAGCCAGGCACTGTGTGAGATTCATCGTGGCATCGCCATGCCTGTTACAGTGCCTACCACAGAGTAGACATTCTCTGAGAGGCAAGTGGGTGGGTGGACAGGAGGTTGTTCGAATGCGTGGACTACACAGGTTTTGAAATTCAAACCTGGGAATCAAGTTCCATCAAGAATTTTTAGCTGGAAACACATTTGATCAAGGATGGTTTATCCAAATTAAGAATAGTTTCTGTCTTTGTATAGCACTCAACAGTTTATGGCCCGCTGTCATATTTGTGATGCTGTTTAACACACTTAATGACCTGTGAGTTAAGAAGGAAAGCTATCATCATTACCACATTGTAAATGAGGCCCCTATGTTCACCCAAGGTCAGAGAGTTAGTGAATGTCAGAGCCAGGACACATGCTCAACATCTTCCTTCCACTTGCTCTACCCTCTACCCCACTGCATTTAACTTTTAGGAATAAAAACAATCAGAATAGCTAATCCTAATATCAGAACCTTTCAGAAAACAGGGAATATATATTTTCTGGCTTCTGTGGGGTTCTACCAAGGTCCTAGTTCTCAGGTACTTAGAAAATATTAACTAGCTCCACTGCAGCAAAGCTATCATTGATGTGCCTTGCTTTTTCACATTTTTTAGAAAAAGAAACAAAAACAAGTACCCCGAAAGATCAGTGTCTAACAACATATGGAAATAATGCCTTATATCCACCCTACATCTCTGCAGTTGCAAATCAAGCCCAATTTCTTTTATTTGGTTTTCAGTAGAGAGAAATAAATAAAGCAGGAATATCATTTCTATCCCATCTACATCCAAAAAGGCATAAAAGAGAAGAGTTTATCACTATTCCTCATATAAATAACCTCTTCCATCTGCCTGCTGTAGTCTAATTTAAGTAGTCCTAATTGTATTCGCATAGGACCTATTTTCCAAGTATTCATTTTATTTGTTCTTATATGGACTGTATCCAATTGTTCCCAGTCTCTTTTACCTTTAAAGCCAAAACTGGACATGAGTCACCAGTAAGTTTCTAGTTAAAGCCAAGAACAGTGAGAGGATGACGTCATGGGCCTTGAGCCTTGCTCATGATGCTCATTTGAGTGTGTCTCAGGCATATGCAACTACACTGTGTGTCCCCAGAACAAGGCGAGCACTGTGGGGGCTCAGGGCTGCTGCTTCTGCCCAGGGGGAAGTACAGAAAGAGCATCTAGACTACAAAAAGCTCTTCCTCTTTCTCCACATATGCACCCCATAGTCACTTTGGTCTCTATCTGGATCCGTTAAGCACCCATAACCACCTTTTGCAAAAGTGAACCTAGGCTGGGAGAGGTGGTTCGTGCTTGTAATCCCAGCACTTTGAAAGGCCAAGGCAGGAGGATCACTTGAGGCCAGGAGTTCAAGACCAGCCTGGGCAACAAAGCAAGACCCTGTCTCTATAAAAAATTTTTTTAAAGTAACCAGGCATGATGACCCACACCTGTAGCCCCAGCTCCTCAGGAGGCTAAGGTGGGAGAATCACTTGAGCCTGGGAATTCAGGGCCGCAGTGAGCTATTATCATGACACTGCCTGGGTGACAAAGCGAGACCCTGTCTCAAAAAAAAAAAAAAAAAAAGAAGAAGTTGAGGGGCACCAAAGACACAGTCGGCACAGTGCTGCCTTTGCTTGGGTGTCGCCTCTTTATGCCTCCTTGAGCCCACAGCCTTTCCCCGACTGCAGGAACAGATTTCAGCCCACCCACGGTCTCTCCTTGCCTGCAGGGTCCCCATTCTCCTCACCTGACAGAGCCTAGCTTAATGGGTCCCCGAAGAAGAGATTCTCTTGCTGGGCCAGCAGGTTCCTACCCGAGCTGTGCATCTTAGTTTCACTGTGAGTCACCGTGGGACCGCAGGCAAGGTCAGATGCCCCCAAAGGTAGTCAGGTGTCAGTCCACAGGTCTGTGGGGGTGGTCTGTACTAGTTTCCCTGTGATGGGAGGGCTGGAGGGAGGCCTGGCATCAGGAAGCACATGACTGGCACAAAGGGGAAAGGAATACCAAGTTCCATTTTCCTCTGCAAGGCCACAAGACACTGCTAAGAAAAATTATCACAGAGTGCTTAGCTGGAGCCGGTGTTGTCTATTTTCTTATAATATTAATTACTGCCTTGGTAACTATAAGTTACAAACTGCTTGATTTTAAAAGAGCTCACAGATGAAAGCTAAAAGAAGAAAAACAGAGGAATTTGAAATCCCACACAGCTAAGAGCAACAGATAAAAGCTGCCCCCCTGCAAATGCAAATCTAGATGAAGAGAAAGTAAACAAGATAATGCCAGCTAGGGTTGTTCAAGGAAACAAGAGAGTGTTCTATAAATATAACCAGAAAAAAAAATATTTGTCTCAGCAGATGAGATCACCACACATGGCTCATGATAGAGATCTTTTGTTGCTCCCTTAATTGAAGCTTGGAAGAGAGCAGAAATGACAGCAGAAATCAGACTACTGCCCACAAGGTTCCAATGGGCTGGTCCATGTTTAACTAAGTGCAGCTGAAGTCATGAAGACTTGATACCATCCATCTGAACTGTGGCCTGTGTCTCACTGACATATGGGCCCCGCCCTTCCCATCCACCCCCTTCCTCAGCACCAGACTGGCTATGGCTCACCCACACTGAGCAAATCAGGGGCAAAGCCAGGAAGGGACACACAGCCACGGGCTGAACGCAAGCCTAGGGGCAGGGAAAGGCCGAACAAAGCCCCAGCCTCCACTTTTCAAGGACTTCCTTTTCTGAAGGCTACTCACCGTGTGGGACAGGAGCTGGAGCAGAGCTGGAGACCTCCACCCATAGCCAGTGCCTGCTGCATGCCACATGAGCTCTAGGCATTGGGAATACGGCAGTAAACAAGACAAGTCCCCAGCTCTGGGAGCTAGAGATGAAAGGCTTCGGGGGTGGTTGGAGATAGACAACAGAAATGACGACTAGCCAAGATAATTTATGTACTGATAAGTGTACACTGAACACAAAATGCAGATAGAGGCCGGGCATAGTGGCTCATGCCTGTAATCCCAGACCTTTGAGAGGCCGAGGAGGGAGGATCCATTGAGGCCTGGAGTTTGAGGCTATCATGGAAGGAGGCGGAGCTTGCAGTGAGCTATGATCACACCACTGCACTCTAGCCTGGGTGATAGAGTGAGACCCTGTCTCAAAAACAAAACAAAATGAAACTGCAGCTAGAGAGTGATGTGGGGCTCCTTTAGCCCACAAGGTTAGGGCAGGCCTGTCTGAGCAGGTGTCAAAGTTGCAGCCTGAAAGGTGAGGGGGCTGCTAGGTAGCATGGACCATTGAGTGGAAGGGCTCAGAGTCAGAAAAGAGCTTGGTGTGTTCAGGGGACAAAAAGAAGGCCCATAGGACAGTGCCACGGCGACCAACGGAGAGGAGGGAAAAGAGCGGCAAACGCCGGCAGGGTCAGCTCTGTCACTGCAGGCCACCAGAAAGGGTTTGGATTCTGTTGGGTTTTTTAAGGGGAAGAGTCCTGTGATGTGGCATCTACTTTAGAAAGGCCATTCTTGGGCTGCTTTGTACAGGATGGGCTAGAGGGGGCCAAGAACGGCGATAGGAAGAATAGGTAGGGGTTTTGGTACATGGAAGAGAGGAGGGTGGCCTAGATCTGGGGGGAGGAAGTGGAGGTAGTTAGCAGTGGGAAATGCATTTTGAATGTAAAAAAAATGGAGCAGACTGGCCGGGCGCGGTGGCTCACGCCTGTAATCCCAACACTTTGGGAGGCCGAGGTGGGCAGATCACAAGGGCAGGAGATTGAGACCATCCTGGCTAATATGGTGAAACCCTGTCTCTACTAAAAATACAAAAAATTAGCTGGGCATGGTGGCGGGCGCCTGTAGTCCCAGCTACTCGGGAGGCTGAGGTGGGAGAATGGCGTGAACCCGGAAGGCGGAGCTTGCAGCGAGCCGTGATTGTGCCACTGCACTCCAGCCTGGGTGACAGAGCAAGACTCTGTCTTGAAAAAAAAAAAAAAAGAAGAGGACTTACTAATGGATTCATTGTGAGATGTTAGAGAAAAGCAAAGCAAAGAGTTCAGGGTGAGGTTTTCGTCCTGAGCAACAGGGTAGAGTGGTTTCACTTAGTATGACGGAGGAGACTAGGGAATAAATGGGTTTGGAGTGGTAGGGAAGCAAGTCTTCTGTTTTATTTATTTATGTATTTATTTATTTATTTTGAGACCGAGTCTCACTCTGTCACCCAGGGTGCAGTACAGTGGCATGATCTCGGCTCACTGCAACTTCCACCTCCTGGGTTCAAGCGACTCTCCTGCCCCAGCCTCCCGAGTAGCTGGAACTACAGGCAAGTCTTCTGTTTTAGACATGTCAAGTTTGAGACCTGTTGGGCACCAAGAGAGCACGTAGCCTAGGAGTGCATATGAGTCTGAAGCTCAGCTGGAAGATCAGCAGAAGGTCAAAGGTGAGAGTCATTAGCATGTGTGTGGTTCTTAAAGCCCTGGGGTGGAGGAGCCTAGGACCACAATGTGGAGACAGAAGTGGTGGAAAGACCCAGGACAATTAGAGAACAGGAGGAGGAGGCAGTACAGGAGGCGGAGGCTGTAGCCATTGAGAGAGGAGCTTATGGGTCGGCTGTGGGCCTGGAAGGCCTGGAGAAGAAGCGCTTTGAGAGAGGGTGCTGCTCTGTGTCAAGACATGCAAGAGGCCAGGGGAGGCGACATGGGGTGATTCCCTACTGCCCTGGGGAAGATGGAGGTCAGGGGCAGCCTCCTGAGGAGCCACAAGAGGGGATGGTGGAGACATGAGCCAGGCAGAGTGAGATGAGGAGGGAGTGTGGGGAGGCAGTGCACACAAACTGTGGGATGCTCTGCAGCACCAGGGAGAAGGAAAAGCGGTGAGAGCAGAAGAGGAACGTGCCTCAAGCTCTTTGAACGGGTTGTTGGGCTGCCCCTACCCCACCCAAGTCTACCTTATCAGCCACATTGAGAGGTGACAGCGTGCTGGCAGTCTTCACAGCCCTCGCTCGCTCTCCGTGCCTCCTCTGCCTGGGCTCCCATTTTGGCAGCACTTGAGGAGCCCTTCAGCCCACCACTGCACTGTGGGAGCCCCTTTCTGGGCTGGCCAAGGCCGGAGCCGGCTCCCTTAGCTTGCAAGGAGGTGTGGAGGGAGAGGCGCGAGCGGGAACCGGGGCTGCGCGCGCCGCTTGCGGGCCAGCTGGAGTTCCGGGTGGGCGTGGGCTTGGCGGGCCCCGCACTCGGAGCAGCCGGCCGGCCCTGCCGGCCCCGGGCAATGAAGGGCTTAGCCCCCGGGCCAGCGGCTGCGGAGGGTGTACTGGGTCCCTCAGCAGTGCCGGCCCACCAGCGCTGCGCTCGATTTCTCGCCGGGCCTTAGCTGCCTTCCCGCGGGGCAGGGCTCGGGACCTGCAGCCCGCCATGCCTGAGCCTCCCACCCCCTCCGTGGGCTCCTGTGCGGCCCAAGCCTCCCCGACGAGCGCCGCCCCCTGCTCGATGGCGCCCAGTCCCATCGACCACCCAAGGGCTGAGGAGTGCGGGACTGGCAGGCAGCTCCACCTGCAGCCCCTGTGCGGGATCCACTGGGTGAAGCCAAGCTGAGCTCCTGAGTCTGGTGGGGACGTGGAGAACCTTTATGTCTAGCTCAGGGATTGTAAATACACCAATTGGCACTCTGTATCTAGCTCAAGGTTTGTAAACACACCAATCAGCACCCTGTTTCTAGCTCAGGGTTTGTGAATGCACTAATTGACACTCTGTATCTAGCTACTCTGGTGGGGCCTTGGAGAACCTTTATGTCTAGCTCGGGGATTGTAAATACACCAATCAGCACTCTGTATCTAGCTCAAGGTTTGTAAACACACCAATCAGCACCCTGTGTCTAGCTCAGGGTTTGTGAATGCACCAATCGACACTGTATCTAGCTACTCTGGTGGGGCCTTGGAGAACCTTTGTGTCCACACTCCCTATCTACCTAATCTGGTGGGGACGTGGAGAACCTTTGTGTCTAGCTCAGGGATTGTAAACGCACCAATCAGCGCCCTGTCAAAACAGACCACTCAGCTCTACCAATCAGCAGGATGTGGGTGGGGCCAGA
Source organism: Homo sapiens (assembly GCF_000001405.40). NCBI lineage: Eukaryota > Metazoa > Chordata > Mammalia > Primates > Hominidae > Homo > Homo sapiens. The sequence goes on along the minus strand of NC_000022.11, from coordinate 18,052,796 downwards.
TAAGAGAATAAAAGCAGGCTGCCCGAGCCGGCAGAGGCAACTCGCTCTGGCCTCCTTCCTTAGTGTGATAGCTTTGTTCTTTTGCTCTTTGCAATAAATCATGCTGCTGCGCACTCTTTGGGTCCATACTGCCTTTATGAGCTGTAACACTCACCACGAAGATCTGCAGCATCACTCCTGAAGCCAGCGAGACAACGAACCCACGGGGAGAAAGAAACTGAACACGTCCGAACATCAGAAGGAACAAACTCCAGACGCGCCACTTTAAGAGCTGTAACACTCACCGCGAGGGTCCGTGGCTTCACTCTTGAAGTCAGTGAAACCAAGAACCCACCAATTCCGGACACAACATGACCTGGGGCAACTCACTGAAACCCCGGTGCCTCTGCTGCTGCTGCCTTTTTTGTGTGTGTGTTTTTTGGTTTTTTTTGGAGATGGAGTCTCGCTCTGTTGCTCAGGCTGGAGTGCAGTGGCACGATCTCGGCTCACTGCAAGCTCTGCTTCCCGGGTTCACGTCATTCTTCTGCCTCAGCCTCCTGAATGGCTGGGACTACAGGCGCCCACCACCACACCCAGCTAACTTTTTGTATTTTTAGTAGAGATGGGGTTTCACCGTGTTAACCAGGATGGTCTCGATCTCTTGACCTCGGGATCCGCCCGCCTCTGCCTTCTAAAGTGCTGGGGATTACAGGAGTGAACCACCGCGCCCGGCCCTTTTTTTCTTTTTTGAGACAGAGCCTCTCTCACCCAGGCTAGAGTACAGTGGTTCGATTTCAGCACACTGCAACCTCCACCTCCCGGGTTCAAGCGATTGTCCTGCCTCAGCCTCCCGAGTAGCTGGGATTACAGGCACCCGCCACCATGCCCAGCTAATTTTTTTTTTTTTTGCATTTTTAGTAGAAACGAGGTTTCACCATGTTGGCTAGGCTGGTCTTGAACTCCTGACCTCCAGTGATCCGCCTGTCTTGGCCTCCCAAAGTGCTGAGATTACAGGTGTGAGCCACCATGTCCAGGCTTCTTCTTCTTTAAAATATATCATAGCATCTACTCCCTTAGAGGAGTTATGTGAAGATTAAATGAGTATGTGTGAAGCGGTTAAAACAGTTCCTTGCACAGCACAATGTAAGTGCTATTCATATTAATTTTTTTTAATTTTTTTGAGACAGGGTCTTGCTTTTTTGCCAAGCCTAGAATGCAGTGGCATGATTGTGGCTCACTGCAGCCTCCACCTCCCCAGGTACAGGTGATCCTCCCACCTCAGGTTTTGGGGGTTTTTTGGTTTTTGTTGTTTCTGTTTTTTTAGTAGAGGGGTTTCACCGCATTGTTCAAGCTGATCTCGAACTCCTGAGCTCAAGCAGTCTGCCTGCCTTGGCCTCCCAAAGTGCTGGGGTTACAGGCATGAGCCGCCGCATCTGCCTGGTATTAATATTAACGTTAAGGGAATCTCCCCTCCCCTCCCTTCCCCTCCCCTCTCCTTTTCTTTTCCGGCGTCTCACTTTGTCACCCAGGCTGGAATGCAGTGGTGCAATCAGCTCACTGCAACCTCCGTCTCCAGGGTTCAAGCAATTCTCCTCCCTCAGCCTCTGAGTAGCTGGGATTACAGGCGTGTGCCACCACACCCAGCTAATTTTTTTGTATTTTTAGTAGAGACGGGTTTCGCCATGTTGGCCAGGCTGGTCTCGAACTCCTGACCTCAGGTGATCCACCCACCTCGGCCTCCCAAAGCGCTGGGATTACAGGTGTGAGCCACTGCACCTGGCCAATCTTTTCTTTTTAATTACAAATAACAAGAGAGAGGATTGGGGGTTAAAACTTTGGGAGAGAAAAGGGAGAAGCCACGTAAGCAGAGAAGAGATGGTTCCAAGAGTCCCCATAGAAACTTGGCCTCAGAGAGGGACAGAGACCCTTCTGCTGCTGAAACAAGGCAGCCTACAGTCCCCAGGGTGTCCTGTCCATCTCCACCATGACTCCTGCCCAGGACCACCCCAGTGCTCAAGCAGGGCAGCCTCACCTGCTTTAGCACAGAAGCCTCCTGTCGGTTTGTTTCTCTGGGGGCCTGATTCCCTGAAGCAGCAGCAGGTTTCCCACCATCTTTATCGCTTTACCTCTGCCCAGGATTGCCACACGCGGTGCATGTGGGGAAGAGCTCATTGGGGAAGATTCTGGCAGAAAGATAACCAGAAAGTTTGCACCAAAACCCAGCCTGACCTCTCTCTCCCCTAAAAATCGGGTGCATAGACTTCCTGTTCCTTGCACAGCATAGTAATCCGTTTTGTTGCTAATATTTACCAGCCTTATCCAACTGTGAGGCCAGGCTTCCTCTGAGGCCTCTGGGACCTACCCCAGCAAACGGGTCCTAGAATCTCCACTGCCTCCCTTAAATGATGGGCTAGGGAGTGACTGGGGAGACGCAGGGTAGAACCCCAAAGACGTCGTCCTCATACTGTTCCAGACAGAAGGAGCCAAGTCTTGATCTGTGCTGGCAAAGTAATTTTTCAAACTGGAATTGCTGGTAAGGCTGCTTCCCTAAAAGGCAACTCAAGTCCTGTCCTCGGCCTGCCTTTCCCTGGAGCCATGGCTCCCTGCCATTGTGCAGACACTTCTCTAGATTCTCTAGGGCACAGGGTTCTTCTAGTCCATTCTCCCCCATCTCAACCCCTTAACTGCCCTCTCAGCTACCCTCAGCCCACTCAGGATAACAATGAACATTTGGAAAACTTCTCTAATAATGCTCTAGAAAAGCAAAAACGGCGCGGTGGCTCTCGCCTGTAATCCCAGCACTTTGGGAGGCTGAGGTAGGCGGATTACTTGAGGTCAGGAGTTCAAGACCAGCCTGGCCAACATGGTGAAACCCTGTCTCTACTAGAAATACAAAAAAAAAAAAAGCCAGGCATGGTGGCGGGTGCCTGTAGTCCCAGCTACTTGGGAGGCTGAGGCAGGAGAATCACTTGAACCCGGGAGGTGGAGGTTGCAGTGAGCCGAGATCGCACCACAGCACTCCAGCCTGGGCGACAGAGGGAGATTCTGTCTTAAAAAAAAAACAAAAAACAAAAAAAGCCGGGGCGCGGTGGCTCACGCCTGTAATCCCAGCACTTTGGGAGGCCGAGGCGGGCGGATCATGAGGTTAGGAGATTGAGACCATCCTGGCTAACACGGTGAAACCCTGTCTCTACTAAAAATACAAAAAAAAAAATAAATTAGCCAGGCAAGGTTGCGCTCGCCTGTAGTCCCAGATATTCAGGAGACAGGTGGGAGGATTGCTTGAGCCCAGGAGATCGAGACTGCAGTGAGCTGTGATTGCGCCATGGCACTCCAGCCTAGGCGACACAGCGAGACCCTATTTCAAAAAATTAAAAGATGGGTTCAGCCGGGAGCAGTGGCTCAAGCCTGTAATCCCAGCACTTTGGGAGGCTGAGGTGGGCGGATCACCTGAGGTCAGGAGTTCAAGACCAGCCTGGACAACATGGTGAAACCCTGTGTCTACTAAAAATACAAAAATTAGCTGGGTGTGGTGGCAGGCACCTGTAATCCCAGCTACTCAGGAGGCTGAGGCAGGAGAATTGCTTGAACCCGGGAAGTGGAGGTTGCAGTGAGCTGAGACCATGCCACTGCACTCCAGCCTGGGCAACAGAGCGAGACTCAGTCCCGGAAAATAAATAAATAAATAAATAAAAAGATGGGCTCATCGAGGACCATGGGTCTCCTTTGCTCTGCTCTCTGCAGAGTAGATTCATTAAACAGAAGGAAAGATGAGGGAAGCACAGCCAGTGCTGAGGCCCCCTCAGGCCTCCTTGGGTTTTCACGCCAGGAATCAGAACCGTGGCTCAGGCCACGTGTCAAAATCACAATTTGCCATCCTTCTCTGCTCTAGGTGCCACCTTTCTCGCAGTCTTCACCTGAGCCTTGAGGTGAATTCTTCCTGTGGGTCCATCTGACTTCCCAGGCAAGAAACAGGAGAGGCTTTTAAAATCGCTATGATTACTTGAACACCTGAAGCACTTGGAATAGGAGGGGAACAGGAAAGGAAATCCGTTAAAGGCACTGTGAGGCAGATAAAACGCGGAGGGCGGAGAGATAACTGGGTGGAAGGCGCTCGTCACAGCAGCGAGCGGCACGTGGTGTTTGCCGAGCTCCCTAAATGGACAGGGGCAGAACGCGTTTCTGTCTGCCTTTGCACGGAAGGAACTAATCCCCTTGGAAAAGGAATGGGTTCTAAGAGGGTCAAAGGAGTTGCTCGAGGCACCGCGTGATTCTGCGGCAGCAAGGGAATGTAAACCAGCTGCGCGCAGGCAGCGCCTCCGTGCCCGTTCTCGTCGGGCGTCGGGCTTCCTGTGTGGTCCGGAATCGGTCTTCTGCTTTCTGGAATCTTAAATGCACTGGCAGATGAGGGGGGGACTTTAGAGCTATGTTCCTTAAATATTCTCAGGCCCTAGAGAAAAAGATTCTTGTTTATTCTCATTAGCTTACTTATGTTTCATAACACCCGCACCTTCTGCCTAACAAAACGTGAGGTGTGACTCCATACACAGAGAACGTCCGGAGCACCGGACGATGTGGGGTGAGATTCCAGGAGGCTATTTGGGATCATGTACGTGCCATTAGCACTGCTTTCTTTCTGTTTTTGTTTAAGACAGGGTCTGGCTCTGTCACCCAGGCTGGAGTACACTGGCACGATCAGGCTCATCTACAGCCTCCAACTCACATTCTCAAGGGATCCTCCCACGTCAGCCTCCTGAGTAGCTGGGACTACAAGGGCTTACCACCATGCCCGGCTAATTTTTTTTTTTTTTTTTTTTTTTTTTTTTTGTAGAGATAGGGTCTCGCCATGTTGCCCAGGCTAGCCTTAAACTCTTGGCTCCAAGCAGTCTCCCATCCTTGGCTTCTCAAAGTGTTGAGATTACAGGCATGAGCCACTGTGCCCAGCCAACAGTAGCAAGAAAACCCTGTCTCTAAGAAATAAAATCGTTATTTAAAAAGTCAATGTAGTTTGTTGGAAAGTATTGTCAAGGCTAATAAAGACATGTTGTTCCCCGCCGAGGGGCCCTAGGTTCTTCTAAGCATCATCGTTGTGTGTGGCGAGATCTGCATAATAACTAAACTTCTGAAGAAAGTTCTCTGTTTTAACTCAGTCATGTGGCCCTTTGGGTTGACCTGTCTGCTTCTTTTTCCTTCTATGAATGATGATCTGGTTTTGACCCAACTGGATGCCCTCCCAAATGCTATCTAGATACACCTGAAGTTCAATTCGTTCAAGTTCCTATCTTGAAGCCAAACTGCAGTCAGCGCCGTTTTCAATGGTGGGGTTCTGTATTCATCTTCAGAAAGACCCAGTCAGTAGTAGGGCGTGCCCGGTGGCTCACGCCTGTAATCCCAGCACTTTGGGAGGCCTAGGCGGGCGGATCACGAGGTCAGGAGATCGAGACCATCCTGACTAACACGGTGAAACCCCGTCTCTACTAAAAATACAAAAACTAGCTGGGCGTGGTGGTGGGTGCCTGTAGTCCCAGCTACTTGGGAGGCTGAGGCAGGAGAATGGCGTGAACCCTGGAGGCGGAGTTTGCAGTGAGCCGAGATGGCACCACTGTACTCCAGCCTGGGCAACAGAGCAAGACTCTGTCTCAAAAAAAAAAAAAAAAAATTTAGCCGGGCATGGTGGCATGTGGCTGTACTCTCAGCTACTCAGGGAACTGAGGTGGGAGGATTGCTGAAGCCCAGGAGATTGAGGTTGTAGTGAGCTGAGATCGCACTCCAGCCTGGAAGACAAAGTGAGACCCTGTCTCAAAACAATAAAAATAATAAAGAATAAAATTGAATGATTGTAACCAAATTTCACACAGTAGAAAAGCGCATAAAATAATTTTGATGGCCAGGCTCAGTGGCTCACACCTGTAATTCCAGCACTCTGGGAGGCCATGGCAGGCAGATCACCTGAGGTCAGGAGTTCAAGACCAGCCTGGCCAACATGGTGAAACTCCATCTCTACTAAAAATACAAAAATTAGCCAGACATGGTGGTGGGTGCCTATAATCCCAGCTACTCGGGAGGCTGAGGCAGGAGAATCGCTTGAACCTAGGAGGCAGAGGTTGCAGTGAGTCGAGACCACAACATTGCACGCCAGCCTGGGCAACAAGAGCAAAACTCTATCTCAAGAAAATAATAATAGGCTGGGCACCGTGGCTCACGCCTGTAACCCCAGCACTTTGGGAGGCCCGGGTGGGTGGATCACCTGAGGTCAGGAGTTTGAGACCAGCTTGACCAACATGGAGAAACCCTGTCTCTACTAAAAATACAAAAATATAGCTGGGCATGGTGGTGCATGCCTGTAATCCCAGCTACTCGGGAGGCTGAGGCAGGAGAATCACATGAACCTGGGAGGCGGAGGTTGCGGTGAGCCAAGATCGTGCCATTGCACTCCAGCCTGAGCAACAAGAGTGAAACTCCATCTCAAAAATAATAATAATAATAATAATAATAATTTTGATGTGGGTTTCATTCATTGTCTTGAATGAAAATGGCAGCCAATGTTAAAAGTCTGATGTTTTCATTGGGTGTCAGTGACATTTGACAAGTAGCAAAGGCTACATTGATATCACTGTTACCCAATAAAAACATTAGGCAGAGGCTACTTGTCAAATGGATGCCTTGTGAGAAGACAAAACCTGAATCTGACACCTCAAAAAATAACCCATTGGGTGTACTAAATGTACCCATTAAAATACTGCCAATGTTTTCATAGTTAACAATTGTCCTTTTCACACACATCAGCAGGATGTGTGATGTGTCACTTTATGTAATAATTACGTAATAATACTTTCATATTATTAGCTTTTTTGAGTATATTTTAATTACTAATTAATCTCATTTTATTTTTTGAGAGAAAGGGTATGTAGAAGTGAGTATTTTAAAAATCAGGGCCAGGCACAGTGGCTCACGCCTGTAATCCCAGCGCTTTGGGAGGTCGAAGCAGGTAGCTCACTTGAGCCCAGGAGTTTGAGACCAGTCTGGACAATATAGTGAGACCCTGTCTCTATAAGAATTAGCAGGGTGTGGTGTTGCACGCCAATGGTCCCAGCTACTCAGGAAGCAGAGGTGGGAGGTGGGAGGATCGCTTAAGCCCGGGAAGTCAAGGCTGCAGTGAGCTGTGATCGCACCACTACACTCCAGCATGGGTAACAGAGCAAGACCCAGGGAAGTACAAATGGCTATTTTAAGAGGATATATGCAGCGCCTTGTGGATCTGGTAAGAAGTCCAACCAGAATATCTAGGTCTCGGGCCTGTGGTAGAACTAAGACTTCAGGTAAGGATTGATGAGGTTGCGGTGGGCCTGGAGAAGTAAAGAAAGAGAGAGGAAGGATGAGGGCACCAAATTGGTTCTACTTCCTCCTGAAGGCCTCCTAGCAGAGGCCATCAGCCAACAGCAGGTGCATTGCATAAACTGGAATGTGACTGGAAGAGATGTCTTAGCCTTGTGCAAAGACTGTGTCTCAGTTATACCGAGCTGATCCTGCTATTCAAATCCTACAGACCTTATTGAACTTCCAGACTCCACCCTCCAGAGGGTCTCCTCCCTCTCCTATACTCCAAAACCCTGAGCTCTTCAGGACTCCATCTGGCCTGTACAGGTGCCCCCCAGGCCCTCCAGAGAGAGAGAGGACAGCATTTGGCTCCTGGGCCCTGGGGTTTCACTCTGAGGAGGTGGGTGGACAGGAGGGTGGGAGCCGGGAAAGAAAGTCGGGAGGGCCTCATCTCCAAGTTAGAGAGTTGGCCTGATGAGGAGAGCGTCGGCGAATGGCGTCTTGCTGTTATTTCTCTGTATCCCTGCTGGGGATGGGAGTTCCTGGCAGCTGGCCCTGGCCCTGGCCTTGGCCTTTGTCTCCCTACACTCTCCTCTTGGCACAGCCAGAGGCTTTCAGTGTTGTGCTTTCAGGGTCACATGGTTTAAGCTTTGCACAGCTGCTGGGGGAAAAAGAGAGAGTGAGGGAGAGACTGAGACAGAGAGCACCCGCTCCATTCTTACCATATATGAGGCTAAGCGATGAGTATCGGCATGACTCAAAGCCCAAGAAAGCAAATCTCTGCCTGACTCTCACCCTTGGCTATGGAACACATTGCCTCTCACCCTATTTCTGGGCTTTTCACACCCAAATCCTCCCCTGCCCTCCACACACAAGCTTCCACTGACCTCCCGTGCACCCTCCCCTGAGTACACACACACTGTCATACCACACAAAAGATGTGTGTGCGTACTTTCTATCAAACCCGTGGAAAGAAAAGCCAACAACTTAATCAACCTAATAACTTTTGCACAACATGGTGGATAAGAGTTTGCTCTGGCAATTCACACACACACACACACACACACACACACACACACACACACGAATGCCCATGCCACGGGTGTTTATCCTTCTTTAAGCTTTTAGAATCTCTGTCCTTGGTCTCTCTCCAGTATAAATTCTTGAGTGCCATCTCCTGTTTTTCCACCAATGCTGCACCTTTCCCATCAGAAAAGTTACCTACTGCGATCAGAATTCTCACACCATGGAGTTTCAGAAGCCAGCCCTCCCGTGTCCCCAGGCCGCCAGTGGTCAGTGTTCCTCCTCCGCCTCTCCCACAGCACCTTGGCCTGTGCTGTGTAGCTTCTGCATGCTTCTATCACTGTTTGTAGCCTCCATCAGCAGCTGCAGCCAGCACCAGCCAATGCAGGTCGGGACCATGGTCTGCCTCATGCTGCTTCAGGCCACCTTGCATTGTCTTCACTAGCTTAACATCACGAGCGGTCACCGGTAATCTGGTCTTACAAAGTATGGTTATGATGCAACATGATTATTTTTTTAAACAAACATACTAAGTCTTAAATATTCAAATAAGGCTTCAAATAATAATGTGATCACCGTCACTGCCATTGGTCTCTAACCTCTCAAGGTCATCAATGGGAAGGCAGTGTTCACTTAGATGAGAATTTTTTTTTTTTTTTGGCAACAGGGTCTTGCTGTATTGCCCAGGCTGGGGTGCCAACACGGCTCACTGCAGCCTCACAATCTCCTGGGCTCAAGCTATCCTCCTGCCTCAGCCTCCCAAGTAGCTGGGAGTACAGCTGTGTGCCATCATGACCAGCTTATTTTTTAAAATTGTTTTGTAGAGATGGGGTTTCACCATGTTGCCCAGGCTGGTCTCAAACTCCTGGGCTCAAGTGAGCTGCCTGCCTCAGCCTCCCAAAGTGCTGGGATTACATGCATGAGTCAACATGCCTGGCCTACATGTGAAATTTTTGATATATTGTTCCCAAGCTAGTATCTTTTTTTTTTTTCCGAGACGAAGTCTCACTGTCTCGCCCAGGCTGGAGTGCAATGGCACCATCTTGGCTCACTGCAACCTCCGCCTCCAGGTTCAAGCGGTTCTCCTGCCTCAGCCTCCCAAGTAGCTGGGATTACAGCTGTGCACCACCATGCCCAGCTATATTTTTGTATTTTTAGTAGAGACGGGGTTTCTCCATGTTGGTCAGGCTGGTCTCAAACTCCTGACCTCAGGTGATCTGCCTGCCTCGGCCTCCCAAAGTGCTGGGATTACAGGCATGTATTATTATTTTATAGGCCCAGTTCTGCTACATCTAAGAAGTTTTGAAACATAAAGATAACCAACAAATATAATATAAAAGCCTACATTGCTTATACCTTGGTTTGTTTGTAGGAATTGCATCCTGTAGAGTAGGGGTTGGCAAACTGCAGCCTGGGGCCAAATCCTGTTTTTGTGTGACCTGCAATGCAAGTTAAGAATGGTTTTGATATTTTTTAGATGAGTCAAAAAATCTAAAGCAGAATAAGATTTCATGATACATGAAAATTACATGGAATCCAAACTACAGTGCTTATAAATAGTTTTATTGGAGCACAGCCATGCATATTTAGTGACATTCTCTGTGGCTCCTCACACACTGCAACAAAAGGTCAAGTCATTGCGACAGACACTATGTGGCTTGAAAAACTGAAAACGTGCTGTCTCGTCTGTTACCAGAAACGTTTACTGACCCGTGCTCTAGGTGTTACTTTTCAATCCTTGGATATCTTTGGGAAAAGATACGAATCTTTTAGGAAGAAGTGTGGTTTACTAGAAACGGAACCCTTAAATAACAATGGCTTAAACAAGGTAGAGAATAATTTTTATTTTACATAAAAGAAGTCTGGAGATAAGCAGATGGAACTGATACAGTAACCCTGTGGTCATCGGGGCTGAAGCTTCTTCTGCCTTTCTCCTCTGCCATACTTACTGCATGGCTTCCATCTTTAAGATCGCCTCACAGTCACATAATCGGTGCTGGAACCCTAGTCATCACATGGTGTTCCCAGTAATAGAAAGTGGAAGAGGTCCTCTCCCTCTCCCTCTCCCTCTCCCTCTCCCCACGGTCTCCCTCTCCCTCTCTTTCCACGGTCTCCCTCTCCCTCTCTTTCCACGGTCTCGCTCTGATGCCGAGCCGAAGCTGGACTGTACTGCTGCCATCTCGGCTCACTGCAACCTCCCTGCCTGATTCTCCTGCCTCAGCGCCGCCACGCCTGACTGGTTTTCGTATTTTTTTGGTGGAGACAGGGTTTCGCTGTGTTGGCCGGGCTGGTCTCCAGCTCCTAACCGCGAGTGATCCGCCAGCCTCGGCCTCCCGAGGTGCCGGGATTGCAGACGGAGTCTGGTTCACTCAGTGCTCAATGGTACCCAGGCTGGAGTGCAATGGCGTGATCTCGGCTCGCTACAACCTCCACCTCCCAGCCGCCTGCCTTGGCCTCCCAAAGTGCCTAGAGTGCAGCCTCTGCCCGGCCGCCACCCCGTCTGGGATGTGAGGAGCCCCTCTGCCTGGCTGCCCAGTCTGGAAAGTGAGGAGCATCTCTGCCCGGCCGCCATCCCATCTAGGAAGTGAGGAGCGTCTCTGCCCGGCTGCCCATCGTCTGAAATGTGGGGAGCGCCTCTGCCCCGCCGCCCTGTCTGGGATGTGAGGAGCGCCTCTGCCCGGCCGCCCCGTCTGAGAAGTGAGGAGACCCTCCGCCCGGCAACTGCCCCGTCTGAGAAGTGAGGAGCCCCTCTGCCCGGCAGCCACCCCGTCTGGGAAGTGAGGAGCGTCTCCGCCCGGCAGCCACCCCGTCCGGGAGGGAGGTGGGGGGCTCAGCCCCCCGCCCGGCAGCCACCCCATCCGGGAGGGAGGTGGGGGGCTCAGCCCCCCGCCCGGCCAGCCGCCCCGTCCGGGAGGGAGGTGGGGGGGGCGGTCAGCCCCCTGCCTGGCCAGCCGCCCCGTCCGGGAGGTGAGGGGCGCCTCTGCCCGGCCGCCCCTACTGGGAAGTGAGGAGCCCCTCTGCCCGGCCACCACCACGTCTGGGAGGTGTACCCAAGAGCTCATTGAGAACGGGCCATGATGACAATGGCGGTTTTGTGGAATAGAAAGGGGGGAAAGGTGGGGAAAAGATTGAGAAATCGGATGGTTGCCGTGTCTGTGTAGAAAGAAGTAGACATGGGAGACTTTTCATTTTGTTCTGTACTAAGAAAAATTCTTCTGCCTTGGGATCCTGTTGATCTGTGACCTTACCCCCAACCCTGTGCTCTCTGAAACATGTGCTGTGTCCACTCAGGGTTAAATGGATTAAGGGCGGTGCAAGGTGTGCTTTGTTAAACAGATGCTTGAAGGCAGCATGCTCGTTAAGTGTCATCACCACTCCCTAATCTCAAAGTACCGAGGGACACAAACACTGCGGAAGGCCGCAGGGTCCTCTGCCTGGGAAAACCAGAGACCTTTGTTCACTTGTTTATCTGCTGACCTTCCCTCCACTATTGTCCTATGACCCTGCCAAATCCCCCTCTGCGAGAAACACCCAAGAATGATCAATAAAAATAATAAATAAAATAAAATAAAATAAAATAAAGAAAGTAGAAGAGGTGGCCGGGCACAGTGGCTCACGCCCGTAATCCCAGCACTTTGGGAGGCCAAGGTGGGCGGATCACAAGGTCAGGAGATCGAGACCATCCTGGCTAACACGGTGAAACCCCGTCTCTACTAAAAATACAAAAAATTATTCGGGTGTGGTGGCAGGCACCTGTAGTCCCAGCTACACGGGAGGCTGAGGCAGGAGAATGGCATGAACCCGGGAGGCGGAGCTTGCAGTGAGCCAAGACCACACCACTGCACCCCAGTCAGGGCAACAGAGCGAGACTCCGACTCAAAAAAAAAAAAAGAAAGAAAAAGAAAAAAGAAAGTAGAAGAGGTTAGGATAAAAGAGTGCCAGCTTAACTAACTCCCATTAAACAGCTTCCCCGGAAGTTCTACCCAAATATTTCTTCTTACATCTAATTGGCCACCTTCACTTGCAAAAGAGGCTGAGATATGTAGTTTTATGGCTGAGAACATTGCCACCCAGATAATGCCAGGGTTCTGTTAGTGAGGCAAGAGGAGAAAGTAGATAAAGGTTAGGCAACTGGCAATCTCTGCCCTAGGAACAAGTGGCCTTTCCGTATCCTTTTCAATATATGCTGCATACTAGTTTCTCATAAATGTAAGAGTTATTTTTTCAAGCACTATTTTTCTTGTTTGTTTGTTTTTTGGTGGGGACAGGGTCTCGCTCTGTCACCCAGGCTGGAGTGCAGTGGCATGATCTTGGCTCACTGCAACCTCCACCTCCCAGGTTCAAGCGATTCTCCTGCCTCAGCCTCCCAGGTAGCTGGAACTCCCAGGCTGGTAGCCACCACGCCTGGCTAATTTTTGTATTTTTAGTAGAGATGGGGTTTCACCATGTTGGCCAGGCTGATCTCAAACTCCTGACTTCAGGTGATCTGCCCGCTTCGGCCTCCTAAAGTGCTGGGATTACAGGTGTGAGCCACTCTACCCGGCCACTATTTTGTTGTTGTTGTTTGAGATGGAGTCTTGCTCTGTTGCCCAGGCTGGAGTGCAGTGGCACGATCTCAATTCACTGCAACCTTCACCTCCCAGGTTCAAGAGATTCTCCTGCCTCAGCCTCCCAAGTAGCTGGGATTACAGGCGCCCGCCACCACACCTGGCTAATTTTTGTATTTTTAGTAGAGACGGCGTTTCGCCACATTGGCCATTCTGGTCTTGAACTCCTGACCTCAGGTGATCTGTCTGCCTCGGCCTCCCAAAGTACTGGGATTAAAGGCGTGGGCCACCATGCCCAGCCTCTTGCTCCCTCTTTCAACAGGTTTCCTTTTTTCCCACGTCTCCTCTTCCCTAATACCTTGGCATCATGAAGGCTGGAGAGTCACAGCAACCTCTTTCCTAGTTGTCTTGCGTCTAATCCTGTGCTCTTTTTGTTTTATTAACTTTTGTGCTTGGGCCATTTTTTCTTTAGTTTCTTTGTGCCAATAATTATGTAATTACATGAACGGTGACATAATTCTATTCAACAGTACATATTAATGTTCCAGGGACCAGGTACCAAAAAAACACAAAGCTGTTAACAAGAACATCAAACAAACGTGTGGGCTGGGTGCACTGGCTCATGCCTGTAATTCCAACACTTTGGGAGGCCAAGTCAGGAGAATTGCCTGAGCCCAGGAGTCCAAGACCAGCCTGGGCAACATAGCGAGACCTCATCTCTACAAAAAAAAGAATTATCTAGCTAAGCCGGGAGCGGGGGCTCACACCTGTAATCCCAGCACTTTGGGAGGCTGAGTCAGGCGGATCACAAGGTCAGGAGATCAAGACCATCCTGGTTAACACGGTGAAACCCCATCTCTACTAAAAATACAAAAAATTAGCCGGGCATGGTGGCGGGCGCCTATAGTCCCAGCTACTTGGGAGGCTGACGCAGGAGAATGAGATGTGAACCCAGGAGGTAGAGCTTGCAGTGAGCCGAGATCACGCCACTGCACTCCAGCCTGGGCAACAGAGCGAGACTCTGTCTCAAAAAAAAAAAATTAATTTGGTTATTGGTGTTGGCAGGTGCCTGTAGTCACAGGTACATGGGAGGCTGAGGTGGGAGGATTGATCGCTTGAGCCCAGGAGGTAGAGGCTGCAGTGAGCCAACATTGCACCACTGCACTCCAGCCTGGGCAACAGAGTGAGACCCTGTCTACAACACACACACACACACACACACACACACACACACACACACACACAGAAAATGTGTGGCTTGGCCTTAGTCTCTGTCATTTTTTTTTTTTTTTTTTTTTAGATGGAGTCTTGCTCTGTCACCAGGCTGGAATGCAGTGGTGCAATCTCAGCTCACTGCAATCTTCACCTCCCCATTTCAAGCGATTCTCCTGCCTCAGCCTCCTGAATAGCTGGGACTATAGGCACGCACCACCACACCCAGCTAATTTTTGTATTTTTAATAGAGACAGGGTTTCACCATGTTGGCCAGGATGGTCTCAATCTCTTGACCTCGTGATCCACCTGCCTCAGCCTCCCAAAGTGCTGGGATTACTGGCATGAGCCACCTCACCCAGCCCACTTTTCTTAACTCTTTCTAAGTTGATATGTGCTAGGCCAGGCACAGTGGCTCACGCCTGTAATCTCAGCACTTTGGGAGGCCAAGGTGGGAGGATCACTTGAGCCTAGGAATTTGAGACCAGCCTGGCCAACATAGCAAGACCTCATCTCTATAAAAAATTTAAAAATTAGCCTGTGGTGGCACACACCTGCTACCTCAGCCTACTAGGTCCCAGCTACTCAGGAGGCTGAAGCGGGAGGATCACTTGAGCCTGGGAAGTAGAGGCTGCAGTGAGCCAGAGATTGTGCTACTGCACCCCAGCCTGGGTGACAGAGCAAGACCCTGTCTCAAAAAAAAAAAAAGTTTATATGTGCTTAAAAGAACCAAGCCTTTTATTGAATATTGAAGATTCACCAAGGGTTTTATTTGATCATGGTAATATAATTATAAAATCATTATTAATAAGCCATAAAATGTACAAAAGCATATCCAGTGAAAAATAAGTCTCCTTTCCATTTCTGTCCCCCGCCACCAGCTCTCCTACCCAAGATAACCACTTCTTGAGTATTCTCAAAGACGGTCTATGCCTTTCCAAGTCCACGTACATATGTATGCACACGTGCCTGTTTGACGTTTTCCAGCAGAAGTGGTAGCGTATCATACACACTGTTCTGCATCTGCTGTTCCCATTTAGCAGTATGTCTCAGGGATTATCTGCCTATAGCCAGATCTACCCAAAGCTCAGATCGGACCATGAGAAACCAATGAGCAAAATGTGGAATATATACACAATGGAATATTATTTGGGAATATTCTAATAATACTAGAGAAAGAATGAAAGTCAGCCTGCCATGGTGGTTCATGCCTGTAATGCCAGCACTTCGGGAGGCCGAGGCAGGTGGATCACCTGAGGTCAGGAGTTCAAGACCAGCCTGGCCAACAGGGTGAAACCCCATCTCTACTAAAAATATGAAGTTAGCCTGGTGTGGTGGCGCATGCCAATAATCCCAGCTTCTTGGGAGGCTGAGGCAGGAGAATCGCTTGAACATGGGAGGCAGAGGTTGCAGTGAGCTGAGATCATGCCACTGTACTCCAGCCTGGGTGATAAGAATGAGACTCTGTCTCAAAAACAAACAAAACAAAACAAAAAGAACAGTGATTAGTGTCTTGGTAGGCCCAAGCAAGGAGATGATGATGGCTTGTACCAGATCGGTGATGTGAAGTTCAAGAAAAGTGGGCAAATTAGAGATGTATCTTGGAGGCAAAATAGACAGGAGACTGGAGGCTGGCATAGAGATAGAATGCTGCCCAGAGTCTCTAGTTTTTACATCTGGGTGGGTGGTGGGCCATTCCCTGGGGGAAAATTAAGTTCCTGGGACTTGGGAGTCAGGACCCTTCTTGGGTTTTAGTCCCAGCACTGTTTCTGTCTCTGGGAGTCAGGCAGGTGACTTCCCCTCTGTGGGTCTCCTCACCTGATGAGTAGGTAAACTAATTCCTTTCTGAAGTCCCTTCCAATAAAATGGCTCTACAAACTACTAGACCTTGACATGTCAGTGAATATTCGTTTCTGAGGCTAGTTTTTTCCATAGCACTAACTGAGATGTGCTGTGGGCTTTGAATGGGAAAGGGGGACGCAGGGGAGGAGGAAATTTGAGAGGGTAGGGTCCTAGGAGCCTGAAGGTGGTCAGAGCAAGCAGAGATAGGGAAGCAGTGCCACCAAGAGAGACACACAGAAGTGGACACCAAAGGGTGCACAAAAGCTATTCCTGCATCCCAGGCCAGCCAAGGGACAGCCCTCCCATAGAGAGAAGGGTACAAGGGAGGAATTTTGACAACGATTAATCAGTTTCAGTGGGAGAGAAAACCTAAAATACAGCCAGGAAGAAAAAAACTCAGTAGCATGATCCAAATCTGATGGGATTTCATAAGATCTCCCTCTAATCCACTTCCTTTGCTTCATAATTGATTTCGGTTTTAGCCAAAGCAAGCTTCTCAAAGTTAGGCTTTTATCCCCGATCTTGTGCCTGGCATTTGCTCCGGGGGTCTTGTAGCCCCAGTGAAAATGTGAGTTCCCAGGAGGATGAGCCTCATACTTATTTTCTTTTACATCCTTGTATTGTATCCATAACAGAAGCACCATAAATGTTTACTGATACCTCACATCTAGAAAAGTTGCTGCCGAAAAGTCATGCCTTGACCTGGACTTCATGCCTTTGTCTCATAAGTACAGCGATTTGTCACTCCATACTGGACAGAGCTTGGGGGGAAACCGAGGTCTTCTCTGTGGAATGTGAGGTCTTCTGGTCTGTCGCAGGCCCAGGCTTCCCTAAGGTGGAATAAGAAAGGAAGGGCTTCATGTTTCAGAGGGAGAGAGCAGCCGGTGATGCAACTGCTGAGTGACGTCCCAAGGTAACAGAGAGGAGACGGGCTGTGAGCTGCCCTCACCCTGGCCCACTGCCAGTGGCCACCAGAGCAGGGAGTGCCCATAGTGTTGGCCAATCAGACGAGGACTGCAGAACAGGAGAAATGGGAACTGTGGTCCTGAAAACCTGTGCTTTCTCGGCCCGATGAAATGCAGAGTTATGTGATAGCATGCTTCTGACTTTCAATATTCTGAAAAACAACCCAGCAAACATATGTGTATACACATATACAGGAAAGCCTGTACATCTATATGCTTTTACATATGTATATGTATAGCAGAGATCTGCTTGCTCAGGAAATGTACCCATGGATGTGTATGTTGTGATTGATACACACACAGGAATATCCATCTGAGGAGGCTGTGTGCATGTGCCCAGATATATAGAGGGAGGGGCTTTGAGCTGAGCCTGGTCCCAGGTGCCCCTTGCTTGTGTTTCTGGGCAAGGATCGAGCCGAGTGCAGTGAACACGCTCTCTTATTTATTTATTTATTTATTTATTTATTTTGAGATGGAGTCTCACTCTGTCGCCCAGGCTGGAGTGCAGTGGTGCGATCTCGGCTCACTGCAAGCTCCGCCTCCCAGGTTCATGCCATTCTCCTGCCTCAGCCTCCCGAGTAGCTGGGACTACAGGTGCCCGCCACCATGCCCGGCTAATTTTTTTTTTGTATTTTTAGTAGAGACGGGGTTTCACCGTGTTATCCAGGATGGTCCCGATCTCCTGGCCTCGTGATCCACCCTCCTTGGCCTCCCAAAGTGCTGGGATTACAGGTGTGAGCCACTGCGCCCGGCCGTGAACATGCTCTCCTGCTGCGGGCCTCCAACTGCCTGAGGACGCCAGCTGTAACCTTGCCATTCTTCAGCCTTCCCCAAGGCCCTCACCTGCTGATGCAGGAAGTGAACCCCATTAACTGCTGCCTGATTAGCAAGGCTGAGCAGGTGTCTGCCTCCCGAAGAGGGAGCCAGGCTGGGAGCACCCCACAGATAGGTCTGCAGGAGAAAGGGCTACCAGGGGAGCCCCGCCACGGGGGCACCCTTCACTCTCACCCCACAAGCTTCTCCTTTCCATCAGTAGATATTTGACTCAGTAGATTTGAGACATGATTCCTGCTCTTCTTCACTCCACACATTCTTTGCCCACTTCCATTCTGTCTAACTCAAATTCTCTGCTTCAGCCAAATTAGCCTGCTCATGGTTTCCTGAATATAGCTGGAGATTTCCTGCCCCCCCAGGGCTTTGCCTGCTCCGTCGTCTTCTACCCTGGAATGTGCCTCTCCACCAGGTGTTCCACCACCCGCCCCAACAACGCCCCCCACTACCCCCCCTCCACCCGCCTCCCGCCACTTCCAAACACTACCTACAAGAAGCCTTCCCTGACCACCCAACTGAGTGTGCTCTCCCTGCGCAGAACCCTCTCTTAGGTTGGCCATCTGGTACTGGCATTTAGGGTTAGCTTTCTGTGGGCATGAGATTACAGACTTGGTGTTCTCATCAGATACTCTGGTGTGCCTGACCAGAGGCCCCTCTCCAGCCTTCTTTTAAGGCCTTTTAAGTGTCCAGAGTGTTCTAACCCGTCACCCCCAGTTTCTGTGACATTGCCCTTCAAACATGGCACAGACATAATGAGATGATCAAACAAAACACCGTTACTAACCGCACACAGCACATGGTCAATGTGCAACCCCTGCCTTAAACCAAATAGTAACCAATTAAGAGTTTGTGTTCTTATTTGGGTATCTCAGGATGACTGGAAGTCTTTATTTATTGAGTTCTTTACTCCAAGCACTAAGCCTTCTTGATAATCCACTCTGGAAAATCATTTCAGGGGCCCATTTTTGCTGGTTTGGTTTGGTTTTTGCTTTTCTTGGCCTACAAAATTACCTCTAGGAGTGGGTGAATATTAATCTAGGACCCAAGACCCTAAGCTCTGACCTTAGCTACCCATTATGCTGAACTACAAGGATTGACTGGCCAGTTTGGGAATGATTTGAACTGTC
Source organism: Homo sapiens (assembly GCF_000001405.40). Lineage (NCBI taxonomy): Eukaryota > Metazoa > Chordata > Mammalia > Primates > Hominidae > Homo > Homo sapiens. Next base: position 18,033,953 of record NC_000022.11, on the reverse strand, counting down.
TGCACTGTTCTCTTTTGAGCTCCCTGTTTTGTTTTGTTTTTTTCCCTGAAACATCTCTCTAGAGGTTGGCTTGGGTAACAGCAGCATGCTCACTGCTGGAATTCTTGTCCCAGACTCAGTAAGCAGACAGCATTCACCAAGTATGAAGTTTCTGATACCCAAATGTAGTCTTTCCCTCTGTAAGCCAAAATTGTCTGCTTGGGAATCTGAATCAGAAAGTCCTTGGGGGATGTGGAGACTGGAGCGATTCCCAAGTCTGCCACGGGACATAGCTTTCCATGTGGACAGTGATACTGAAGGCTGTGGGGTGGACAAGCAGGAATCCTCCCTCCTGGAAACTTTCAGTTCCTCCAGCCAGTCCAAGGCTAGATTGGGGGTCACTAGAAATTTCTGAGCAGCCCAGGATAGGAAGCCCAGTCTCTAGGGGGACCCTGTCAAAGCCTAGCATCCTTGGCATCTGTTAGATCTGTCTCGGCCTCCAGCTTTGCTTGAGATCACCTTTTGCTTCAAGCTGACTCGATTGCCTGCTGGTCAGCTCTGCCTGGGGCCATCCACTATGGTGACCACATTGGTCTCCTTCAGCCAGCCTTAAATTCTGTCTGGTTCTGTTCCTTGATTGTGATGAGCGTGCAGGTGCTTGCCTCTTCCATACCTCACACACATTACCTGCAAATTTGCACTGCACCTCCCAACCACAGCCCCCTGCCTGCCTGGGACAGAACGTGAGATGGAAGGTGAGAAAAAAAAAATCAAAGCTCTCCGTCTTACTATTTACAAACTGTTCTGGTCAAAAATTGAGTAGAGGAACAAACTGATGAAACTATTCTTTTTTTTTTACTAAAATAAATAGAAATTTCTAATAATCCTTTACATTCTCATAGTATGATCAAGAGTTTACAGAGTGTTGTCATATGCATTGCCATGTAATCCTCACACATGCCCCCATAAAATGGGGGAAAACGGATATTACTATTCCCATTTGACAGATAAGGAAATATGTGCTTTAGAGAAGTCTATTAATTTGCTCAACGTCATGCAATTAATAAATGATACTGCTGGAAATGAAATGCAGGCCTTCTTCTTCTAGGTCTAAAGACATTTTTGAAATACCTCTGGTGTTCACTTATCCTTACTCTTCCTGCCATCCTGTACCAGGGCCAGATCAGAAGTGAATGATCTGAATGCTCTCTGTGTGATCTAAGTGTGGCCTCCATCTGGCTTTTGTCTCGGCAGATTGGGCTAAGTCCAGGGAGGAGCGCTGGCTGTTTCCAGGCATGCGGGCTCATTATGTCCAGGTGGAGGAGAGTAATGACTTACTCACTTTCTTACTCACTTACTCAGTTACTTACTCGGCTTCAAGCCAAGGAGCCTCTCCCAATTCTTCAGCCCCAAGGGGCCTCCTACAGTAAAGAACCCTCACTGGTATAGGGATTTATGCCACTGAGACAATGTCTTTGGTGCCAGTGACTCTGCTGGTTAGAATGAAGGAAAGGGACTGACTCCTGGCTGTGTGGAAACCACAGAAAAGAGGACGAGGTTCCCGTGGGCACATCCTCTGCTTCTTCCTACCCTTGGGCTTAGCTGTGTCTAACAGAAACAGCAGCAAGGGATGCCAAGCACAGACCTGTCCCCGTTCTACGGCCTGGACAAAGCCATAGGCAGGGTTTGGTCTTAGCCCTATCTCCACCCAAGGTGAGATGTCATCATCAGAAAACTCCTATTGGGCATCTACCTGCAGCTCGCAGGACAGCAGTGATTTCTGCAACACCATGCCCTCCAGCAGCAACTCAGGCCCCCTGGTTTTGCAATATCGTGGTGGTAGTTCTAAGTATCCCTGGGGTGGGGTAAAGGGACAGGAAGTGTTGTTGATACATTCTCAATGCTAAATGTATCAAACTTCACACCGATTTAAAAATAAACATATACCATCTGGCATTTTTAGGAAAATGAAGAAGGGATGGGTTTGGGGAGGATGAATTGCTAAGTGGCACAAAAACAGGCTATTACCACTCCAGATAGATGTGAGTCACTCGGAGGAGCTCAGTCTTGTGTCTTTCATTCCAAACCCCTGAGCCAAGCAGACCTGGTAGCAGAGCTGGAGGGTGGCCAAGCCCAGGAAGCCACGCTGGGGGCAGGAAATACAGCAGGGTAGTTTTTAGCTGGTATCCAGGGAACAGAGCGGGTGATGGAAAGAGGAGAGGCAGAGGAAACCCATTACCACCTGGTGTCTTGCTACTAGGAAGATGGAATTCACTTCAGATTTTGGTCCGTTGGTGACTTGATTAACTACACATTGAAGGTAGACAGCTTACTGAGAGACAGAGGGGGTAGTGGGTGAGGACCATAAACTCTGGAGTTGGTAGGATGAAATGAGTAAATATATATAAATCACCTAGAACAGTGCTTAATGTTCTAAGTAAAATACTAATGTTGGTTATTGCTACTACTGAGTACAATGAAGAGCTGCAGTGGAAAGTCAGGGTGCTAGAGTGGCAATAATATGCAACACAGCTGGGTGCCGTGGCTCATGCCTATAATTCCAGCACTTTGGGAGGCCGAGGTGGGTGGATCACCTGAGGTCGGGAGTTTGAGACCAGCCTGGCCAACATGGTGAAACCCCGTCTCTACTAAAAATACAAAAATTAGCTGGGCGTGGTGGCACCCACCTCTAGTTCCAGCTACTTGGGAGGCTGAGGCAGAAGAATCAATGGAACCTGGGAGGCAGAGGTTGCAGTGAGCCAAGATGGCGCCATTGCACTCCAGCCTGGCTGCAAGAGCCAAACTCCATCTCAAAAAAAAAAAAAATGCAACACAAATGCATTTAAGACAGAAACCTGTTCTGCAAAGAGGAAGAGGTACCAGTAGATGCAATTATGGCAGCCTGGGGCTTTCTATAGGCCAAGTTTAGGCTACCTCATTGGAATAATATAATGTAGTTTCAGAACTGTGACTTCCGGCTTCAGCAGGCTGGAAGAAATCCATCTCCCATTAATCTTTCTATCAGACTCCAGGAAAAAAATAAAGCAAAAATATTTTCCTATTTCATCTTTAAGAAAGTCAAATTATTCAAGACACACTGAGCACCTATCTGCATAAAATAGTCTAATGATGATAGGAGTTAAAATGAAGTAAAAGATTTGTTCCCTGCTGTTAAGGATCTTATAATCCCTTTGGGAAGACAAGGTCAATACTGATACAGATGAAAGTATAATCTTCTTCTTCTTGAACAGTAAGAATCTATAACTTCACACATTTCTCTCTTTGCCCAGACTTTGAGCAAAGCTTATATTTAAATTCAGTGCCCAAATTCTGAAGCAACTCACTTTTTCTCAGGAGTCCTTCTGGATTCAATTATTTATTTACTTTTGAGATCTGGTTATGAGACTGGCTAATTTTTTGGTAGAGACGGGGTTTTGCCATGTTGCCAGATTGGTCTTGAACTCCTGGGCTCAAGCAATCTATCTGCCTCGGCCTCACAAAGTGCTGGGATTACAGGTGTGAGCCACTGTGTCTGGCCTGGATTCAATTTTTTATTACGAGTTTTATTTGTTTCTTTTTTAAGATACATATTCTAATGACAAATCATTTGAATCGTTTTGGGAATCAGAAGGTCAAAAGCACTAAAACCTTTTCTACTGGCATGAACTAGCAGTACAAGAAAAATAACCTGACTGGGCATGGTGGCTCACACCTGGAATCCCAGCACTTTGGGAGGCCAAGGTGGGTGGTTTGCTTGAGCCCAGGAGTTCGAGAGCAGCCTGGGCAATATTGTGAGACTCTGTCTCTACAAAATACACACACACACACACACACACACACACCACACATTAGCCAGGTGTGGCGTCATGTGCCTGTAGTCCCAGCTACCCAGGGAGCTGAGGTGAGAGCTCTAGGCTGCAATGAGCTGTGATTATACCACTGCACTCCAGTCTGGGCAACAGAGTGAGACTTTGTGAAAGAAAGAAAGAGAGAAAGAAGAGAGAAAGAAAAAAGAAAGAAAAGAGACAGAAGAAAAATGAGAAAAAAAGAAGAAAAAAGAAAGAAGAAAGAAGAGAGAAAGAAGAAAGAAAGAAAAAGAAAGAAGAAAGAAAAAAGAAAGAAAGAAAAGAAAAAGAAAGGAAGGAAGGAATAAAGAAAGAAAGATCCATGATGAAGACTCACAGAATCTTTGAGTTAAAGGGAACTTGGAAGTCATGGAGTCAACTCCTGTCCCAAAGTAGATATCCTATAAGCTCTCAGATGCTTGGATCCCAGCATTTCCCTAAGCAGACTTCCAGACCATTCTGTGGTGAGTCCGCAATTTTGGAAAATTCTTTGAACAGAAATCTATCTCCCATTCATCCTTATCCCTAATGATCCTCCTTCTGCCCTGCGGAGTGACATAGAACAAGCCACGTACCTCTTCTTCATTGGCAGCCATTCCTATACATAAAGTCAATAATCATGTTCTTCAGAAGACTCCAGGCTAGACATGCTCAACTGCAGTGGCCCCTCATCCTGCTGAGCAGTGCCCAAGGCCTGCAGCCTCCTCCTCTGGTGGATGAACTCTAGTTTATCAAGGTCCCTCCTGGAACCTTGTGCTACAGAGTGGTATAAATATGACCTGGCCAGCACCAAGATTCCTGGGCCAGTTACTCCGTGAAACATCAGGTTACTCTCTGTCTACTAATATAGCTCTGAGGTTTCATTAGCTGTTTCACCAGCTGCTTCCCACGTGGGGCTCTTACTGAACCTGTTGGTTGACTTAACTCCCTATCTTCTGTTTCACATGCACAAGTCAGGCCTCTACTGTGCAATATATATTTTCAACCAAAAGTGCAGGCCATTATATTTATTCATGCTAAATCTGAACTTAGTGGTTTTAGTCTATCAAAAACTCTAGGAAGACCTTTCTTTCTCTTTTAGAGACAGGCTCCCACTCCATTGCCCAGGCTGGAGTGCAGTGATGCAATCATAGCTCAATGTAGCCTCAAACTCCTAGGCTTAAGGGGTCCACTCTTGTGCACCACCACACCTGGCTAATTTCTATTTTTTTTTCCTAGAGACAGGGTCTTGAGCTGGGAGTCCTAGTGCACACCTGTAATCCTAGCTACTCGGGAGGCTGAGGTGAGAGGATCCCTTGAGCCAGGAGTTCAAGGCTGCAGAGCTATGATTGCACCACTGCACTCCACTCCAGCCTGGATGACAGAATGAGACCCTGACTCTTTAAAAAAGTAAAATAAAATAACAGGTTCTCGCTATGTCACCCAGGCTGATCAAACTGCTAATCTTAAGGGATCCTTCTGCCTCAGCCTCCGGAGTAGCTGGGATTACAAGCTCATTCTTAATGTTTATCCTGTCAACTATAGATTATAACTAAATTTTCATCTATTTTTGATTAGCTAGCTATGGTAGCTTTCTGTCATTTACAAATGTAGGCAGCCTGCCTTCAGACTTCAAGATTACTAATGAGATGCAGAGTGACCTTGAACTAGACAGTTAACCTCTGTAGAGCTCTGTTTCCTCATCTGAGGAAAGCAAGGGAGCAGAGAATGACCTCGTAGGTCTCTAGGAATTTCAGTGTACCTTATGCAAATAAAATGGCCAGCTGGTAAAAGACAGGGAAGGGGAAAAAAGCATAGACTGACCCCTTTCACTCATGGTATAAAGTGGTCAAGTAAATGTTCTATGTTCAAATATATGTATTTTAACTTTAAACCTCAGGCATTGTCTTCAGGTAATTAAACTCTGTGAACAACATGGTAGATACCTTCATTCATAATTAAACATTCAATTTTTGCATAGTGCTAGTCTGTGGGGGAGAAAAGCTGCAAAATTTACAGGTATTTTGTCAATTTAATTGCAGTAAATTTGTTCCTAAATTCAGTACGTTATCTAAAACTGCTTGATGAAATATTAGTCTTTTTTTTTTTTCTGAGACAGAGTCTCACTGTGTCGCCTAGGCTGGGATGCAGTGGTGTGATCTCAGCTCACTGCAGCCTCCTCCTCCCAGGTTCAAGCAATTCTCCTGTCTCAGCCTCCCGGGTAGCTGGAACTACAGGCACACGCCACCGCACCTGGCTAATTTTTGTATTTTTAGTAGAGATGGGGTTTCACCATGTTGGCCAGGATGGTCTTGATCTCTTGACCTCGTGATCCACCCGCCTCGGCCTCCCAAAGTGCTAGGATTACAGGCATGAGCCACCGCACCCAGCCAAAGTCACTAATACAAAGTATTAGTCTTATACTCACTTTAATGCAATAGGTGCTAAACACTGTTTTCAGTATTCAGAAATTCACTCAATAAGAGAATTTATAAAAGATCTATTGCCACGTTGAATCCACTCCTATTAATTTTCCAACAGCCTTTAGCCCTAAATTTATTCAAGAGTAAAAAACCTTTTGGCCTGATCTGATTTTAGAAGGTACATTTTAAAATAGTCAAAAGGACTAGATTCCCTCCCATCACACTTAACTTTCTCAGTGGGGAAAAAAACAAACGCTGAAAAGGTTTAAAGAGATTCTAGAGTTGACATTGAGCCCCCAGCCCTCACCTTCTGCCCTCTTTGCTATCTTCTCTCAAGGAAGAAGAAAGCAGCATTAGGTTTCATTTCATCTTGGAGAACCATCAGCGAGATCACACAGCCTTATTGCCAACCTTTGACAGTTCTATTACTCTAGTTGCTTTTCCTGAGAGGTCTCCCCTACCCCACCCATCAAAGCCTAACCCTCTCTGACAAGTTTTTCAATTTACCCAATCATCCCATCAGCAGTAAATGCTGAGATTAAAACGTGAGGATCAGAGGGACAGGGCAGCTTTTCTATAGCAGGACTGAGGCTGAGGCCATCAGCAGGGTCAGTATCAAGTGAGCTCCAAGCTCCGGCATCCCTGGCTTAACCCAGGGCCTTGGAAAGCTCACCCCTTTCTCTTATTTTCTCTCCCTATTCTTACTTATTGAGGATTTTAAAATAGTAAAGGAGATACTGCGTTTTTCTGAGTAAATCAAAATAATCAACCAAAAAGCTACAAAGAACTAACCCTAGTTTCCCAAAGAGTTTGTGAGCTAAATAATTTAAATGCTATATACCAGGTGAGGGCACAACAGATGTGTGGAGGGCAGTGGAGTGGGACCGTGCAGGTCCTGTGGGGAACGGGGCTGGGTGAGTTGGATATCCCCATTGGAGAGGATTGGAAAGTCTTTAAAATGTTAATACCCTTGGACTCAATATTCCACTTCTGGGACTCACCTGGAAGGAAATTATTCACACATAGGAGCAAGATTTATGAAGAAAAAATTTTATTGCCATTATTTACAATCAATAAAAGTTGGAAATATTCAATAAAAGGGAAATTATGAGATATTCATATGATAAAAATATTGTATGACATTTAAATTAATGTTTTTTAAAAATCCTCAAAGGAGGAAGAATTTCCCACAAAGTTATTTTTAACAAAAAGCAGGATGCACTTGTGTGTCTGTGTGTGTGTGTGTGTGGTTTTATCTCAACTTAGTTTAAAGCTAGAAAGCTAGAAAAAAGACTGGAAAGAAATATGAATATTACTAATGGCTTTCTCTAGGTGATGAGATTATGAATGCTTTTCTTCCTTTATGTTTCTATATTTTTCAGTTTTTCTAAAATAAACGTTTTCGCCTAGTGCAGTGGCTCATGCCTGTTATCCCAGCACTTTGGGAGGCTGATGAGGGCAGATCGCTTGAGCTCAGGAGTTTGAGACCAGCCTGGGCCATGTGGCAAAACCCCATCTCCACAAAAATTAGCTGGGTATGGTGGTGCATGCCTGTAGTCCCAGCTATGCAGGAGGCTGAGGCAGGAGAATCGCTTGAACTTGGGAGGCAGAGGTTGCAGTGAGCTGAAATTGCACCACTGCCCTCCAGCCTGGGCAATAGAGCAAGATCCTGACTCAAAAAAAAAAAAAAAACTCCAGCGTCAAAAATAAAATAAAATGAGAAGTAGGAGAAATTATTAGAGATTCTGGACCTTTTAGGGCATTTTTCCCTAATATCCACTCAGGCCGTGCCCAGATGGCCTTGCACCTTCAGCTGTGGCATCAAACAAAACTGGGAATTGCAGCTTTACCACTTATCTCGCTGCATAAGCTTCCACAAGCAAGTTACTTACTGTTTGTGCTTTTAGGTTCTTAATATGTAAAACAATGTTTTACATTAAAAATTAAATGAAATAGCTCCTGAAAAGCCCAGTCACATTGTCAGAGCTCAGTAAAAATGTGTTCCCTTATTCTAGTACTGGGGCAGAACACCTGCAGGTTTGTAGGTGGGGAGACAGTGGACAGAGTGGCTGGGTGATGAAGTGGGGCTCTAGAGGATGAGCAGAGATTGCCTCTGAGCCGACACCCTGGCCCTGTCAGTTCCCGTCCTCACATGATGGACATGAAGGGAACACGAATGAAGCAGATGATGATACGGTTAAGTAAATACCACCTGGGACCAGAGAGAGCCCTTCTCAAGGAGTCGCCAGCCCAGAGTCGGCCCTCTTCTGAGCTGGCCGGCTGGAGTCAATCTGCTTTGGACAACACAGCTTCAGATGGAGATAATACTGAGGCCAATGATCCTTGAAGACAAAATAATCTCTGGGCTTCTTTCTGCTCTGATTATAATGTTGCAATTATACTGAGCAGATGCTGATAGGAATTTGGTCAAATCCATCCCGTCTTCCATCTAACTTATTTTAGTGCCTGGTGGATTTCTGTCCAGCTCCACGGGCTGTGGCAATGCCGGGGCTGGCTGGAAGTGTGGAAGGGGCTGGCTGGAAGTGTGGAAGAGGCTGCCCGGGCTCCGGCATCAAGAGGTTTTCTCCGGTGGGGAGGAGTGCGCGATCTGATCCTTGGAGCGCTTGCAACTGTAGCCCTCCCCCAGGGCTCTGCGCTGATCTCCAGGGTCATCATCATAGTAACAGTAAGAACTTCATTTTATAGCATTTTTCAATCTGTAAGACAACGTCGTGTCCTTTATACCGTTGAAATTTCAATTTCACGACTACTCAGATGTTACGCGACTTGCTCAGTATCCAACACTTGGTTCCTTCACTGGCTCCCGGAGACCTGGGTGCTGAAGCCACTGCAAGGAGGTGTGTGCTCGAACACACAGCGAACACCGACTGCGTGGTTAGCAGGATTCGCTGGGGAAGAGGCCTCAGGAGAGTGCTGGAATTTCCAACCTTCGAGGTGCTAGTAACGTGTGTCGAGGAAGGGGTTGGAGAAGGGGAGAAAATGAAAAGAAGGGGAGAAAATGAAAAGATGGGGAGGAGGAGAAATGGTTTGGGTTTGGTTTTGGCTTGAGCCTCACCCAAGCGTCCCACGCCGCAGCTCCGCGGCCTCCTGGGGGCGCCCGCTCGCGTTGCCACGGCGCTCGCGCGGAGCCGCAGCCCGCCCAGCCAGCAGCGCGCGCTCCTGCAGCCCCGGCGGAGTCCCGGCGGGGAGCGCCCGCGTAGGCAGGCACCCGGGGCAGCCCTCCGTCCTCGCCGCGCGGCCTGAGAACCCCTGGGCCCTGGGCGAGGGGGCTGGGCTGTGCAGCCCCCGAGGCTAACTGGGCGGGATCGCAGCTGCAGGGGTTGTGCGAGCAGCCACGGCGGCACCTGTGCCCTGCGGGCACCCACCCTGCCCCTGCCGAGGCAGGCGCCCACCGCCGGCGGTGATGCGGCTGTGAAGCCCTAGTCGGTGAGTACCCTCCAGTCCCCCTGTGGGCGAGCGAATCTAAATGACAAGGTTATGTGTTTTGCTGGATGTCTTCTAAGAATCATTTATTTAGATTGCTTATGGTGGGGAAGCGTTTCCTTTGTGACATCTTTGTGTTTCTCGGATCTATTTCGTTTCCCTCTAAACGCAGCCCTCTCTCCCCTAGTGGGAAAGACACCCAGTATCCGTGTCTCGATCATCGCACGACACCCACCAGTGCGGATGCCACGTACCACACACTCCCCAGAGCCTGCCAGAGAGCAGGGCTGTCTCCCAGCCACGTCCACCCCATTTTCATTGTGCTTCTATCCCGCAGGCAAAGGAAGAGCGTACCCAGGCACCCCCGAGGTAGGCCAGGTGTCAGGACAGCCAGCAGGCCCTTGGCGAAGCCGGGTCCGCTCTGGCTAGCTCAGCGCGGTGAACCCATGAGCTCATTAGGAGCAGCGGCTGCTTTGCGCGGGGAACGCCGGTTTCCCTGCGGCAGAGGGGCCCTGCACCCGCCCGCGGCGCGCGGTGGTGGCCCAGGACCAGTGGCGCACACGCTTGCGCTCCCAGGCTGCAGGGCGCGCTGCGCCGGCGCAGCTCCCGGGCGTGTGCAACAAAAGGACGGCCAAGTTCATTCCCTCCTGGAAGCAGAGGGCGGGGCCGCATGACTTCTGGAGGCTGCATGTGTCTTAGAATCAAATGGTTATGACTCCATAGCAAAATGCTTTCTGTGTGTCAAGTCCTCTCCGTGCCTGCCAACCCCTTCCCTCCTCTCTCCTCCCTAAAATGCTTTCTTATTGGTCTGGCACTGTGATCAACTATTTAGAATTTTCATTGTAAAGAAATGAAAAAAGGGTGAAACCGAGACAAGCTGTAGGCTGAAAGGCTGGGCCCTGTGGTGCTATTCATTAGCTCTCAGGCCTGGCTGCTGGGGAGATTTTTAGAAATCCTGCTACCTGGGTCCAATCCCTGGAGATTCTGACTTAATTGGTCTGGGATATGGCCCAAACACTGGGATTTTTTAAATTTTCTTTTTGTGGGGAGGAGTGGTGGTGGGAAAATTTGGAGTGCATACTGGATTTTTTTTTTTTAACTTCCCAGGTGATTCTAATGAGCTAAGATGGCCACCCACCATTCTAATCAATCAGGGTGACATTTTTCCAGGTGAACTTGGTAATAGTTCAGTCTCTCAGGCTGCCGTTGGAGGGCAGGGTATGCAACTGTCATAAATGCCTACAAGCTACAGGCAAAGAGAGCTGGCAGGGCCTTGGGCTGCTCCAAGAAGCTCAGGATGAAGGCAGTGTCTCAAACGAGGGAGGGATCATCACTCTCGGAACAGGTCCCTTCACTAAATGAAGTGTTCTGATCTATATTCCAGGGCAAGGGGAAAGCAGATGCATACCTTTGCAAGTCTGTAGCATGAAAGCTGTGGCTCCCTGTACATTTGTGGACTTCATGGCTGCCTATGTACTAACCAGAGTCACATGTGTATATCCCCCCACCACCCACTCACTACAAGGAGAATGGACACTTAGAAAGCAGAAGAGGGGGCTGGGCGCAGAGGCTCAGGCCTGTAATCCCAGCACTTTGGGAGCCCGAGGTAGGCAGATCACTTGGGGCCAGGAGTTGGAGACCAGCCTGGCCAACATAGTGAAACTCAGTCTCTACTAAAAATACAAAAATTAACCAGGTGTGGTGGTGCATGCCTGTAGTCCCAGCTACTCGGGAGGCTGAGGCATGAGAATAGCTTGAGCCAGGGAGGTGGAGGTTGCAGTGAGCCAAGATCACACCACTGCACTCCAGCCTGGGTGACAGAGTAAGACTCTGTCTCAAAAGAAAAAAAAAAGGGTGGGGGTGCAGGTCGGAATGCAGTAGTCACTCTGGAGAAGGAAGAGGCAACAAATAAGATCACCTAGAAATTATAAAGTGTTATTATCCTTCTCAGGCCTAAAATCCTTCCACATGGCGAGTCCCTCGTAAGCCTATGGGAAATCCTAGAAACTTCCTCTCCCTGAAAATTGGAGTCCCAGGGTAAAATCTTCCCCACAGGTACTGTTGCAGACTGGGGGTGGGCGGCAAAAAGTTTCCTCTAACCCTTGCCTTCTAAAGTTACCATGAATGTTCATAAACACCAAGGCAGGTGGAGGCAGACACTCCACAGCGAGTTCACAATGACTAAGGGGCTCAAGGAAATTAGATAAGGTCTTAAAACTGGGGGTCTGAAATGTTAAAATTTTACATAAACTAGAAAATGTGATCTACCCACCTGGTGCCAGAACTTCACCAGGCACAGCTTCCTAATGACCTCGCTTTCATTTGGGTTAAGTAGAGAAGGGGTTAAGATCTCCTGCGAGATAGGTATAAATGATGGTACCATATCTTCTGAAACTCTTGGGCACGGCTCAGTCATACACCTCATAAATAGGCAAGGGGATTAAGATGTTGTTTAAAGCATACACAACCCACCCAATGTGGACAACAAAGCTTAATGTGCCAGGGCCACTGAGGGAGTGGCCAGGAAGGGTCTCCCTACCATAGAATGGCCACAGTCTCCCACATGGCCTACCAGATTGCTTGTCTCTGCATGCTCCTTTCTGCATTCCCACGCACTGACTACACACTCCCTCCCTCTCCCATGCCCCACTCCCTCCAAGCAACCCAAAACAGTTAGAACAACTTCCATCCTTCCCTTTAGTCTTTGCTTTTCTAGTCTGTGCATAGCCATGCATGCATCATTTTGTTCCTTCCTGGAGTCAGCCTGACCTCTTGAGACAATGCCTTCATTTCACCTGGGCCTCCCACAGGTTTCCCTAGTACTTACCTGGCTGAGCTGGGCGATGGGCATGCTTCACTCTCTTGGCTGAGCGGGAGCTGCTCCTGACTAGTTCTGCATGAAGGATGGCTCACAGAGGCTTCTGCTACTTCCAGCCCAAATGTCCTTTCCTGACAGGTCACCTCAAGGCTGATCCATCTCACGAGACAGGGCAGGCCAGCCATGTGAGGGCTGCCAGCCCAGTAGATGGCTAATCCAGGAATACCAAAACCATATCTCATTTCTATTACCCCTCCCTGCCACGACCACCAATATCTATTCTCTGAAAAGGGCAATTTATGGCACAGGCCACTGGGGGAAAATGTCCAGTTGATCCAGCTTAACCCATGTATATCAGTTCATCTTTAGGGTGCTACCTAAACTCAGAGTGGGACTAGTGGAGACATTGTGTGGCTTTAATAAATTCCCTTTTCACACTTTTTTAAACTGTGGATTGTGACTCATCAGTGAGTCATGAAATCAACTTGGTGGGCCATTTTATTTATTTATTTATTTATTTATTTATTTATTTATTTATTTATTTATTTATTTGAGACAGGGTCTCACCCTGTCACCCAGGCTGGAGTTCAGTGATGAGATCTTGGCTCACTGCAGCCTCCGCTTCCCAGGTTCAAGTGATTCTTGTGCCTCAGCCTCCCAAGTAGCTGGGACCACAGGTGCCCACCACCATACCCGGCTAATTTTTGTATTTTTAATAGAGATGGGGTTACCATGTTGGCCAGGCTGGTGTCGAACTCCTGCCTCAAGTGATCTGCCTGCCTCAGCCTCCCAAAGTGCTGGGATTACAGGTGTGAGCCACTGCACCCAGCCTATTTTTTTTTTTTTTTTTTTACTTTTTAAAGGTTTACAGCCATTTTATTTGAAAGTATACATTTAGCACCATGAAATAAACACTGATATATTGAAGCCTGGTTAATAGTAGTGTAACAATATATTTTGATGATTACATTATTTTAAACAACAAACTACACTGAAAAATTAATGCCGATAAAACTCTTGGTCATAATATTAAGAAATACCATATATAAATTGAAAATATGATTGCTTAAAATTTGAAAATGGAAGTGCACTCGTTTGGACAGTCAGAATTTAACATAATCTGAAGGGAGAGGATCTCTGACCCAAAATATATCTTTCAGGTTAAGAGAAGGAAAAAGAAGTGTAGTTTATCTTAAAGGATGATGGGAGTTTGTTTCTTCAGGTGGAAGATATTCCCAGTGTCCTCAGGTTTTGCAGTAGAATCATATCACTGAGCACGAAGATTTTCATTGGGAAGCTGCCCTGTCAATTTTATCTGCCTCTAAAATTGTCCTCTTAAAAACATCAGCAGCTGGCCGGGCGCGGTGGCTCACACCTGTAATCCCAGCACTTTGGGAGGCCTAGACGGGCAGATCACGAGGTCAGGAGATCGAGACCATCCTGGCTGACACAGTGAAACCCCGTCTTTACTAAAAATACAAAAAAATTAGCTGGGCGAGGTGGCGGGCACCTGTAGTCCCACCTACTCGGGAGGCTGAGGCAGGAGAATGGCGTGAACCCCGGGGGGCGGAGCCTGCAGTGAGCCGAGATCGCGCCACTGCACTCCAGCCTGGGCGACAGCAAGACTCCATCTCAAAAAAAAAAAAAAAAAAAAAAAAATCAGCAGCATTCTCATTTTCTCTAGTAGAAAATTCCAAAAAAGCCGCATTCCAAGATTCTGCCAAAGCTTCCCTGATCACCCTTTTTTTCTTTTTCTTTTTTTTTAATTTTTGAGACAGAGTCTTGCTCTGTCATCCAGGCTGGAGTGCAATGGCGCGATCTCAGCTCACTGCAACCTCCGCCTCCCAGGCTCAGGCAATTCTCCTGCCTCAACCTCCTGAGTAGCTGGGATTACAGGCGTGTGCCACCATGCCCAGCTAATTTTTGTATTTTTAGTAGAGACAGGGTTTCGCCACGTTGGCCAGGCTGGTCTCGACCTCCTGACCTCAGGTGATCTGCCTGCCTTGGCCTCCCAAAGTGCCGGGATTACCGGCGTGAGACACTGCGCTCGATCTGATCACCCTTTTCATATGCAGGTCTTTCTTATTTCCAACCGACATAATAGATATTTCCACTTTCCCCACCATATCCAATGATTTGCCATGGATAACTGTAATCACTTCAGAACTTTTCATTGATGTGGCAGAATACACAATAATACAACCATTAATGTCTATGGAGTTTGTCTGGGGAATAATGGAATATTGATCTTGGGTGGGTCCTTTTTTTTTTGAGACAGGGTCTCCCTCTGTCACCCAAGCTGGAGTGCAGTAGTGTTGTGATCTCAGCTCACTGCAGCCTTGAACTCCCAACTCAAGCGATGCTCCCACCTCATCCTCCTGAGTAGCTGGAACTACAGGCATGCATCACCATGCCTAGCTAATTTTTGTATTTTTTTGTACAGACAGGGTTTCGCCATGTTCTCCAGGCTGGCCTCCAACTCCTGGGCTCAAGTGATCCACCCTCCTCGGCCTCCCAAAGTACTGGTATTATAGGCGTGAGCCACTGTGCCTGGCCAGGTGGGCCATTTTAAAAAGAAAGAATAGAAAATACCAGAGTGTATACGTGTAGTGAAGGGAAGATTTGTGTCCTGAGATTTGTGTTTCAGTTTTGTATACTGTGTGTGTGTGTGTATGTGTGTATGTGTGTGTGTGTGTAGATAGATAGATAGATAGATAGATAGATATTTTTTATTTTTATTTTTTTCTTGAGACAGAGTCTTTGTCACCCAGGCTGGAGTGCAGTGGTACAATCTTGACTCACTACAACCTCCGCCTCCCAGGTTCAAGTGATTCTCCTGCCTCAGCCTCCCAAGTAGCTGGGACCACAGGTGCCCACCACCATACCCTGCTAATTTTTGTATTTTTAGTAGACATGGGGTTACCATGTTGGCCAGGCTGGTCTCAAACTCCTGACCTCGGGTGATCCACCTGCCTTGGCCTCCCAAAGTGCTGGGATTACAGGTGTGAGCCACCATGTCCAGCCTGTATATGTATATTTTTGTTGTGTACACTGAATCGTGATGCAAAATATATTTCTTATTATGAATCATGGTCAAGAAACTTTTAAAGTCGTTACCTTGAGCAAATACCGACAGAAATTGGAGTTGAATCAAAATGAAATATTAAAAGGTCAAATTCTTCAAGAGCTAGCAAAAAAATAGAATTCAATATATTTTAGATCTATGGATAATTTTCAAGTTAAAAGAATCCATGGGGGAAAACTGTGTTCATTTAAATTTAAAATTTCTATCGGCTGGGCGCAGTGGCTCACGCTTGTAATCCCAGCAATTTGGGAGGCCGAGGCAGGCGGATCACGAGGTCAGGAGTTCAAGACCAGCCTGGCCAACATGGTGAAACCCCTTCTCTATTAAAAATACGGCCGGGCGCGGTGGCATGCCTGTAATCCCAGCACTGTGGGAGGCCGAGGCAGGTGGATCACGAGGTCAGGAGATCGAGACCATCCTGGCTAACATGGTGAAACCTCATCTCTACTAAAAATACAAAAAATGAGCCGGGCGTGGTGGCGGGCACCTGTAGTACCAGCTACTCGGGAGGCCGAGGCAGGAGAATGGCGTGAACCTGGGAGGCGGAGCTTGCAGTGAGCGGAGATCGAGCCACTGCACTCCAGCCTGGGTGACAGAGCAAGACTCCATCTCAAAAAAAAAAAAAAAATTAGCCGGGTGTGGTGGCGGGTACCTGTAATCCCAGCTACTCGGGAGGCAGAGGCAGGAGAATCACTTGAACCCGGGAGGCAGAGGTTGCAGTGAGCTGAGATCACACCACTGTACTCCAGCCCAGGTGACAGAGTGACACTCTGTCTCAAGAAAAAAAAATTCTATCAAATGAAAAAGGAACAGAGTGGGGGAAATATTTGCATTATATATTACAAATTAAAAGTTAACCTCTGTTAGGCCAGGCACGGTGGCTCATGCCTGTAATCCCAGCACTTTGGGAGGCGGAGGTGGGTGGATCACAAGGTCATGAGTTCAAGACCAGCCTGGCCAACATTGTGAAACCGCATCTCCACTAAAAAAATAAAAAAAATTAGCCAGGCATGGTATCAGGCACCTGTAATCCCAGCTACTCAGGAGGCTGAGGCAGGAGAATCACTTGAACCTGGGAAGTAGAGGTTGCAGTGAGCCGAGATTGCGCCATTGCACGCCAGCCTAGGCAAGAAGAGCGAGACTCCGTCTCAAAAAAAAAAAAAAAGTTAACCTCTGTTAAACCAATAATTCATTTCAAAAAAGGAGAATGGGCATGGGATTGTGGACAAGGGAGAGGCAGAGACTCAAGGACTGACTTGGGCCTTTGGAAGGCCAGGTTCTATACGGCTTTTTTCCTGAGTGTGGTGGTGCAAGAAAGTTAGTGGTAAATTAGTTACAATTTCTGTTCCCCCCACTACATACTGCTCTTTTGATGTTGAACCAAACCTTTAATAAAGCATTTTGAATACTGCAGAAAGAAAAGAAACTTTTTTTTTTTTTTGAGACAGAGTCTGGCTCTGTCACCCAGGCCGGAGTGCAGTGAAGCAATCTTGGTTCACTGCGAGCTCCGCCTCCCGGGTTCACGCCATTCTCCTGCCTCAGCCTCCCGAGTAGCTGGGTCTACAGGCGCCCACCACCACCCCCGGCTAAGTTTTTGTATTTTTAGTAGAGACGGGGTTTCACTGTGTTAGCCAGGATGGTCTTGATCTC
Organism: Homo sapiens; assembly: GCF_000001405.40. Lineage (NCBI taxonomy): Eukaryota > Metazoa > Chordata > Mammalia > Primates > Hominidae > Homo > Homo sapiens. Next base: position 18,016,730 of record NC_000022.11, on the reverse strand, counting down.
CTGACCTCGTGATCCGCCTGCCTCGGCCTCTCAAAGTGCTGGGATTACAGGCGTGAGCCACCGCACCCGGCCTAGAAACATTTTAAAGAGTTTTAAAACATTACAATTCTGTGCATAACTGTCTACTATATGATTCCAATTATATAACACTCTGGAAAAGTTGAAACTACAGGGAAAGAAAATAGAAGAGTGATTGCCAAGGGCTGTTTGGAGGGAGAATGTGACTACAAAGGCACAGAGGGAGACTTTTCAGGATCATAGAACCATTCAGTGACCTGTCTATAGTTGTTAAAAGTCATAGAACTGCACACGAAAAAGAATAACTTTTTGATATGTGAATTATACCTGAATAAACCTGACTGGAGGACAAAAAACAACTCTCCAGGGATAAATTCACAGTTCATAAAAAGAAATTCATCTACATGAGGCAATGCAATGAACAAAACATTGATATGTGTTCACTGTTGATAGCAATCAAAAGTGCAAATTACAACACCATTATACTGTTATGCTTCTTGCTAATGGTTAATAATTTTTCAAAACCGCAACATAATGCTATTGAGGTTACAGTAAAATTCCATATTTATTGTGGGTTGCATTATAAATTGATAACATTTGTGGGGAATGCAACATGATAATATATGGGAAAAGCCATAAAATTACTACCACTATATAGGAAAAGCCATATAATTACCAGACCCAGGAATTTATCCCAATAAAGTTAGTTAACAAAGGTTTTTTAAATTTCAGATGCATAAAAAATACCCTCTGTTGTGTTGGTTATAATAGAAATAAGTAGAAATCACTGAAATGTCTAATATTATAGGGACAGTTTAAAATTTTGTTGGTACATTATACAATGGAATATCTTGCATTCACAACCAAAGCCTAAATCAAGAGGCATGTAGAAAGAAACATGGAAAATACTTTTGATAAAAGGAACAATAGCGAATAGAACATAGCAAGCACATCATGTTCATAACTGTAATAATCTGTGTGCCTGTGCCATAGCTGTGCTGAAGTGATGGATTAGAGATGAGTCTTAGGGTCGCGCGTGGTCGGAGGCCATGACAGGCAGATCACCTGAGGTCAGGAGTTCGAGATCAGCTGGCTAGCATGGTGAAACCCCGTCTCTACTAAAAATACAAAAATTAGCCGAGTGTGCTGGCAGTCACCTGTAATCCCAGCTACTTGGGAGGCAGAGGCAGGAGAATCACTTGAACCCACAAGGCAGAGGTTGCAGTGAGCCAAGATCACACCACTGCACTCCAGAGTGAGACTCCATCTCAAAAAAAAAAAAAAAAAAAAGATGAGTCTTAAATCTTAAATTTGTAAAATTCTCTTGCTGTTATTATACTGCCTTTTCAATAACAAAGCACCCTCAAATAAAACCTTCGAGATTGGAAGAAATGAATGTAGAAGAAAAGAGAAATCTCAGAAATTATGATATATTACAAAGTAGAATGTTTTTTATTAGCCCCAGAAACCAGAAGAATCCCAAGAGTCACAATTATGTTGAATAAATCCAAGCTGTGTGGGTTTTCTTTCCTCTTGCTGTCATTTAACTTTGGTGAAGTCCTTGCTTACGGCAGGTAGTTTGTGAATATCTACTGACTGCTGAATAAATGCCAAGGCCATCTTTTAGTTGTACTTTTCACAATCACAGGCCTGGGAAAACTTGAATTTATCTCTGAAAAAGCATCAGAAATCTTAGTACAAGCAACACTTTCTCTTTTTTTTTTTTGAGATGGAGTCTCACTCTGTCGCCCAGGCTGGAGTGCAGTAGCGCAATGTCGGCTCACTGCAAGCTTCTGGGTTCATGCCATTCTCCTGCCTCAGCCTCCCGAGTAGCTGGGGCTACAGGCACCCGCCACCACGCCTGGCTAATTTTTTGTATTTTTAGTAGAGATGGGGTTTCACCGTGTTAGCTAGGATGGTCTCGATCTCCTGACCTCGTGCTCCACCTGCCTCAGCCTCCCAAATTGCTGGGATTACAGGCATGAGCCACTGCACCTGGCCTAACACTTTCTCTTTAACTGCTTATTTTTAGGACTTTAATTTTTCCAGCATAGGGAACATATCTTTGGGGACTTTTTCCCCCATTAAGAGAATTGTAAGAATATTTTAAGTAGGTCACAACTCCTAGGGGAAAGAAGGGTATGTAATGAACAGAGCTCTGGGGAAGCTTTTTTAGAAATGTGCCTAATGTAGATGTTTAAGTGATGGAGCTTTTTCTTTTGAAGTGGGAAACAGGGAAGGGGAAGAAGGTAAGAGAAGGAACAAATCCAACAACTTGGAAAAGCTGTTCTCTTCCTTCCAGGCTCTGGTATTTTCAGATCGAATGGCCTAATATACAGTTCCTGGGTTCTCCTGAACCTTTGGTTTGCTACATAACCTCGAGATAAATATTTAGTGTCTTAGTGCCTCATTTTCATCATCCTTCACAGGAATGAAAATTCTTACTCTATTCCTTCTCCCAAGGCATGTTGGATGGGAGAATTCGATTGTATTATGCGCACCCTGTGCTCTTTTTCCTAAGGGCATCTGAATTTTCTGGTAGGACTTCCACAGACAGGAAACCAAGAAATGTGTGTGTGTGTGTGTGTGTGTGTGTCTAAGAGAGGGAGAGAGAGAGGTCGGGCATGATGGCTCATGACTATAATCCCAGAACTTTGGGAGGCTGAGGTGGGTGGACTCCTTGAGGCCAGGAGTTTGATACCAGCCTGGGCAACATGGTAAGACCCCGTTTCTACAAAAACTTTAAAAATTAGGTGTGGTGGCACACACCTATAGTTCCAGCTACTGGGGAGGCTGAGGTGAGAAGATTGCTTGAGCCCAGGAGTTCAAGGGTACAGTGAGCTGTTATTGTACCACTGCATGCCAGCCTGGGCAACATAGCAAGACCTTGTTTCTCTTTTTAAAAAAATAGAGGGGGAGGGAGATAGAGAGATTGTATTTGGATCAACTCAGAAGCAGTAATCTTTGGACTAAAAGTGCCAATTGCTTTAATTTACTATGCAGATAAAATAATTTTCATTCTTAGGGACAGGCATTTCTGTTTACTAAGCACATACCCTAGGCCATGTGCTTTCCTATGCGTCACCTCCATCCACCCTCAACAGCTCTGTGGCTTCGGCATTGCTACACCCATTGTGCATTTTTATGTGGGAAGTGGGGATTTGAAGTCATTTTTCTCTCCCAAGAAAACCCATGCTCTTGTCATGACCCCACATCAGACAGACTTGGGTTCAGATTCTGACTGTGACACTCATTAGCTGTGCCACCTTGGGCACATCTTTTAACTTCTCTGAAGCTCAGCTACCTGTACTAAAACAGGAGTAATGACAGAAAAATGAGGTTATTAAGAGAATTAGAGAGTACACCTCTAGGGCTTTCTGATTGTAAACAACAGCAATATGCTCTAGGGCTAACTTTGGAGAAGGATGGAAGACATTTATTAGAAGGATATGAATTAGCTCATATAACTGAATGCAAAGCAAACAGCCAGGTCTTGGAAAGGATGAGAGCCAGGCCAGCTGAAGAGATCTCAAGAATAGGGAGGTAACTGCCTTCTTTCTTCAGGGGATTCTTGACTGCATGAAGCAGCTCCGGTTGTTTTCAGTTCTGCGGCTCCCTGCTTGACACTCAACTTCCAGGAAGAGAGGTCAGACTAGATGAGGCTGGACCATGTGCTGCCTTCCTCATGGATGGAGAGCAAGGTGCCTCCATCCCCATGCCCACCAGACCTGCATGCAGTGGGGGAAAGGTAGTTTCCACAATAGAAGCTAAGATGTAGGCACTGTTACCAAGCAAGGGGGTCTGAATGCTGGGCAGGCTAAAGCCACAGTTACCACCGTGGAGCTGATGCAGTCAGACATCCCAGCCCAGGACCTGGTACAAGGGAGTGGCTCCATAAATGCTTGGTTTTGCTGGTAGTGTTTTCACCTGACCTCCTGCAAGGCAGCAATTCCAGACCAGTAAATCACCATGTAACAGTACATCTAGAAATCCTAGCTCAGCATTCTTCGTAGGCGTGTCATGTTGTGATACACACAGAAGATGGTATTTGAGCAGCAAATATCTGAGGTAAACTGACAAGGTGCTCCTGCAGGAGGAGACTGGCTGGGAGGCTCTGGCCGCCCCGGCCCTATCTGGCAGCCCTGGGAGCTGAGGGAATCAATATGGCACTTATGGGCAATGCACCCGTGAAGAAGCCCAATTAGATGATGGAACTTCAGGCCCCCCGCCCACCACTATCGCCTTGGTCTCAGCACTGTCTGGCCCTCCCTTACCCCTCCAAAAGTTTGAAAGAGGGTCCCTCCCCATGAGGGCCGAGGCCTGAGGCCCAGTAGAGTCAACAGTGGTACCTCTGCCTTTCCCCACTGATGACTGCCAGCTGCCAGCTGTCCACTCGCTCCTCAGGGCCTTCATTGTCAGGAAGTGAAGCTTTTCAGGAAACAAAAAGTAACTTCTCTTCTTATTTATTAATTTTTTTTGAGTCAGAGCCTTGCTTTGTCGCCCAGGATTGAGTGCAGTGGCACAATCTCTGCTCACTGCAAACTTCGTCTCCCAAGTTCAAGTGATTCTTCTGCCTCAGCCTCCTGAGAAGCTGGGATTATAGGCTCCCGCCACCATACCTGGCTAATTTTTCTATTTTTAGTAGAGACGGGGTTTCACCCTGTTGCCCAGGCTGGTCTTGAACTCCTGACCTCAGGTGATCTGCCCACCTTGGCCTTTCAAAGTGCTAGGATTACAGGTGTGAGCCACCAGACCCTGCTCTAAGTTCTTTTTTAAAAAATTTTTTATTATTTATTTATTTTATTATTATTATTATTTTTTGAGACAGAGTCTCGCTCCGTCGCCCAGGCTGGAGTGCAGTGGTGCGATCTCGGCTCACTGCAAGCTCCACCTCCCAGGTTCACGCCATTCTCCTGCCTCAGCCTCCCAAGTAGCTGGGACTAGAGGCACCCACCACCACACCCAGCTAATTTTTTTTTTGTATATTTAATTAGTATATTTACTATAATATAGTAATATTTTTACCGTGTTAGCCAGGATGGTCTCGATCTCCTGACCTCGTGATCTGCCTGCCTTGGCCTCCCAAAGTGCTGGGATTACAGGTGTGAGCCACCGCGCCTGGCCTTTATTTATATATATATTTTTAGACGGAGTCTCACTCTTGTTGCCCAGGCTGGAGTGCAATGGCGTGATCTCGGCTCACTGCAAGTGATCTCGGCTCACCGCAACCTCCGCCTCCTGGGAGGTTCAAGCCATTCTCCTGCCTCAGCCTCCCGAGTAGCTGGGATTACAGGCGTGTGCCACCATGCCTGGCTAGTTTTGTATTTTTTAGTAGAGATGGGGTTTCACCACGTTGATCAGGCTGGTCTCGAACTCCGACCTCAGGTGATCCGCCTTCCTAGGCCTCCCAAAGTGCTGGGATTACAGGCATGAGCCACTGCGCCCAGCCAGCTTCTCTTCTTGATAAGGCTGGGAACATCTGGCCCAAGGGGCCTAGATGATTTTAGAGCATTTATCTCTCTGCCTACTTGTCAATGATGGCATTGATTATGAAAATCAATGATTGTGGTGTGATACAGTCCCTGGAGGCCGAGCTGCAATTGCTGGTGCTCACATGGGGGTTTCCAAGCAGGGCCAAAAGCAGCACTGCAGGCCTGTGATCGCTGAGGCTGCCAGAGCACAGAGGAGACATTCAGTCTCAAAGAGATATGCAGGTTCTTCTCAATCGCTTTTCTTTTCTTCCTGTTTGTTTTTTCTTTTTGTTGCCAGGGAAGGGCTGCTATTTTACAATTGTGTTTATTTTTTCCCCATTACAAAAGTATGGGGAAAGGCATACCCCATTCTCTTCCCAAATGAAAAAGTACAAATAAGCAAAATGAATATAATTTTGAAACACCCAACTCCCCACCCATCCCTCTATTCACCTGGCTATGAACATGTTAGTATTTATCCTTCTCAATTCTCCTTCTTTCTAACCCTCCAGGTCTCCACCTCCCGGCAGTGAGGTGCTTTGCCTGAAAATCTCTGGCTCAAGGTGGAAGGAACTCTGCTCCTTTTCTGCCAGTGGGAGCTAAGAAAAGAAAAGGGGAAGCTCACTTCTTAGAATACCTTTTTCATCTCCCCATGAAATCCTACCATTCTTTTGAGGGACCTCTCAAATACCCCCTCCTCTATAGAACGTTCCCTGCTCTCTTAGATGGAAGGCTTCTCAGTCTGAGACAGCACTTTCCACCTGACAAAGACTCTCTCTATCCAAGTCTCACTTTCCCTGCACTATTGTTAGCTCCTTAAGGTCAGACACCATGTCTAATTGTCCTCTGCACAGCTCTCAGCAACCAGACAAGTGCCTTGCCCATCACAGACACCAAGGGATGAATGAAAGAAAAAGACTCAGATGCTTAAATCAAACAGAAGTTCACATGATCTCAAATGGGAGCGAAGAGAAGGATTTGGAGTCTGTCCTGTGCACAGGACAAAGGAAGGCTTGACATCTTTCCCTTCCCTACAAGAGGCTCCTCCCCTCAGGTGCATCTTCTCTGAAATCTGAAAATGCCGATGTGCATGCTGGCGGTTTCAAGTTCATTAGTTCCATTCTGAGGCTTTATCAGGGCCTCTTCTACCGCTATTCCACTTCCTAAATGGGAAGTATCATATGCTTTCTCCCTGCTTCCCTCCCTCCCCTCCCTTCCCTTCCCTCAGTCCTTTCCCTCTGTCATTTTCTGTTTCACAGTTGAAAACAGAGCTGTGTAAAATAAGTCATATTCAGATAGAACCCAATTGGGCTGAATTTGACCACATGTAATTTTGAAGCCAGTGTTTTTTTTTTTTATTATTAGTTTTTTTAAAGACAGGGTCCCACTCTGTTACCCAGACAAGAGTGCAGTTGGCCTCATCATAGCTCGCAGCAGCCTCCACCTCCTGGGCTCAGGCAATCCTCCTGCCTCAGCCTCCTGAGTATCTGGGACTACAGGCATGCACCACCAGGCCCAGCTAAGTTTTGTGTTTTTTATAGAAACAGGCTCTTGCTTTGTTGCCCAGGCTGGTCTGAAACTCCTGGCTTTAGCTGATCCTCCTGCCTCGGCCTCCCAAAATTCTGGGATTACAGGCGTGAGCCACTATGCCTAGCCTACTGCTTTTATCTTTAATAGCAACATGTCTGAGCAGTGGAGGAAGGTAGGACTAGAAAGACTTCCCCTCCTCACTGCAAAAGGAACCAATGACAAGGGCAAGTTTACTTGTTTTAGTTCTGCAGAGGTATAGCATTTACTCCTGTCTAGTGCAGAGCACAGAGCTCTAAGGTCTGTGTTCAAAGAATCAAGTCCTACAGAATGTGTGTGTGTGTGTATTTTAATATATCTTTATATATAATATATATTTTATAAATTTTTCTTAGATGTAGTGAATATGAGAATATAAGTCCAGAAAAACCCTGTTTATAAAATTTGCCGTGTTTCCCAGAGACTTTCAAGAATCCAGGCCAAATTGGCTTAGGGAAGGAGTCTTCTGCGAGTTACAGAAGGACTCTAGAAATCTCTGTTTTGGTGATGATTGTGATGTGCAATTGTAGACTTTATTTTGCAGTGCCTTGGTAACTAGAGATTTCTTCTGCATAGTCCCATCTTGGTTTTGTCTGTTTCCACTGCATAGAATTTCTGGCTACTGCTGAACATACACATGCCAATCAGTTAGGGGAAAAATCACCCAATTTTGAACCATTATATTGTGAGAAACTAATGCAGAAGTAGATTTGCAACTTTGTCAAGTTGCGTTTTAATTTCCCTTTTTTGAAGAGACAGCCTCTCGCTGTGTCGCCCAGGCTGGAGTGTAGTGGTGCTCAGCCTCAAACTCCTCAGCTCAAGTGATCCTCCCACCTTGGCCTCCCAAAGTGCCGGGACTACGGGTGGAGCCACCACACCCAATCTTAATTTCCTTCTTCCTGGCAGGGTGAAAACATGCAAATCAGTCTGGAATTAGTTAAAAAGTAAAAGATATGTAATTTTCTTAAACCTCACTATGAGATATTAGCCTAGAAATAAACCCCAGAACCTAGAATGATGTCTTCGAGCTCTAAGACATCCCAATCCATGGATCTTCTTAGCTTTTCTACAGAAGATTAAGTTGGTTCCAAACCAGTCCCTTCGTGTAGAAGAGGGGCAAGAACATGGAGCCTTTCATGTCTTCAGTAGGTCCACAGGACTATGAATGCAGCCCAGGAATCAATTTGTTCTAAACCACTCTGTTCTTCCTTCTTGACTCTCTCATCCAATGGATAGGATGGGATGGGCTTTTGAGCCAGTCCAGGCATCCTGGGGGCCATTAGACTACACATGGCTTGGGATTTCCCTGGAGATTGCTTAAAGCTGAATGCCCTTGGGGTTCATGATAAACTGAACTGGTGGCAGTCACGGGTGTGCTATTTGGAATGCTTGGAAGGGATGGACTGAGCTCCTATTGCACCATGCTTTTTTTTTCTGAGGTGGAGTTTCGCTCTTTTTACCCAGGCTGGAGTGCAATGGCACGATCTCTGCTACTGCAATCTCCACCTCCTGGGTTCAAGCGATTCTCCTGCCTCAGCCTCCTGAGTAGCTGGGATCACAGGCAGGCTGCCACCATGCCAGGCTAATTTTGTATTTTTAGTATTTTAGTATTTCACCATGTTGGCCAGGCTGGTCTCGAACTCCTGACCTCAAGTGATCCACCTGCTTCAGCCTCCCGAAGTGCTGAGATTACAGGCGGGAACCACCGTACCCAGCCCATCATGCATTTTTTTTTTTTTTTTTTTTTTTTTTTGAGATGGAGTCTCGCTCTGTCGTCCAGGCTGGAGTGCAGTGGTGCGATCTCGGCTCACTGCAAGCTCCACCCCCCGGGTTCACGCCATTCTCCTGCCTCAGCCTCCCGAGTAGCTGTGACTACAGGCACCCGCCACCATGCCCGGCTAATTTTTTGTTAGCCAGGATGGTCCCGATCACCTGACCTCATGATCCACCCGCCTCGGCCTCCCAAAGTGCTGGGATTACAGGCGTGAGCCACAGCACCCGGCCCCATCATGCATTTTTTACTTTGCTAGCCAGTGGTAGATAGCTGATCAAAACTGGTTTAAGTCAAAAACAAAAACAAAACTGAGCATAGTGGCTCAGGCCTGGAATCCTAGCACTTTGGGAGGCTGATGTGGGAGGATCACTTGAGCCCAGGAGTGCAAGGCTGCAGTGAACTATGACTGTGCCACTGCACTCCAGCCTGGAAAATAGAACAAGACCCTGACTCTAAAAAAGAAAAAAAAAACCATCATGTTTTAAGTAATGTAGAATAGCATAGGAAAATTCCTAGCCTATTAAGTAGAAAAGTAGATTGCAAAGCAGTTTGATCAAATTTTGTTAAAAAGATAATACAGAAAAAGAAGATATATGACACATGTACACAGAAAAATACAAGAAAACACATACATCAAAATGGTAACAATGATATGCTGGTGAACGTAATGGGTATTTTTATTTTTTGTACTTTATTTAAAAAATTCTTTTACAATGAACATGTATTACTTTTGAAATCAGAAAATTGGCCGGGCGCGGTGGCTCACGCCTGTAATCCTAGCACTTTGGGAGGCTGAGGAGGGCAGTTCACCTGAGGTCAGGAGTTCAAGACCAGCCTGGCCAACATGGTGAAACCCTGTCTTTACTAAAATACAAAAATTAGCCGGGCATGATGGCGGGTGCCTGTAATCTCAGCTACTCAGTTGGCTGAGACGAGAGAATCGCTTGAACCCAGAAGATGATGGTTGCTGTGAGCAGAGATTGCACCACTGCACTCCAGTCCGGGTGGCTGAGAGGGACTCCGTCTCAAAACAAAAAAAGAAATCAGAATTTTTTTGTGTGTGTGTGTGTGACAGAGTTTCGCTCTTGTTGCCCACGCTGGAGTGCAATGGCACAATCACGGCTCATCACAACCTCCACCTCCCAGGTTCAAGCGATTCTCCTGCCTCAGCCTCCCCAGTAGCTGGGATTATAGGCATACACCACCACGCCTGGCTAATTTTGTATTTTTAGTAGAGACGGGGTTTCTCCATGTTGGTCAGGCTGGTCTCAAACTCCTGACCTCAGGTGATCTGCCCTTCTCGACCTCCCAAACTGCTGAGATTAGAGGCATGAGCCACCGTCACCAGCCCAGAAAATATTTTTTAAATTGAAAATAAGATAGCATATTCCACAAATCTTCTACCGGCTCCATTGCGGATTGAATTAGATGATTCTCCCTATTGTTTACTAAGTGTCCAGTTATTTCTGGGCACTCTCCACCTCCGCAGGACACTGCCCATCTCCCCAACCCAGGGCCATTTCTCAACCTAGTGCTCCTTCTCCTACTAGGGGGGCAGACTTCCCAACGTGAGCACCTACATTTCGCCGTAGATGGGATCCACTTGCACTCTCTGAGGTTCTCAGGCAGATTCCTTCCTTACGGAAGGGGGTCTGATATTTAATCACCCCATGCACTAAGTACACACTTCATGTGCGGATCCATCAGGATAACCCCACACAAGCTGCCAGTTCTTTGCTTGTAGTGGGTGCCCAATAAATGTTTGAATGCATAAAGAAAGCACTCAGATAAGCAGAGACATTTTAGAGCTCTCTGGGGATGAGAAAAGAGAGAGCTATGGGAGTGAGAATTAACTTGATTGACTATGGCTGGACCTGGCAAAGAACAACTCAGAAGTATTGGCCTCACAATCACCTTGTTCAGGCTGCTTAATCAATATTAAAAGTTTGCTGCTCCCACACAATTTTGCTAGGCTCTCCAACCCTGTGAGGATGTCAACAGTTGAAAAAGAAGAAATAATGAGCCCAGCCTGTATTTGCAGGGGAGTGTTAAAACTGCCGGTGGAGCAGGATAGTTTGCTAAACAGCCAGTTGAGAACTTTCCCAAACTGGTCGGCAGCAGCATTGCACACAGAAGTCCCTTCTTCATTGACATGGGGCTAATTCTAGCCACCAGCACTCCAGCGGTACGGGGCAGTTTTGTGGCCTTTTGCTATTGAATCTGCCAGATGTGTCCAAGACACACTCTCATGGGCAGAATATAAACAACAAACCAGTATAAAGAAGTCCACAGTGATCTCACCCTTCATAGAAGTCTTCTTTGACTTGTTTTCTGGCCCCCTGTAAGCACTCCTTGTACCACACTCCCTAAACCCTGTGGCTTAGGTTTTGCTATTTTGTATTTGTTTCCTCCTTCTCTGGTTGTTACATGTAAAAAGGTTGTGTTCACGCAGGGGGCAGGAATTGCAATGGAAAGAATGCAGTGTGGAAAGCCAGGCTCAGTTACTTACCAGCCTTGCTACCTTAGCCAAACGGTCATGCTCTCTGAGCTGTAGTTTCCTTCCTCATCTGTGAATAGACTTCTACCAACTCTCCTCACATGACTGTTTTGAGACTGAAATGATATTATAGGTATAGAAATAAATGTAAACATAATATAAATGTATGAGGCCTGGCGTAGTGGCTCACGCCTGTAACCCCAGCACTTTAGGAAGTCGAGGCAGGTGGATCACCTGAGGTCAGGAGTTCGAGACCAGCCTGGCCAAGATAGCGAAACCCCCATCTCTACTAAAAATATAAAAATTAGCCAAGCGTGGTGGCACGAGCCTGTAATCTCAGCTACTTGGGAGGCTGAGGCATGAGAATCGCTTGAAATCAGGAGGCAGAGGTTGCAGTGAGCCGAGATTGCGCCACTGTACTCCAGCCTGGGTGACAGAGTGTGACTCTGCCTCAAAAAAAATAAAAAAAAACAAAATAAAAATAAAAATAAATAAGTAAATATATGAGATTATCTTTCATCTGGCATGCAGTAGATTCTTAAGAAACTCAAGACAGTATTGCGTTGTGGAGTTATGGTGGGGGCACTAGATGTCAGACCTCTGTGTGCACTCGGGCAGATCAGTTTCACTAAGCTCTTGTGTTTTCCTCAGGAAGGCAAAACGGTACTAAGGCGAATAATAAGGAACATCACAGAATTGATATGAGGGTGAAGTTAAATAATGCGGGCAAAGCACTTCCCAACAGTACCTAGCACATAGTGAGCACTTAATAAATGTAAGCTGTGGCTGCTGCTGCTGTGGCCATCAGGGAGATAGGGAAATATGTCAATAAGAAATGTATATTGGCCGGGCACGGCGGCTCATGCCTATAATCCCAGCACTTTGGGAGGCCGAGGCGGGTGGATCACCTGAGGTTGGGATTTCAAGACCAGCCTGACCAACATGGAGAAACCCCGTCCCTACTAAAAATACAAAATTAGCTGGGCGTGTTGGCGCATGCCTGTAATCCCAGCTACTCGGGAGGCTGAGGCAGGAGAATCGCTTGAACCCAGGAGGCGGAGTTTGTGGTGAGCCGAGATCATGCACTCCAGCCTGGGCAACAAGAACGAAACTCAGTCTCAAAAGAAAAAGAAAAAAAAAAAAAAGAAATGTATATTGGGGCAGAGAGCATGGACAGTTGGGTTATGGCAAGGCACAGAGTAGAAATGGAAGCTCTGTAAGCTAGCAGCTTCTGGCAATCAATCTGGAAGGCTTCATGGAGGGATGCACTTTCCAGAGCTCTTTGGATTATAGTTGGAAGATGAGTTATCTGGAGGTATTAGAAAGGCTATCCCAGGGGCCAGGCGCAGTGGCTCATGCCTGTAATCCCAGCACTCTGGGAGGCCGAGGCAGGCACATCACAGGGTCAGGAGATCGAGACCATCCTGGCCAACATGGCGAAACCCTGTCTCTACTAAAAATACAAAAATTAGCCAGGTGTGGTGGCAGGTATCTGTGGTCCCAGCTACTTGGGAGGCTGAGGCAGGAGAATCAGTTGAACCCGGGAGGCGGAGGTTGCAGTGAGCTGAGATGGCACCACCGCACTCCAGACTTGCAACACAGCGAGACTCCATCTTAAAAAAAAAAAAATAAAGAAAGGGTATCCCAGACTCCCTGCGTGATTGGAAGCTGGTTGAGTGGCAGTGGGGTGACCAGCTGTTGGGAGGTTGAAAAGTTCTGAACTAAAGAAGATGGAGCTGAAGCTTGGTAGCCAAATTGTAAGCCTAGCAGGCTGGTGTAAAGCTCTAAAACAGAGCAGACCCCAAGGAGTGGTTAGAAAGTCTGAAATTTGGCTTGTAGTGTGGATGAAAGCACAATTGGCCATGTGTGGTTGAATGGTTGTCACAGATTGAGTTAGGGACGAGCACTTTCGCAGCTCTAGGGAGGGGTGAGCAGTGGGGTTTGTTGCTGAAGGCAGGAATTGTGGACAGCTCATTGGGTGAATGAATTATTAATCGAAGTTTTGTCTGATTATGAGAAGGAAGGGAGAAGGAAGAGAAAGGGGTGCTTCCTGGAGAAGTAGAAATTATGAACTACTTGGAGGTGGAGGGCCCCACACATAAGAAGAATATTCTTCTCTAAGAGATGAGGGACCCAGAAAGAAGACAGGATTCATCTTTACCAAAGGTGGGGTTGATACTGTCGCTGAAAGTAGGTGTCAGAAAGTCTATCGACTTTCAACTAAAGTTCTTTTTTTTTTTTTTTTGAGATGGAGTCTTGCTCTGTTGCCCAGGCTGGAGTGCAGTGGTGCAATCTTGGCTCACTGAAAGCTCCGCCTCCCGAGTTCACACCATTATCCTGCCTCAGCCTCCTGAGTAGCTGGGACTACAGGCGCCCACCACCACGCCCAGCTAATTTTGTTTTTGTATCTTTAGTAGAGATGGGGTTTCACCGTGTTATCCAGGATGGTCTGGATCTCCTGACCTCGTGATCTGCCTGCCTTGGCCTCCCAAAGTGCTGGGATTATAGGCGTGAGCCACCGCGCCCAGCCTAAAGTTCTTTAAGATAGTGGATAATGCTCAAAGTTGAAGAATATTTGCAGGTATTGCTATTCCTGTGCAAAGGATGATAGGATCACACATGAAGTGTGTGAAGGCCATCAGACACCAAGTGCATTCCAGTATCCTCATTGGACCAGATGATGAAACTGAGGCCGAGGGTTGTACTTACCTGCTCAAGGTCATACAAGATATATTTGGTTCAATTCGCTCTATATTTTCGTTTTCTTTTTTTTAGACAGAGGCTCACTCTGTTGTCCAGGCTGGAGTGCAATGGCACGATCTGGGCTCAGTTCAACCTCCGCCTCCTGGGTTCAAGCGATTCTCCTGCCTCAGCCTCCTAAGTAGCTGAGATTACAGACGCGCGCCACCATGCCTGGCTATTTTTTGTATTTTTAGTAGAGACGGGGTTTCACCATGTTGGTAAGGCCGGCCTCGAGCTCCTGACCTTGTGATCTGCTCGCCTCGGCCTCCCTCCCAAAGTGCTGGGATTACAGGCGTGTGCCACCGCGCCCGCCCTCTGCTCTATATTTTCTCTTAGCGCCCTCCTCCAAAAATTTGAAATTCCCCCTAACCTCTTTGCTTCCCAACTAGAATGAAAATCCTAGTTTCATTTTGCGGCAACTAAGAGCAACAAACAAGTCTCCTTTATTATTATTTTTTCTTTCTTTAGATGGAGTCTCGCTCTGTTGCCCAGGCTGTAGTGCAGTGGCACCATCTCGGCTCACTGCAACTTCCGCCTCCCGGGTTCAAGTGATTCTCCTGCCTCAGCCTCCAGAGTAGCTGGGACTACAGGCCCGTGCAACCACGCCCGGCTAATTTTTGTATTTTCAGTAGAGTCAGGGTTTCATCATGTTGGCCCGGCTGGTCTTGAACTCTTGACCTCAAGTGATCCGCATGCCTCGGCTCCCCAAAGTGTTGGGATTACAGGCGTTAGCCACCGCGCCCGGCCAACAAGTCCCCTTTAAATACATCCTCTCTTCTCTCCGGGGGCAGGCTTTGATATGCCCACCGGGTTTCTCCATTGGCCACTTCATGTGGCTTCTCGCCCCTTCCAAGATTCCCAACCAATCAGTTCTTTCCCGTCTCCCGTTGGGCTTTGAGGAATGTACCATATGGATCCTGCAGGGGGACGGAGAGGACGAAGGGCGTGGCGACAGCTTATTTCTTTGCCTTTTGCACATATCCCGTGAGATTCTGGCAAGACTGAGCGTGCAAGTAGCAATGGAGTCCCTGAGGACGGGGGCCGCTTGCCAGTTTTCGAGGTGTACTGAGATATCTCGCCCCCGAGGCTGGGGTCCCGTGGTCCGGCCCGAGGGCCACAACCCCCGCCCTTCCATGTGCCCGCCCATCCCCCGGCTGCGCCGCTTCTCCGGCTGCTACCTACCGCGCCGGACGCTCGGGCTGCGGAACAGGGCGGCACTGGCCCGCCACAGCGACGCCGGCGCCGAGGGACACCGCAGTATGAGGCAGAGGTAAGAACGGGGCTTCGGGACTCCGACCCGCGCCAACCGTCCCCGGGGAGCCGCATCCTGCTCGCGCCCGAGCTCGGGGTCTCGGGCACCGGGCTGGTTCCGGCGGGCGGTTCTGGAGCGGGTGGCCCCGCGAGCGGACGCGCGCCGAGCCTCCCGCCCGGGCAGTGCCGAAGCCGGGAGCCGCCGCGGCGCGGGCGCCTCCTTCCGGCTGCGCTTATAACCCTGCGTCCGGCCGGCGGGGCGCGAGGAAGCCCCCGCCTCGCGTTCCCGTGTGGTCACCTCCCGCCGGAGGATGCGTGGCCAGGTGCGCCGGCTGGTCCTGAGTTCCGGGGCAGCAGGCGCGGGGAAGCGCGGGGAGGCTGCCCGCTTCAGGCGGGAGGCGGAGGGTGGGGGCTTAGCCCGGCTCTGGGTGCGGGGTCGGGGGGTGCTTTTTGGGGCGGGGGAGGTCTCTGTCTTTACCGGAGTCCGCAGGCTCCGGGCCGAGGCTCCGCCGGGTCCTGCCTCCGCGGCCTGGCCCTCGGGGCCTCCCCGTCCCGCTGCCCCGGCCTGGAGCTAGCGTGCGCCAAGCGTGGGCTCCTGCGACCCTGGCAGGTAGGTGGCCGAGAGGACCCCGGCGCGCCTTTCCGTTTGTGGGGGCGGTGGGCGCGGCCGGGCGATCGCAGCCGCCTTCGCCTCTAGTCTCAGTGATGCCCCTTCCCTGGCTGCCTTCCGAGGGGACCGCGCTTTTGGAGGTCTCCGGGGCACATGGGAAATTCCCAGCTAAGAAACCATCTTGAGGAGCCCTACACGGAACCGGGCTTGCCTGGCCTAGCAGAAAGCCAGCCGCAGCGAGACCCTCCGCCTGGCATGCGGCACTGGTGAGCCGCCACCCCGCTTGCTCAGTAGGTAGCCGGGACGAAGGGGTCTGGCAGGCCCCTCAGGCAAGGCCTCTGTGCCGCATCCCGTTAAGGGGCGGGGACCAGCCCCGTATCTTGGCTGGTCTTCCTGACTCTGAATGCAGAGAAAGTATGTCCAAGAGTTCAAACCACATTTGTGTTCTTTTAATGGTGTTTAATGCAGATGTTAATTGTGATTTATGTGAAACGGGTTGATGTAGAGGAATGAAGGTCAACTGTGGACAGGTGGACAGCTTTTTTTTTTTTTTTCCCCCTAAGCTTGTTTTTAGTGGGATGTGCATGGAGAGGATGACATTTGAATATCAGGCCACCAATGTGTATTTGGTCCCATCTGACACTTTGCTCCATAGACAGTCGTTGTACTCCAGGGATGAGGATGAACTGGGTTTTAAGCTGAGAAAGACATCTTCCTACAGTCGCTGCCGCCTGCGGGAAAGCCCCGCCTTCTGGTTACCTGGCCGCACACAGGCCAGTTCATTGTGGTTACCTTCTCCCGTGAGCACATCTCTGCAGCCCTCTCAGAGGATGCCGTTCATTCCATATTTGATTGCCAGATGTACTTCTCAGGTCAGAAATCCAGCCCCAGATTGTTCAAGTCTTATAGTGAGTTTTTCTTGTGCTCCAGGTTTAGAAGTTTTAAATCTCTTTTATAGTGTATTCAACAGCTTGAGTTAATTTCATAATTATAGGAAAGACATGGTTTGTGTGTTCCTCCTGTAAAGGATACTTTAGAACTCAGACCTGGTTCCTCAGTCAAGGCTGTTTATTTGTGTTTACAGCGCTAACATTTGAAACGTCTTAAACTTGACTGCATATTGTAATTCCTCCCCCCAAACCCCCACCTGGGATGATCCTGTTCCGTGGTGGTTATTCCATGGTGTTACTAGGTGTGGAAGAGAAAATGGGCTTTGGAAATAATGTACGTGAAGAACTTAGCACAGTCCTTGGCACGTAGCAGATGTTCAATAAACATAAAAGTAAATTTTTCCTCTCTTCCTTGGGTTTGAGAGACCTGGGGATGATGATATTGGATGCAGTTTTGGTTGCATGCTCCGTTTTTAAATTAGGGTAATGAGGTCCCCCCCATTCCTCCTCCCACTCAAACTTCCAGCTCTCCAGACATTTCTGTGGTAGATTAAAAATGAAACTCACGTCTTGGTCCTAGAAGTAAAAATAAGGAAAAATTGAGCTCTTCTTCCTGGATCATGTGTTGCCCTTTAAAGGAAGGATGGCACATGCCCTGGAAGAGTGGTACACCATTCAGTACAGAAGAGCAGAGGGTCAAAGGGGACCCTTTCCTGCATCTGTCGAGTAGTCCTGCAGGTGAGGATTTTGGTTGTCGTTGGTTTCACATGTCCAGGTGGAACCAGATGAATTACCTAATTTCTCCTGGCACTGGCTTCTGGGAAGTGGCCCAGATGGTCGAAGCCTGACCATTGGCAGAGTGCTAGCTTTGCTGGGCCGTGCCTCTGAACTGGGATCTGCTAGGAGCAGCCATTTGCCTTCTCCGTCTTGTAGCAGGTTCCATGTGAACAGACGAAAAGGGCATCAAATCTAATGTTCTAGAAAAAATAAGAGCCATCATTGGCTTATTTATGTTCCATAATATTATGGGGCCTGGCATTTTAATAATAATTATGCTCTGGGCCCGGCGCGGTGGCTCACACCTGTAATCCCAGCACTTTGGGAGGCCAGGCGGGCGGATCACGAGGTCAGGAGTTCAAGACCAGCCTGGCCAACGTGGTGAAACCCTGTTTGTACTAAAAATACCAGCTGGGCGTGGTGGTGCGCGCCTGTAATCCCAGCTACTGGGGAGGCTGAGGCAGGAGAATTGCTTAACCGGGAATTGGGAGGTGGAGGTTGCAGTGAGCCAAGATCACGCCACTGCTCTCCAGCCTGGGATACAGAGCGAGACTTCATCTCAAAAAAAAAATAATAATAATAATAATTATTATTATTATTATGCTCTGGATTTACTACTTAGTTGCTTTTTACTTGAGGAAGTGAAAGCTTTTTCATGACCTGTTATCTCATTGATTCTTAATTGTCTCTGAAGTCGTTAAAGTTTAATAGAGTCTATTATTCCCATTTTATAGGCAAAGAAATGGAGGTAACATGATTTGCTTTAAGTTGCAAATGAGTTGGTCCCTGAACTGGGATTTGAATTGGGTTCTTCTTCTTCTTCTTTTTTTGAGACGGAGTCTCTTGCTCTGTCGCGCCCAGTCTGGAGTGCAATGGCGCAGTCTTGGCTCATGCACTCTGCCTCCTGGGTTCGAGCGATTCTTCTGCCTCAGCCTCTCAAGTAGCTGGGACTACAGGCACCTGCCACCACGCCCTGCTAATTTTTTGTATTTTTTAGTAGAGACAGGGTTTCACCGTGTTGGTCAGGCTGGTCTCGAACTCCTGACCTCAGGTGATTCACCCTCCTTGGCCTTCCAAAGTGCTGAGATTACAGGCGTAAGCCACCACACCCGGCCCAGGTTTTCCTTCTTAAGTTTCACTTCACTGAGACCTTTAGGGGGAAAAAATCCACACATCTTTTTCTTTTTTCTTTTCTTTTTTTTTTTTGGAAGCGGAAGGACTTAAAGATACCAGATCATTGTGCTTTTCTGATGACTAGGTAGTGGATGATAGTTAACATTTATTGAGTGTTTATCTGCAGGAATCTGTGCTAGGTGCTGCATAGACATTACCTCATTTATTCCTCACAACAACATTCAAGGTAGAACTTATCATCCCCAGTTTTACGGATGACAAGGTTTTGTGAGGTCCTAGGTCAAGGGAGTGATAGTGAGTGACAAAGCCTTGACTGAAAGCAGGGCTGGGTTCAATCCTGGGCTTTCTGATTCCAGAGTGTGTGCTCCTCCTAACCCGTGTGCTAACGGGCCTTAGGGATGACTAATGGGCAGGCCTGAGAGCCCTGACGCCTGCTGCTGCCACCACCCCAGGTCTGATGGGAGGTGGGGTTGGACGGGCTTTATGTTCTATTGCAGTACAATTTTCACATTCTGGTCTTTTCCTTTGCTAGAAGCATTCATCTAGCCAGGTGGGGGGTCATTACTTTAGAAAAAATAATCAGAGCTGAGAAAACGTCTGCATTTGCAGAGAATGAAGTATTTAATAAGACCAGATGGGCCGGGCGCAGTGGCTCATGCCTGTAATACCAACACTTTGGGAGGTTGAGGTGGGCAGATTGCTTGAGCCCAGTAGTTTGAGAGCAGACTGGGCAACATAGCTAAACCCCATCTCTACAAAAAGTACAAAAATTAGCTGGGCGTGGTGGTGTGTACCTGTGGTCCCAGCTACTCTGGAGGCTGAGGTGGGAGGATTGCCTGCGCTCAGGAGGCCGAGGTTGCAGTGAGCTGAGATCACACCACTGCACTCCAGCACTCCAGCCTGGGTGACAGAGCAAGACTCTGTCTCAAAAAAAAAAAAAAAAAAAAAAAGACTAGATGGGGAGATGAGGGACAGAGAGAATCAAAGAGAATCAAAGTGGTTTGTGGACAGAGGAAATGAGTGATACTCTGACCCAGAGGCCATCTTTAGTGTCCAGGCCATTTTGCTTGAGCTGCTGGTGAAACTGTGAAACTGGAGGCATGGCACTTGGGCTAAAGTCTGTGCGGTGAATAAGGCCCTCAGTTTCTGCTTTAGGTGGCAGAGCTGAAAATCTGATTCCTTTTTGGTCTTTAGCTTCCGGTGTACTTCAATGCAGTACATTGTGGGCGTGGTGGGGATGTGGTTCAGAAATTTACCTAAACTCTGTGGACTTCCCCCTCTCTCCAGCCACGCACTCTGTCATCTTTGGTTCCAGTCTTTAGAATTCAGCTCGGATCCCCTGGGTGATGGGTGGTGTCAGACACTCAGGTGCTTGGATTGCCCCGGTGGAGAGAACAGCATCCTGCCCCCATGGGCTTCAGTTGTACGTGACTTGCTGTTTTCTTGGAGGTGGGCTTTAGTCATCTCTAGCTATAAAGACACAAAAAAACTGGGAAGAATGACCAGGAAACTGTCACCCCAAGCCTTGCAGTTGATTGCATTTTTTTTTTTTTTTCTGAGATGGAGTCTTGCTCTGTGGGCCAGGCTGGAGTGCAGTGGCACGACCTCGGCTCACTGCAAGCTCCGCCTCCCGGGTTCACACCATTCTCCTGCCTCAGCCTCCCGAGTAGCTGGGACTACAGGCACCTGCCACCATGCCCGGCTAATTTTCTGTATTTTTTTTTTAGTAGAGACAAGGTTTCACCGTGTTAGCCAGGATGGTCTCGATCTCCTGACCTTGTGATCCACTGGCCTCGGCCTCCCAAAGTGTTGGGATTACAGGTGTGAGCCACTGTGCCCAGCCTTTTTTTTTTTTTTTTTTTTTTTAAATTGAGACAGCATCTCACTCTGCCACCTAGGCTGGAGTGCAGTGGTGCGATCATGGTTCACTGCAACCTTGACTGCCTGAGTAGTTGAGACTACAGGCGTGCACCACCAAGCCTGGCTAATTTTTAAAATTTTTTGTAGAGATGGGGTTTTGCCACATTGTCCAGGCTGGTCTAGAGCTCCTGGGCTCGAACAATTTGCCTGCCTCAGCCTCTCAAAGTGCTGGGATTACAGGTGTGAGCCACCATGCCTGGCCCCATTGACTTTTTCTCATTGGTGAGTTCAACAGAGGAGAGATGATTGCCGCAGTTTTAAAAAAGAAAAGAGGCCAGGTGTGGTGGGTCATGCCTGTAATCCCAGCCCTTTGAGAGGCCGAGGTGGGCAGATCACCTGAGGTGAGGAGTTCCAGACCAGCCTGGCCAACATGGTGAAACTCTGTCTCTACAAAAAAAATACAAAAAATAGCCAGGTGTGGGTGTTGCACACTTGTATTCCCAGCTACTCAGGAGGATGAGGTAGGTGGATCATTTGAGCCTGGGAGGCCAAGGCTGCAGTGAGCGGAGATCGCACCACTGCATTCCAGCCTTGGTGATAGAGCAAGACCCTACTGTCCCAAAAAAAAAAAAAAAAAAAAAAAAAAAAATTAAAGAAAAGGCTGGGTGCAATGTCTCACGTCTGTAATCCCAGCACTTTGAGAGGCTGGGCCAAGGTAGGAGTATTGCTTGAGGCCAGGAGTTTGAGACCAGCCTGCGCAACATAGTGAGACCCTGTCTCTACAAAAATTTTAAAAATTAGCCGGGCATGGTGGTGTACACCTATAGTCGCAGCTGCTCAGAAGGCTGAGGTGGGAGGATCACTTGAGGCCAGGAGTTTGAGGCTGCAGTGAGCTATAATCACACCACTGCATTCCAGTCTGGGTGACAGAGTGAGACCCTGTCTCTTAAAAGAAAAAGGGAGGACAGAAATCAGATTAAAGAAGAGAGAAGAAGTGAGACTGTTGGCTTA
The DNA here is from genome assembly GCF_000001405.40 of Homo sapiens. Taxonomy (NCBI): domain Eukaryota; kingdom Metazoa; phylum Chordata; class Mammalia; order Primates; family Hominidae; genus Homo; species Homo sapiens. The sequence goes on along the minus strand of NC_000022.11, from coordinate 17,995,129 downwards.
TACCTTGATGAAAGGTGGAAGCGGAAGGGCAAGAGCTTCTGCTAAGTAGTGAGGACCTTGGCAAGGACAACAGTATCTTTTTCGTGTTCTGTTAGGCCGTGTCTCTCTAGCGCCCAGCTCAGAGTGCATGTGTGTTATGTGTGAGGGAATCTAGTGAGGAGTCTTCCTGCATTAGGCACGTCTGCAGGTGTCTGTTGAATTGTATATCTGTTGAAGGATTCAGTCTGGTTAACTCTGGCAGGAGATTCGGTCTGGTTAACTCTGGCAGGAGAGGGATGGACAGCACAGCCTTGTGGTTAACTAGTGGCTTTTATTGACTTTTCCTGTGTAAAGGCGAAATAAACCTTAGTGGGTCCCAGGCTTCTCTTCTCTCCTGCCCATGCTTCTTTTTTTTTCTTTTTTTTTTTTGAGACAGAGTCTTACTCTGTGGCCCCGGCTGGAGTGGCCCCAGCTGGAGTGGCATGATCTCGGCTCACTGCAGCCTTGACCTCCTGGGCCAGGCCATCCCCCAACCTCAGCCTCCTGAGTAGCTGGGACTACAGGCCCACACCACCACACCCGACTAATTTTTAAATTTTGTGGAGAGACAAGCTCTCTCTGTGTTGCCCAGTCTGGTCTTGAACTGCTGGGCTCAGGTGATCCCTGCAAAGTGCTGGGATTACAGGCACCCCACTGCACCCAGCCCTCTGTCTCTTTTCTGTTGCCAGTTGAAGTCTGGAGGTAGCATGGGTCCCGGGAGGCCAGTGCCAGTGTTGGAAGCCAAGAGAGGAGGAGCAGCTTGGTCAGGGGGAAGATGCAGAGTGCTCACTCCTGGCACCTGGAGCCCCCAGGGGAATGGCAGCTACCCTTTAGCGTGGACTGTCCCCAGCCCACAGAAAGTCAGCTTACAGAGGTTCTAGCCATATTCCTCCCTCCTCCACCAACAAAGCTCCTTGTTGTGGCTGAGAATTGTCAGGCTGTGATGGGACAGGGACAGGGGTGGGAGAGCAGCACCTGGCGCTGATGAGCACAGCAGCGATGGCAGCATCAGAGATGCTTAGAGACTGTTGGCCATGCCACACTGTCCTGAGTGCCCACGTGTCTTAACGCGCTCAGTCCTCACCACAGCGGACAGACGGGGTGCTGTTATGATCCCTGCTTTTCACACTAGGAAGTGGGGCACAGAGGGCTAAAACAAGTGGTGGCGTCAGGATTTAGATGAAGGCATTGGGTTTTGGACTTGTGGTGTCACAGACCAGTTGAGGGCAACTGACTTGGGCATATTCCACGGGGTTACCTCCGTCCTGGGGGGTCACCGCTTCCTGTCTTCAGACCCCTCCTCCATATTTCCCTCTCTTCACTCTTGAGTTCTCTCTCTGAAGTGCCAGGAGAGGTGCATTGAGGTTAGTTGGCATATTCCTTGAAATATTCCTGGCCTGCTTCTCAGGGGGCAGAGTCAGGAGGTAATTCTGAAGCACTGGGAGGAGAGTGTGGGCGCAGGGGGGCTTCCCGGGGGGCACTTAAGACACTGTGTGTTCAGGAACCTGGGGGCTGTGCCTTGGGAATCCAGAGAGTGCTGAGGGCTGCCCTGCTCCTGGAAAAGATGAAGAAGCCCTTCTCTTCCTTCTGATTCCCAAGTTGTGGAACCCAAGCAGATCCATTATTGCCCCAGCTAAACTCCTTTGTGATGATTCTTTTAAGAGAATGAGCTGGGCCAGGGGTGGAGGAAGGCAAGTGGAGGGAGAGCATTAGGACAAATACCTAATGCATGCGGGGCTTCAAACCTAGATGACAGGTTGACAGGTGCAGCAAACCACCATGGCACATGTATACCTATGTAACAAACCTGCACGTTCTGCACATGTATCCCGGAACTTAAAGTAAAATTAAAAAAAAAAAGCCATCTGGGAATCCTAATCACTGTGTATAATTGGCACATGAACTTATGGAACAGAACCTTTTACCCAGTTTGGCCATGAGTAGTCAGAGTCATTCATTTCCCTGTGAAAAAGGAAAAAGGAAATATTTTAACTAGTGACATGGGCTTGGGTCAGTTTCTTTCCAAAACAGATAGGCTTTCTCAAAACCACCCTTGCATGGGTAGGAAAAACAAATAAACTTTCTGCTTTTGGTATTCTAAGTACCTTTAGACAGTGGGGCCTGTGGACAATTATATAAGAAAGTCATAACAGTGATCGCTTCGCCTTACCGTGGCCAGACTGCGCACACATCATTTCTAGTCTTCAGGTAGAGTCCTTTCACCCCATTTTACAGCAGGGAAGCTGTTCCAGTGAGGTAAAGGGCCATAAACCCAATAATTTGCATAGCTAATGACTCCAAATCCCGTGAGATAAATGTTCAGGGAGCAAAAGGAAGAGGAATGGGGCAGAAAAAGACAGTATGAGGCAGGGAAGAAATTCACAGGTGGTAGCTTGAATTGGCGGCCTCCGGGTTTAGTGAGCACCGTGCTAGGCCCTAGTGAGGGGTGGGGATACAAACAAGCCCCTGGGCCTCAACCACCCTCAGGGAGCCAGGGAGCAGGGGGGATTCCTACTTCAGGAATCCTTTACACACTGACTTTTTTCAGCACATTTATTGAGCATCTGTTGTATGTAAGTGCCACGTGGTAAGACAGCCTGTGTCTGCAAGAGGTTGATATTTCTAAGGGGTTGGATGCATTGTCAGCCATGCAAGTGCAGTAACCTGGATTTAACTGGCCAGGAAGCCCTGGACGTAGAGTGCTAAGCAAATTTATGCCAACTAGTAAAATATTCTTGATTTGGTTTTATTTCTTGCACATAAGATTGAGAATTTCTAGAATTTGCCTACCCCCTGTGTCTGCTGTTTGTGGAATGTTTGTGTTTTGCAAACAGGATCATTTTGCAACTCCTTCCTGAGGACCAGCCCTGCACTTTGGCTGCAGGAAAGGCTGGGACCATTTCCCTTGCCTGCAGGCTGCCCTTGGGCCCGTCACCACTTTGGAGCTGGTGCTCTCAATGTGCTTGTCCTTGCCCAGCTACTCATCGAGAGATATAGGTGCCCCAAGTGGACTGGGCAGCCCTTCCTAGAGGAGGGTTTTGCAGTCTGTGCCCTTTCCTAGGTGCTCTAGCAACGGTGGGTGGGAGCAGTCCTGGGCATGGAGGCGCCTCATCCATGCTCTGGGCATTAGATTGTTCATGCTGCTTCTACGGCTCCTTTCTAACCCTAGGACCACGGTGCTGTGTCTACCACGGCCTCGAAGCTGGTTGGAGCCTTGTAATAATGTCATTAGCCAGCACAGTAGCGAGCCCCCCATTCCTCCATCTCCCTGAAGTATTTCTTTGTCATGTGCTGTATTTGGAAGCTGACGTGTTGTGGGAAAAGGCCTAATAGGACTTCTTACTACTGGATATGATGAGTGAGATACCGTTTTGCTTGGGTTTTAACCTTTTATTTTCTAAGACCTTTGGTTCCATTTGATCAGGTCCATTCAAATAGAAATTACTTATGTCTTCTATAAATGAGTTAAACACCTGATCTCTGCTTCCTGCTGTATTAATATAGCTGACTGGCTAACATGAAGGACACTTTTACATGCTGCTTATGACAAGTTCCTTCTGTGCATGACCACCAGCCCAGGGGAAGGGTTCATGGCTTTAAGGTGTCTCTTACCCTTCAGGCAAAATTGATGTATGGAAACGTGGATTTATCTTCAAAATAAACTAGTGTGTATCTGTACGTCTTGACTTGAAATTAAATTCTTCACAGTAAAAGAATTTTGCAACAATTCCTTCTGTAGGAATTTAAAAATTTACCTTGCTATAGACAATATTTTAGGCAGTCTGATATCCCACCATTGGTGGGAATGACTGCCTGTCACTTTCACCTGCCTGCCCCTCTTTGTCCCCCTACAGCACTTACACACACGCAGGCTCAGAGGCACAGGTGCTCCTGGCTCTGCCTGCAGCCTCCCAGGCCTGTCATCTGGGCCTGTTGGTGCGGCACATGGATCTAGGTGCTGTCACGGGCTGTCAGTTGTGGCACGTCCTGGCAGGGCCTGGCTGGCCCAGCCTCTGCTCATGCAGTATTCATCTGCACGCCAGGAGCCGTGTGGACCATCTCTGCTGCGCTGCCCCACTCAGCTCCGTGTGCAGTTGCTTTCCTTTAATGCTTGTCTCCAGGCCATTTTTGTAAGCTTTTATGAGGTCCAAATGCTTAGGCACAGGCAGGCAAGAAAATCCAGCAGGGCATATAGATCATTCCCAGTAGTAAAAGAGGTCAAGGGGTTTGGCTAAAAACCTCACTTATATTGGGATATGGGAAAAGTGGGAGAGAACTGATTTCTCAGGAGTCCGCTTCATAATATGTGTCATGGCATGATCGCCTTCAATCCTCATGACAATCTTACAGAGTTACCCGTATGAGGCCCACTTGAAAGATGAGGCGCAGTGAGGTTAGATGACTTGCCTGAGATCTCTCACCCGGTAAATGGTGGAGCTAAATCAGAGTAAGACACTCAAACTGTGTTGTGGTTAAGAGTTTGGACTCTGGAACCCGACTGTGCTGTACTATACCGGTTACTAGAGTGTGTGACCGGGAGTGTGTTCCTTATCCTCCCGAGACTCAGTTTCCTCATCTGTGCAATGAAGGGCGTAACAGTCCTACTCACCTTGTATGGTCACAAGCATTTAGAATCCTCCCAGCACGTGGTAAGCACCCAGTGAGCACCCCACGCATCAGCTGGTACTGTCACTGACTGGTGCTCATGAAACTTGGAATGGAATTCTGAGGCTTGGGGCTTCCTGTCATCCAGAGACAGTCTTCAGGGGAGCATGCTGGGTCCAGACTATCCAGTGAGTCAGCACAGGTTTCTTTGCGGTGTTTGGATGGGTGAGAATGAACAGTGCCCTCCAAGGGGGAGTTCTTTCCTATCTTGCTGGTCCCCTCCTCATCCCGCTTGCTCCCGCTCTCTAACTGCCTTTCTCATCAATATGAAAGCATCTGCAAAAGCCTGCTCTCTAGCTCACTCCTGATCCCCTGGGGCTTTGCATTTTTTTTTTATTAGCAATTCTTTAAGCCTCCTGAAATAACTTATTTATTAAAGTTGTATCCGTTGGTCCCTTTTTCCACGTGTTGTGTTGCCCTGGGTTTTAGGGCAGGGGCGGCTTCATGAAAGTGTACTACGACCTTGTCTCTGCTCATGACAAACCTGCCTCAGGAGAGCCAGGGTAATATACACAACAGTTATGGGGAAGAAAAGGGATGAAATAGGCATAGATGGTGTGATTCGGGAAAACAAGCATGCTAACTATTACTTCTTGAAAATCTATTATATGCCAAGCACTGGTTCAGAAGCTTTATATGCGTTGTCAGCCCTGCAAGTTAGGGGATACTGAGTCATTCCCTCTTTACAGATGAGGACCCAGAGACAGAAGCATCTTGTGCAAGGGCACTTGGCACATGGGTGAGAGGAGTTGGGGGTTTGAACCTGTGACCATGTTGACTTCTGTGGGCCTACGGAGGAGATGCAATTTGAACTGTGCTCAGGCCATGGTAGGATTGTCTTAAGTGAGATGTGGGGGTGCTGGGGTGAGCGCAGGCTCAGGGTTGAGCGTGAGCAGCATGCATTCAGGGGCAGCGAGGAGGCCAGCCTGGCCAGGCTGGGGTTGCCTTCAGCATTGATGAGCTGCTGTACCGGGTTCTGTCTGGGTGGTGGGAGATAAATAAGATGTATTCCTTGCCCTCTGGGATCTTGCTGCAGCTGGCAAGACAGACACACAAATAGTTGATTTCAGCGCTGTGTGGTAAGAGCTATGATGAGGGTAAGTATAGGGAGCTGTGGGAGCAGAGCACAGGGAGCTGGGAGCATTCCCAGAGCCTTGCCCTGACTGCAAGGGCAAGGTAAGGTAGCGGCAGGCTTAGCGGTGGAAGGCAGGAAGGGCTTCCTGAAAGGCAGAGAACAGCATGAGCAAAGGCATGGCGTTGAGGGCTTTCTTGTTTATTCTCCTGGTCAAATGGATGTCAGGGTACAGTGTGGGCTTTATGGGCATCGGGGAACCTGCCGGGGGTTTGAACACAGAGCGACGGCGGAAGTCGAGTTTTAGGTCAGTTAATCTTGTGGAGGCGGGAGAACTGAGTCAAGCAAGATCAGCCGGGGAGGAGTCAGCAAATTTGTTTCTGTAAAAGGCCGGAAGGTAAATGTTTTAGGTTCCATGAGCTGGTTGGACTCCGCGGCTGCTCCCCTCTGCTGTTGTGTGAAGGCAGCCACAGAGAGCACAGAAGTGGATAGCTGTGGCTGGATTCCAGTAATGCTTTTATTTGTGGCCTCTGAAACTTAAATTTTATGTCATTTTTACATGTCACAAAATAGCTTCCTTTTAATTTTTTTCCCCAGCCCTTTAGAAATGTAAACACCAGGCCAGGCGCGGTGGCTCATGCCTGTAATCCCAGCACTTGGGGAGGCTGAGGCGGGTGGATTACGAGGTCAGGAGTTCAAGACCAGCCTGGCCAAGATGGTGAAACCCCCGTCTCTACTAAAAATACAAAAAAATTAGCCGGGCGCGGTTGCAGGCGCCTGTAGTCCCAGCTATTTGGGAGGCTGAGGCAGGAGAACCACTTGAACTCGGAGGGTGGAGGTTGCAGTGAGCCAAGATCGCGTCACTGCACTCCAGCCTGGGCGACAGAGTGAGACTCCGTCTCAGGAAACAAAACCAAAAAAAACCCAGAAATGTAAACACCATTCTTTGGCCTGCAGGCTGGATCTGGCGTGTGGGTGGTGGTGTGCCCACCCCTGGCAGATGGGGATGATTCAGGTGTGACATGACAAGGAACTGGAACAGGATGTTGGCAGTGGATGTGGAGTGGAAGGGACCTGATGCCAGATACATTTTGAGAAGAGGACACTGATAAGATAGAAAGGATAAGGAGAGGGCAGCGCCCCGGATAATGCTGGGTAGGTGCCTTTCCAGCCCCCTGTTGGTAAAGCTGGCCTTGTTTTCCAAGTGCCAGGAGTATGACTTGGTTCTGAAGAAAAACCCAAGAGATATCGGATGCTCGCAGACTTCCATCAGCATTGTTAGCTGTCCCCATGTCTCCCTGGGGGCAGTGCTGTGCCGGTTTCTCTGCTGCCTTGGCTTCGGGTGTTCTGGGCAGCAGGTGCCCCCTGCTGTGACTGGGGCAGCCTGCCCGCCTGTTTGTGGAGCCACAGGTAGCCACCTTTAGGGCAACTCTATTTTGATATAATTTCCTGTTTACAGAGAAGTTGCAGGAGGAGTGCAGGCACTCCCCATCTATTACCTGGATTTATTAGATTTGATCGTTTGACCCCATTTGCTTTATCATTCTTCCAGTGTGTAGATGCATTTTTTTCAGACCAATTTGAAAATTGAAGACATTGTGCCCCTTTACCCTAAATAATTCAGTGTGGGTTTATGAAGAATAAGGATGTTCTTGTCCACACCACAGGACAGTGATCGAGAAAGTTCCCAGTGACAGTGCTGTTTCTGTCTTTGAAGCTAGCATCTCTCCAATTGCTCTTGCTCGGAGTACCTGCCATAGGTAAATAGTGACGTGGCAGCTGTTCCATACAGGTGGGTAGGTACCTGCCCGTCTCTGCACCCACACACCTGCAGCGGTTCCCCAGCACGCATGCTAGGCTGCCCAGGGGGCAGAAGGCCCAGCAGTGGCCTAGAGGGAGAGCAGGCCTAGGGCTCACCGATCACTTGTCTTGAGCATCTAAGCTGCAGAGGGCGGGGACCGTACTTTCCTTCACAAAGCTCCTGCCAGTCCCTGCTGCCTCCAGGAGGAAGGCCATCTCCTGAACAGAACAGCCGCTCAGTTACAGTTCCAAACACCTTCTCTTTCAGCTTTCCTCTCCTCCATTGCCTGTCAGTCTGTGGAAAATGATTATTCTTGTTTCTTTTTCTTTTTTCGAGTTAGGGTCTTGCTCTGTCACCCAGGCTGGAGTGCGGTGGCATGATCATAGCTCACTGCAGCCTGGAACTCCTGGGCTCAAGCAATCCTCCTTCTTCAGTCTCCTGAGTAGCTGGGACTACAGGCATGCACCCCTATGCCTGGACAATTTTTTTTTTATTTTTAGTGGAGATGGGGTCTCGCTGTGTTGCCCAGGCTGGCCTCGAACTCCTAGTCTCAATGATTCTCCTGCCTCAGCCTCCCAAAGCGTTGGAATTACAGATGTGAGCCACCACGCCAGTCGAAAATGATTCTTCCAGGATGGATTTTTTTGTATGCTTACTCTAGAAAATAAAATGGAATTAAATTGGTGTAATCTACTTTGGAAATAAATGGGAGAAAAGAGGTATCCTACCATTTCTGATGTAGGACAAAAAGGCATTTTCTTTTGGCTACTTAAAAGACTGAAACTAGAAATAGGGAAGTGTCTGATGCATATTCCTTAATTCCTTATGAGTAGCCTGCATAGTTCAAGGGGAACTATGGGAAAGAAATCTGGGCATTCTGTGCGTGATGAGACAGGAGTAGAGGGATGCATTTTTCTCTGTGTGAAGTGGGTGACTCACTGCGTTTAGCTAAATTCTCTGTGACTTAACTAAATGCTCAGTCTTTGCCTTCAGCCTACTTAGATGGGATCGGGACCCTGTACTGTTCGGTCATTACTTACCTCTTTTTTTTTTTGAGACAGATTCTCGCTCTGTTGCCCAGGCTGGAGTGCAGTGGCACCATCTTGGCTCACTGCAGCCTCTGCCTCCCGGGTTTAAGCGATTCTTCTGCCTTAGCCTCCCAAGTAGCTGGGACTACAGGCGTGTGTTACCACACCTGGCTAATTTTTGTATTTTTAATAGAGACAGGGTTTCACCATGTTGGCAGGCTGGTCTCGAACTCCTGACCTCAGGTGATCCGCCCATCTTGGCCTCCCAGAGTGCTGGGATTACACGCATAAGCCACTGTGCCCGGACCAGTCATTACGGACCTCTTAAGAGTCATTCTTGTGGCCGGGCGAGGTGGCTCACGCCTGTAATCCCATCACTTTGGGAGGCCGAGGTGTGTGGATCACAAGGTCAGGAGTTCAAGATCAGACTGGCCAAGATGGTGAAACCCTATCTCTACTAAAAATACAAAAATTAGCTGGGCATGGTGGCGGGTGCCTGTAATCCTAGCTACCTGGGAGGCTGAGGTAGAGAATTGCTTGAACCCAGGAGGCGGAGGTTTCAGTGAGCCGAGATTGCTGCCACTGCACTCCACCCTGGGCGACAGAGTGAGACTGTCTCAAAAACAAAACAAAACAAAACAAAAAACAAGAGTGATTCTTGTGTCCCAGCACATCTGAAATTCAAGAGTCATGAGTTCTGCAGGGCCTGGGGCTGGGCCTGAGAGAAGGTGGGTGGGTCCTAAAGGAGGGTGAAGATGCGAGTGGCCTCTGCAGACTCTGATCTCCCAGTCTAGATGAGAAAGCCTCGATTCTGCTGCTGCACAGTGAGTTCAGGTGAGTTACCTGATGATTTTGCCATTTGTCAAGTAGGGTGGAATTGGCTGCCTACCAGTTTAAAGGGGCCTACTGGGAATAAAATTTGAATATAGAATTGGGCAGGCATGCTTTGAAAATACAGAATACAAGCGCCATTTACTTCTGCTTCCCCGCCCCAGGCAGAGGCTACTGCTCACCACTAGTGTAGGAGGACCAGTGACAGAGGTGTCAGAAGCTTCCCTGGCAGGACCTGCTCATCCTCCCGGACCTTGTAGTTTTGTGGAATCTGCAAGGCAAGGCAGACAGATCCAGCAAACATCAGCTTGAAAGTACCAGGGACAAGCAGAGGGAGTAGAGGTTACGGGCTCTGTTCTCAGAGTTCACGGTTCATGTTGGAAGTCAAGGTGAATACTGAAAGAGCAGCACGGCCCACCAGGGAGGCAGGGAATCGGGCACGCAGCACGCTCGGGCATTCTGCTGCACAAAAGGCAGGGGCTGTCCCCTCCCTGGCCGGACCTTCCTCCCGTGCTCCAGGCACACCCTGCCTCAGGACTGTGGGACAGACTCCCCCTCCCTGAAACACTCTTTCCTGCAATATTGCATGCAGACTCCCTCAACTCTTGCGTGGCTTTGCTCAGATGTCAGCTCCTCTGGGAATCCTCATGCCTCCCAGTTTAAAATGTCAGTGTGTCTCCTTCCCTCCGTGCTCCGGATTCCCTTTACTCTGCTTTACTCTCCATTTTTCCGGGGCACTCACCCTCTAGCATGCTGTGTTGCTCACTCATGCTTACTGAGAGGTGGAGGGCCTGGGCTCTGGAGCCAGGCTGCCTGGGGTTGAGTTGTGGCTTCACCACTTGCTACTCGTGTGGCTTTGGGTGGATTATTTAACCCCTTTGCCTTGGTTTCCTCATTTGTATGAACAATACCTAACTCAGAATTTTTGTGAGGATCAAATGAATTTATATTTATAAAATGCATAGCATAACACCTGCCATGGAGTCAGTGCTATAAGCGTTTAATAAATACAGCTTTTATTGTCCATCTCCTCCCACAAAAATGGAAGCTTCATGAAGTCAGAAACCCTGTTTGTTTTGTTCTCTGACAGATCCCTAAGCATTTAGAGCAGGACCTGGGGCAAAGCAGCCCATCTGTGTTCACTGACCAAGTGACTGGGTGGGGCGTGGGGGGTGGGGGGGAGGTCTGGGAAGGCGTCAGGGAGCAGTGAGGTGTGGGTCAATGCTGTGGGTGGCACAGGCCACTGGGTCCCTGTTCCAGCTCTGCATCGGTGTCTGCGTAATCTTGGACCAGTGTCTTTATCTCTCCGAGTCTCCAGGGAGGCCTTCCTCGCAGAGGCGTTCGCAGGATTAGGTGAAACACTGTATGGTATGTGTCGAGCGCAGTGTTGGCCTGGCTGGCAGCAGGTGGTTGGGGAATGTTAGTTCCTTTCCTTCCTCAGCACCCCTGGAAGAAGTGAGTCAGGAACTGGCTCTCAGGGCAGTGGAGGAAGTGGGTTGGCAGGGAGGGACCAGGGAAATCCTGAGTCTAGGTGTTGAGAGTGGGGCAGAAACAAGATGTCAGATAGATGGAACTTGCCTGGCAGGAGTGGCTTCTAAGAAGAGCTGTTGATTGTTGAACTTTGACGATAAGGTGAGGGTTTGGATTTTTTGGGGATAGCTTTATTTTGGTATAATTTCAGAAAAGTTTGAGAATAGTACACGAGTTCCTATTTACCCTTCACCTAGAGTCACGATGATTTGCGTTTTGCCCCATTTACTTTTTCATATTTTTTTCTTCTCTTTGAATTTTTTTCCCAGAACAATTTGTAAATTAGTGAAAGTGTCTCCCTTGACTCCTGAATCCTTCAGTGTCTGTTTCCTGGGAACAAGAATATTCTCTCGGAGTCTGATAGGGCACCTTTAGCATAGGGTTCTTCCATAGGAAGTGGCATGGTGTGAAGGTGTCCAGAGAGGATGAAGGTGTGGCGGGCAGTGTGGAATGGTGTCCACTGGAGGGTGGGGTGGTGAGGACAGGGTACTAACTGGGGACGGAGAAGAGGCGTGGACCAGAAGACCTGGTGTGGGACAAGCAGCACTGCCTTCTAGGGAGGTAAGCCATGTGGAGACTCTGAGGAGGCAGATTTAGCTTCAGCCTTGTACTTGGGAGTACAGAGTCAGAGTTTGGAGGTGCAGCTGAGTCTGAAGGACACTGCCGGTCTCCATCCTTGGGGCGCACAGGGTTCTGTCATGAGGATAATAGGTAGAGATGGTCTCCATCCTTGGGGCGCACAGGGTTCTGTCATGAGGATAATAGGTAGAGATGAGTGTGCCCATAGTCCTGTGTGGACTTAGGAGTTACTAGTGACAGCAGCAGGTGAAATTAAGACCCTTGGTTGTTAAAAGAGTGGGAAGGATGCTGGGAAGCCAAGGGCCAAAGCCAGCCTAGGGGGGTGCAGGGAGGGTCCCAGGGAAATGGGGAGGGGTGAAGACCCAAGGAGGTTGAAGGGAAGGTGGTGCAGCAGTGTGAGAAGAGACAGATTTGGCCACGCGCGGTGGGTCACAGCTGTAATCCCAGCGCTTTGGGAGGCCGAGGCGGGAGAGACCAACCTGGGCAACAAAGTGAGACCCCTTCTCTAAAAAAAGAAAAAACAGTAGACAGAATGAGAGAGACCTGCTGAGCTAGAAGAGACCCATGGGGCCCAGAGGCATTCCCAGGCTGTGGCCTCAGCCCAAGGTCCTTCGTTTCTGAGGTACTTTTTGGACTCTGTCCTTTCCAGATGAGGAGCCGAGCTCACAAGCTTTAAGGAATACCCTGTGACTAACGCCACCCAGGGTGCTAAACCCAGTCAGACTGTTGAAGGATTTAAAATGCGCTTCCCTGCTACCTAAGTGTTTCTGTGGAAGAAGTACCTCAGGGAGAATGTATTAAAACTTTTTTATTTTATTTTATTTTATTTTATTTTACTTTATTTTACTTTTTTATTTTATTTTATTTTATTTTTATGTTATGTTATGTTTGTTATGTTATGTTATGTTATGTTATGTTATGTTATGAATTTTTTTGAGATGAAGTCTTACTCTGTCGCCCAGGCTGGAGTACAGTGGTACAATCTTGGCTCACTGCAATTTCTGCCTCCTTGGTTCAAGCGATTCTCCTGCCTCAGCTTCCCAAGTAGCTGGGATTACAGGTGCCTGACACTGCGCCTGCCTAATTTTTGTATTTTTAGTAGAGATGGCGTTTCACCATCTTGGCCAGGCTGGTCTTGAACTCCTTTCCTCGTGATCCACCCACCTCTCCCAAAGTGCTGGGATTACAGGCATGAGCCACCGTGCCTGGCCAAGAAAACATTTTATATTTCAGCGTATGCTGAGTTTTTAAAATGGCATTTTCCCCCGTTTTTGAAAAGATAACGTGTTGCACGTGCAGTTTCTCCAGTGCCCGGCTGTGGGAAAGCCTGCATTCCCTTTGGAGCACAGACTTCAGGAGTGAAGCCACTGCGGGGCTGTGCTGTGTTTCCACAAGTGCCGTCACCACCTTTCGTGTACTGAATGCTGGGAATTCAGTAGTGAGCCGTGGCCTACCAGAGCCAGCTCTTAGCCTCTTATTAATTTTTTTTTTTTTATTTTTTGAGACAAGGTCTTGCTCTGTTGCCCAGGCTGGAGTGCAGTGGTGCAGTCTCGGCTCACTGTAACCTCGACTTCCCAGGCTCAGGCGATTCTCTCACCTCAGCCTCCTAAGTAGCTGGGGCTACAGGCAAGCACCACTACTCCCTGCTAATTTCGTTAATTTTTTTGTAGAGGCAAGGTCTCACTATGTTACCAAGGCTGGTCTCCAACTCCTGGGCTCAAGCGATCCTTGTACCTCAGCAGGTGTGGGCTACCTCACCCATCTCTTAAGGAATTTTGCAAGTTGGTTGTTAACTGCCGCCATTATAATTAAATGAATTATAATAAAGGCAAAGGTAATAAATACTCAAAACTCATCACTTCCTGTTGACCTTAGCATCGCCTGTGCCATCACACCTGCTGTGTCTGTGGTGGAGACACCAGGTAGTGCTGTGCATGCGCATCTGTTCCCAACTGTGTCTGCGCTCACATGTCATGTTGGGGGCTGGACATTAGCCTTGGTGGGAGCATTTACACCATGGACACTCGCAAACACAACACATTAGGGCTGGGTTTATTGTTTTGTTCATTGAGAAAGTGATGAAAAAAAATTTAACATTGCAGTTTAAACTTAGTATTTTGTGTCTGTAACCATTATATTGTGAATAGTACAAGAAAATTGAGTAAATATTCTTCTGGTATTTGAAACTAGTGTCCAGTTCAGCAGAGAAGTTGCTTATATCATGATTGATCTTTATCTTCTTTCTTTCACTTTTGTTTTATTCCTTAGAGTCAATAGTCACAGATGTAAGAGTTGGACCAAATTAAAAAAAAAAAAAAATCTAGGAAAGCATTCTGGGAGAATCAGGTGGCTCAGTGGAATTTACAATGAAGAGTATTACAGATTTTATTCCTATGTGCTTTATTAAGTGTATAATTGTGTATTTTATGATATATATTTATTACTGTATTGTATATGTTATTACCATTGTGTGCTGCATATCTTTTATATCAGTAAAATTGAAAATAAATGTGTCCATATAAATACATGCACATGTTTTTGGAGACCAGTCTGTTAAGCATTTGCCAGCACAGTACTGCAGTGGGTGAAGTAAATACTGCCCTCCTGCAGTCCACAGTGTCTGGAGGGGACCAATAGACAGATGATCACAGACACCTCCAAGTGTGCAGGGCACTGGTGGGGGCCGGGGCAGGCCCAGCGAAAGTGCAGGACCTGGCACTTAGTCGGAAGTGAGGGTGCAGTTGAGCAGGAACTGAGGGTGACGGGCCAGCACAGCCGCATCTGGGCGAGGCTGAGGCAGAGGAGCAGACGGGCAGCTGGTTTGCTGCCGCGGAATGATAAGACGGGCGGAATGATAAGACGGAAACTGTGGCACTCTGGAGAAAGTGGGTGTGGCTGGAGTGCACAGCTGCTCGTTGTAGGTTGCATGAAGGGCATGTTGACAGCCTGAGGATTCTGCCTCCTTTTCTCCGTTGCCACAAATACTTATAGGCTTCAGAAAAGAGGTGTTAAAGTAGTAATTGTTGTGAAGTAAATACTTAAGTTCAGCAAATACAGACTGTCCAATTCCTGTGTTCAAGACTCTGCTGATGGTTTTCCAGGAGCTGAAAGTTGTCCTTGCCCACTAGGAGGGTATTCCATGGTAGGGAGCCAGATGTGTGTGCAGTCAGCTGTGATAGCAGGCGGATTTGAACAAAATGCTGTGGAGGAGGCCGTTAATTCTGATTGCGGAATGGGGAAGGCAGGAAAGTAGTTTGCAGCAATTTCCTTTTGGAAGCCCAGAAGAATATCCCTCCTTCCACCAAAGGCCCTTTCCGTCTTTATTTCCCAGTTTATCTCCATTCCCCTGCCCTGAGCTGCTGCTGTTTCACGAATGCTAATTCGGCCTCTAGCCAGACTGCTAGAGAGGGCTACATCCCATGCTTCCTCCTGTTCCTCAAGAGCTCATATTACCCACTTTCAGAAAGACTTGCTGGGGGCCAGGTGCGGTGGTTCACCCCTGTAATCCTAGCACTTTGGGAGGCCAAGGTGGGAGGATCACTTGAGCCCAGCAGTTCCAGACCAGTCTGGACAATATAATGAGACCCCTTTTCTATACAAAATTAAAATATTAGTTAGGTGTGGTGGCATGTGCCAACAGTCCCAGCTCCTCAGGAGGCTGAGGCCAGGAGGATTGCTTGAGCCCAGGAGGTCAAGGCTGTAGTGAACCATGATTGTGCTGTACTCCGGCCTAGGTGACAAAGTGAGACCCTGTGTCAAAAATTATAAAAAACCAAAAACAACAACAAAAAAACCTGTGGGTTTTTTTTTTGTTTTTTTTTGTTTTTTTAAATCCACCAGTAAAGCCTCATAGCAGCACTCCAGTTGAGAAGAGACTTTAGACAGAGATCAGCCTGATTGGTGGTGTGCTGGGCTGGGAGAAGGTGCTGGAGGGATCTGTTTCCTCTAGGCTGGGACTGTTGTAGAAGGCGCTGGATGCCGTGGGGAATTCCTCTAATGAAATCTTTGGTAAAAAGACTCAACATCTCTATTCTTTTTACCAACGTTTACATACTGTTTTTGAGATGGAGTTTCACCTTGTTGTCTAGGCTGGAGTACAGTGGCTCGATCTTGGCTCACTGCAACCCTCACCTCCTGGGTTCAAGTGATTCTCCTGCCTCACACTCCCGAGTAGCTGGGATTACAGGCGCCCAGCACCACTCCCAGCTAATTTTTGTATTTTTAGTAGAGACGGGGTTTCGCCACGTTGGCCAGGCTGGTCTCGAACTCCTGACCTCAGGTGATCCGCTCGCCTCGGCCTCCCAAAGTGCTGGGATTACAGGCGTGAGCCACTGTACCTGGGCCGTTTACATATGTTTATACCTACTATATGGCAGGCCCTTTCGAGAATATGGTGACTCATAAGACATGGTTACTCCCCTCAGGGTTTTTTTAGACAGGGTCTCATTCCTGTGCCCAGGCTGGAATGCAGCGGCATGATCACAGCTTACTGCAGCCACAACCTCCTGGGCTCTAGTGATCCTCCTGCCTCAGCCTCCCAAGTAGCTGGGACCACAAGTGTACCACCACACCCAGCTAAGTTTTGTATTTTTTGTAGAGATGGGGTTTTGCCATGTTTCCCAGGCTGGTCTCGAACTCCTGGGCTCATGCAGTCCTCCCGCCTTGGCCTCCCAAAGTGCTGGGATTTATAGGCGTGAGCCACTGTGCCCAGCCAGTTTTTTTTTTTCTTTTAAACAGCTTTATTATATAATTCACATACCATTCATTCATTTTAAGTGTACCGCTCAGGCCAGGCACGGTGGCTCACACCTGTAATCCCAGCACTTTGGGAGGCCGAGGCGGGCAGATCACCTGAGGTCAGGAGCTTGAGACCAGCCTAGCCAACGTGGTGAAACCCCGTCTCTACTAAAACTACAAAAATTAGCTGGGTGTGGTGGTAGCTGCCTGTAATCCCAGCTACTCTACTCAGGAGCCTGAAGTAGGAGAATTGTTTGAACCTGGGAGACGGAGGTAACAGTGAGCTGAGATTGTGCCACTGCACTTCAGCCTGGGTGACAGAGGGAGACTCTGTCTCAAAAAAAAAAAAAAGTGTACAGTTCAATGGTTTTATTATATGCAGAGTTTTGCAACCATCACTACAATCATTCAATTATAGAACATTTTTATCATCCCCAAAAGAAGCCTTGTACCCATAGGAGTTACTGTTACCTTCTCCAGCCCCTCTCCTGAGCCATGGCCAACTACTCATCTACTTTCTTTCTGATTTGCTATTCTGAACATTTCATGTAAATGTAGTCATACAATATTTGCCCTTTTGTAACTGGCTGCTTTCACTTAGCATGGTGTTTTCAAGATTCATTCATGTTGTAGCATGTGTCAGAATTTCATTCCTTTTCATGGCAGAATAATATTCCATTTTATGTATGCACCACATTTTCTTTATCCATTCAGTAGTTGATAGGCATTTGAGTTATTTCCACTTTTTGACTATTTGGAATATTGCTATGAATAGTCATGTGCAAGTTTTTGTGTAGGTGTATATTTTTTTATTTTATTTTATTTTATTATTTATTTATTTTTTATGAGACAGAGTTTCACTCTTGTTGCGCAGGCTGGAGTGCAGTGCTGTGATCTCTGCTCACCACAACCTCCGCCTCCCAGGTTCAAGTGATTCTCCTGCCTCAGCCTCCCGAGTAGCTGGGGTTACAGGCATGCACCACCATGCCTGGCTAATTTTGTATTTTTATAGAGACAGGGTTTTTCCATGTTGGTCAGGCTGGTCTCAAACTCCCGACCTCAGGTGATCCTCCTGCCTCGGCCTCCCAAAGTGCTGGGATTACAGGTGTGAGCCACTGTGCCTGGCCAGGTGTATATTTTTATTTCTCTTGAGTATATACCTAAGAGTGAAATTGCTGGGTCATATGGTAACTCTATGTTTAACTTTTTGAGGAGCTGTCAAACTTTTCCAAAGTTGCAGCACTATTTTACTTTCCCACCAGCAACATAGGAGGGTTCCAGTTTCCCCACATCCTTGTCAACACTTGTTATTGTCTGTCTTTTTTTTTTTTTATTATAGTCTTCCTAGTGGGTATGAAGTGATACCTCATTTGAGGGTTTGATTTGCATTTCCCTAATGGTTGCCGATGTTGAGCATCCTTTCATGTGCTTATTGGCGTCTTTCTTTTCTTGTGCTTCTGGGTCTTCCTTAGATAAATATCTGTCCAAATCCTTTGGCTGTTTAAAAAGTTGGGTTACCTTTTTATTATTGAGTTGTAAGAGTTCTTTATGTCTTCTGGATACAAGTTCCCTATCCGTTACCTGATTTGCAGATATTTTTCCCTATTCTGTAGGTGTGTTTTCACTTTCTGGATGGTGTCTTTTATGCTTTGAAGCATACACGTTTTTAATTTTGGTGATGTCAAATTTACTCTCGATTCTTGAGTAAACCTGGATTTGCACATCAGTTTTCTGTGCTTTCAGATGTTTCTATTGTAGTTAAGTCTCTGCCGGGCGTGGTGGCTCACGCCGTAATCCCAGCACTTTGGGAGGCGGAGGTGGGCGGATCACAAGGTCAGATCGAGATCATCCTGGCTAACACGGTGAAACCCCGTCTCTACTAAAAATACAAAAAATTAGCCGGGCATGGTGGCGGGCGCCTGTAGTCCCAGCTTCTTGGGAGGCTGAGGCAGGAGAATGGCGTGAACCTGGGAGGCGGAGCTTGCAGTGAGCCGAGATCACGCCACTGCACTCCAGCCTGGGCGACAGAGCAAGACTCCATCTAAAAAAAAAAAAAAAGAAGAAGTCTCTAGAACTAAGTAGTCTGTAACAGTCCCATAACCTTTAATACTCAGAACTTATGTTTGGTGACTGTTATAGCTTTTGCAAACTTAAAATCCTTTGAAAGCAGAAACTAAGTCACAAAAGCTCTTTAAAGCTTGTAGTGAGCCGAGATCGCGCCAGTGTACTCCAGCCTGGGCGACAGAGTGAGACTCTGTCTCAAAAAAAAAAAAAAAAAATATATATATATATATATATATATATATACACACACACACACACACACACACACATATATATACACATATATACATGTATATTTTATTCATCATGCCACTGATTTAAAATAAAAAACCAGCCATAAACTGATGACTGCTGAACACAGTGATTGGTTCCAGGCTTCTGGGAATAGCTGGAGGTTGGATACAAGTGTACTGAGGTTACATTTAAGCAAAAGCCAAGAAAATCGGGCAGTGCTGTTTCCCAGTGTAACCTTAACTCCCTCGTGTTATCTAATGAGATTTTCAGCTTTATTTACTCTAGTATAAGACACGGAATTTAACAGCAAGAAATGAATTTGGGTTATGTGGACAAGTTACCAGAATGAAAAACTTAAACTGTCTTCTACCCTGATCCCCACAACATATTTTGGCAGTCCATCTCTGCCTATATTGTTCAGATAAGATTAGAAAGAAATAAAACATTTAACTTACATACTGATGTTCTGTTGGCCGTCTTATTTGCTCCGGCTTTGAGCCATGTAGCACTCTTTTTTTTTTTGAGACCCAGTCTGGCTCTGTCGCCCAGGCTGGAGTGCAATGGTGTTATCTCGGCTCACTGCAACCTCTGCCTCCCGGTTCTAGCGATTCTCCTGCCTCAGCCTCCTGAGTAGTGGGATTACAGGTATGTACTGCCACGCCCGGCTAATTTTTGTATTTTTAGTAGAGATGGGGTTTCATCATGTTGATCAGGCTGGCCTCAAACTTCTGACCTCGTGATCTGCCCACCTCAGCCTCCCAAAGTGCAGCACTCTTTAATAGCAAATCCTGTGTCCCAAACATGAGGACATATGCCAGGAGGGTGTTCAGGAGAGTCTGTGTAACTCACTCTTGGGACAGTGCTGGGTTCTGTTTTTTGGGGACACACTTGGGGTGACTTGAAAATGTGCTATTTCATACCTGGTTTGTTCTGTATCCCTTTTAGCTCTCTTTATCAGGTATTTCCATTTCTAAATTGGGGTAAATGAATTCGTTGAATTTTTTTCTTTGTGCATAATCTGAACAAGTGAGTATAAGTCCTGTAGCTGGGGGGCTGGGTGTGGGGCATGGGAGCGGAAAAATATGGAAGGCAAGGGAAAGCTGGGTAAGGAAGAGTGCAGAGTGTAAGAAGTTCTCAGAAATACCAGAAAGTTGTGGGAATTTGTTAGGAAGTCAGTCAAGTAGGGTATGAGATTTTTTTTTAAATTTGCGGGCTTTTCATTCACTGTCAGCCGTGAGCCACCAAGATCCTTGGGTGACTTTCTAGCAAGTGTAATTTTGAACTGAAGCGTGGTCCTGTTCCCATTCTGAGTAGAGCCACTTCCCATCACACGATGATTGTGGTGACTGCAGCTTGACTGCGGCTTCTTGCATTGTTCTGGCCTTTCCCTTCTGCAGAACTTAGAACCATTTTCTTGTGGGTTTGTGATCACAAGGCTGACCTGAGACTGACAGTTCTTTCAAAGAAGTCAGTCTTGAGCTGTTTTTGGAATCTGTGCCACGCTGGCCTTTGCCTGCTTTATTCCTGGGAATGTTTCCATGCTTTGAGGATGGGTGTGATGTGGTCCATGCTGGGGCTCCAGAGTCCAGCTGCCTGGGCCCAGCTCTGTCTTCTACCACATAGAAACCATACAGCCTTGATAAATGACTCAATTTCTGTTTCTTCATCCACAGAATCTACCTCATGAGGTTATTGTGAGGACTGAAGAACTCTAGTGTGTAAAGTTCAAGAGAACAGCATGCACAGTAGTGCTCATCACACAGTAAGCACATATTACGTGCTACCACTGTGCTGTGAAATAACCAGGACTCAGTGGCACACAGCTTTTTTTTTTTTTTTTTTTTTTTAAGACGGAGTCTTGCTCTGTTATCCAGGCTGGAGTGCAGTGGTGCCATCTCGGCTCACTACAACCTCTGTCTACCAGGTTCAAGCGATTCTCCTGCCTCAGCCTCCCAAGTAGCTGGAATTACAGGTGCGTGCCACCATGCCCAGCTAATTTTTTATTTTTAGTAGAGACAAGGTTTTGCCATGTTGGCCAGGCTGGTCTGGAACGCCAACCTCCACCTCCCAGGTTCAAGCAATTCTCCTCCTTTGGCCTCCCAAAGTGTTGGGATTATAGGCGTGAGCCACCACACCTGGCCTCACACAGCTCTTATAAATGTATCAGGTTTGAGTAAAACATGAAATGTGGAAATAGCAGCAGTACTAGTAATTCCCGTTTATTGAGCAACTTCTGTGTGCCAGGCCATGCAGCATAGGCTCTGCTGTACATACCATCACTTACTTCTCACAGCAGTCCCCTGAAGCCTGTTTTATCAGCACTGTTGAGGGCCAGGCCCAGGGCAGACAGCAGGGTGGTGGAGCTGGTCTTCCTCACAAAGCCCTAGGGAGCTGGGCTTTGCTCTTGACTGCCTCGTCACTTTCCTTACCTGTGTTCACCCTGGGAGCCAGAGTAACAGGAAAGTCATTCTTTGCCCTGAGCCTGGAATTTTGGCAGCTCACATAAACCATGGCCCAGAGGGAAGTATGATTTCCAGGATATAAACCATTTTTGGGTGAGTCTTCAGTCTTTTCTGTTGTGATAAATAGGAGGAGGAGCTCAGGGGACTTGTTTTTTATTTATGTATCTTAAACATTTTTAAATTTAATCTCTTTTGAGACAGCATCTCACTGTGTTGCTGGAGTGCAGTGGTGCGACCACAGCTTACTGCAGCCTCGACCTCCCAGGTGCAAATGATCCTCCCACCTCAGCCTCCCCAGTAGCTGGGACCACAAGTGCGTGCCACCATGCCTGGCTAATTTTTTGTAGAGACGGCGTCTCACCGTGTTGCCCAGGCTGGTGTCAAACTCCCGGGCTCAACTCATCTTCCTGCCTCGACCTTCCAAAGTGCAGGGATTTCAGGTGTGAGCCATCGCACTTGGCCAGCCTGTCTTTTCGAAAGGGCCCATGATTTGCCTGCGTCTAAGCCTGGCTCTGATTGGTCTCCCTTCTGCACACAGCAGACACCCAAACTCTGAACTGCCACCCCGGTTCCACAGTGGGGCTGGAAGGGGTCGGTTGTGGCCATCAGCTTCACACCCTGTGCTGCTTCCACTATCATGACCTATGTGTGGCTCCGTCCTGGGCCTCATGATGATCAAGCCGGTGTCCCAGGCCCTGTTGGGAAGGATCATATGCTCAGTTACATACCCTACAGAAGTAAGTCTCTTATCAGATTTCAGACTGGTAGAAAGTTTCTCCCATTTGGTAAGCCGTCTTTTCTGATGTCCTTTGAACTACAACATTCCCTCCCCAGGCTCCCCCCACCTTTGTTTTCCCCATGGTGAGGCTTGGCAAGTGTTGATGCCACAGGGCATGAGTGAAGAGGGTGGTAGCAGCGCCTCTGTCTGCATGCACACACCTCTCTTCTCCCTTTTCCCCCCATCTGGGTGGTGAAGGAGGCTTACTCACCCCACAGAAGAGTCAGAAGTAAAGACCCACAGCAAGTAGGCTCGGAGTCACAGGATGCTCCTTAAAGAACTGAGAACTATTGGGCATGGCTGAGGGCCCCTTGTAGCCAGAGGTGGGCAGCCCACGTGGGCCCGGCTGGGCAAGGCGCAACATGCCTGACGTGCAGGGGCCTGAGGGCAGGTCTGGGTGGGCATTGTAGGGGCTGCAGGCGCTTGGGGGCTGGCAGTGCCAAAGGCTACTTAAGCTGACGGGTCAGGTTACAGTTGCTGTGGGAACTGTGACCTTTGAATTTCCTGGCTTATGCATGGAATTTCAGTTGCACAATACTACAACAATTTGGATTATTTTTCCTCCCTTTCCTCTCCCTCCTTGGCACTTAATTTTTTATCCCAGTGAATGAGATCCATAGCTCTCTGCCCTTGCCCTTTTTCCTGGGGCAGACAGTCTTACTCACCTTCCTTCTCCTGCTGCCCCAAAGTGTGCCTGCCAGGAGACCAGCCCCGGACCCTGACCTGTGGGAATCTTCCTTCTGCCTCCAAGGCCCTGAAGATGGGGGTGAGCTGCCCGGGATGGGCTGTTGTGTGTTGTAGGCGGGCTCAACCTTTCTGTGTGCTTACCCCTCCCCGATGTGCCTTGCTGTCCCTACTCCCGTACGTCCGTTCACCTGTTGCGTGTGCCTGGTCCACCCTCCCAGGTAGCTTAGCCTGGTTCGCTCCAGATTTCAGTTTCTACTTGGAGTCCCACCCTCTTTGGGAAACCCGTTGTCACCACCTTACCTGGGAATTATTTCCCCTTCCAGTGGACCATGTGACTTGAACATTTCATCTGGTGTTTAATCAGATACTGCCTCAGGATATATATTTTCTTGTCTCAAGATTTTTTTGTTTTTTGTTTGAGATGGGATGGTCTGGTTCCTTTTTTCTACAAACCAAATTATAAAATTTGAGGGCCAAGATTTTAACAGTACCTTGCTTATTAAATAGCCACTGGTTTGTAACTGATTTGCTGAACTGAGCATGTGTTCTTAGTGTTTGCCTTGAGGAGCGCACTGGGCTTGGGAACAATGAAAGATGTAGGAAAAAGCAAGGTCCTTGCATCCAGATTCGTTAAGAGGCCTTGCCTGGCCTTGTGTGGAGTGGCCTGCCTGCCTTGCCATCCTCCTCTTCCTCTCTCACTGAGCCCTGAGCCCACTGGCCGGTGGTCCTGGAAGGCCATGTGCATTGTCGCCTGTGCCGGTGCACGTGTGCTGCTTCTGCCCCTGGAGCAAGCTCCTCCTTTCCCTGGGCATCCTCCCTCCCGGGTCGGGCTGGATACCTCTTCATTACCACCTGAAGGGCCAGGGGGCCCCTTCCGATGTTCTGTCTTAGGTTCTGCTGTTCTTTTTCTCACAGTGTGTAAGTATGGATGTATCTATATATTGACGTTTTTACACCGATGGCTGTGTCCACCACTGTCCTTCCATCTCTGGGGCACAGGAGACATAGGAGTTCTGTTCACATTCTGTGCTTAGCCCCAACACAGTGTCTGGTGCCTGTGTATGCTAGATGAATGCTAGATGTATGCTAGATGAATGCTAGATGAATGCTAGATGAATGCAGTCAATGCTAGATGAATGATGAGGTTTTTTGTTTGTTTGTTTTGACATGGAGTCTTGCACTGTCGCCCAGGCTGGAGTGCAATGGTGCGATAGCTCACTGCAACCTCCGCCTCCCGGGTTCAAGCGATTCTCCTGCTGAGGCTGAGGAGGCCTCAGCCTCCCAAGTAGCTGGGATTACAGACACACAACACCATGCCCAGCTAATTTTTTGTATTTTAGTAGAGATGGGGTTTCACCATGTTGGCCAGGCTGGTCTCAAACTCCTGACCTCAAGTGATCTGCCTGCCTCAGTCTCCCAAAGTGCTGGGATTGAAGGCATGAGCGCCCAGCCCCCCCCTTTTTTTCTGACACGGGGTCTTGCTCTGTTGCCCAAGCTGGAGTGCAGTGGTGCAATCTCAGCTCACTGCGACCTCCGCCTCTGGGGCTCAAGTGGTCTTCCCACCTCAGCCACCTGAGTAGCTGGGACTTACAGGCATATGTCACTGTGCCCAGCTAATTTTTTTGGCAGAGGCGGGGTTTTGCCGTGTTTCCCAGGCTGGTCTCGAACTCCTGAGCTCAAGCAATCTGCCCACTTCGACCTCCCAAAATGCTGGGATCACAGGTGTGTGCCACTATGCCCGGCCTCCAGAAGACTTTTTAACAGCTCACAGGGCACAGTTTAGAAAGCACTGCCTGCAAATCGGGTGGGGTGCTGAAATCAAGGACAAGATAAATATAATAGGAAAGACGTAACAGATAAAAAAATTTTCCACATTAAAAAAAAATGCTGCTCAATTAAATGGCTTGGAAAGACAGACTTAGCACCTTTTCTCACCAACCCCAATTCAAGGACCTGTTTAAGGCACCTACTGTGTGCCAGGAATATTACAGGTGTTAGAGGAGGGAACATAGGAAGTGGTGGGGAATTACTAAATTCTGCTTCTGATTTTGGATTTTTTAAAATGTATACATGATATTAGTGCTGAAACCTGACACTTCTCAGGAAGTGAGAACTAAAAAGCACAGAAGCCCATCTGCCACATAGTGAGTCGGTCACAGCCGTGACTGCAGAGTTCTGTTATCTGACTCCCAAAGGGGCCTCCAACCAGTGGGCCCTGCGGCAGATCACGAAGATCCTCTGATCATGGCCCTGCAGCTGGTCAGCCGCTCACTCAAGGACCAGTGGGCCCTGGGGCAGACCACGAACATCCTCTAAGCATGGGCCAGCAGCTGGTCAGCCGCTCACTCAAGGACAGACGGAATGGCAGATTTAGAACCTGGCGTCCATTCTCAAATCCCATTCAACAACATGGGCGGGGGACAGTGGAGGGGAAGCCATCTGTCCTCCCTTCTCACCAGGCTGAGAAAAGTGGGTGTTGAAGGTGGGACCGAGAGAAGAGCCCACAGACCCCACTCAGGGAGACTTCTCTGGGGACAGTGGCACAGAGCCTGCTAACCTGCTGGAGCGGCTGGAGCAACGGCCCAGTCCCTCTGCACACTGTGAATCCTGGCAGCCAGGGCAGAGATGTGGACCAAAGGGAAGTCTGATTACCGACTATGTGGCCTCAGAGTGCCCTTCTCCTCTGACGAGCTCCCAGTGCTTTCGTGGACGTGACCTCATGAGGCCCTCACACTCATTCCATAGGTATTTTCTCAGGCAAGTCACAGACGGCATCCCAGCACACAGGGAGAGCTGAGAGCCTCAGTTCTCTCTAAAACATGAGGAAGCATGCACCCATCCCAGGGTGTCGGCAAAGAGGCCATCCTAGACGCTGCGCTTCTCACAGCTGTTCTGGCTAGCAGCATCGGCTGCTTCTCAAAAATGATTCTGAGAGCTTAGGAAAAAGCGAATACCTCCAAAGTCCCAAAATAAGTTTCTAGAATTCCACAGAACAGAGTAACAGTCCTGCCTCACCTCCTCACAGATCAAGGGCCCATGTTGCCTTAAATCATTTCTAAGATAAACCAAAAAAGGAATAAAGGTGGCAGGGAAGAAGGAAGAAGGAAGGAAGAGAAAAAAAAGCATGTGTCTTGCCTAGAACAAAGGAGTTCTCATTTTAATCTCCAGATGGACACTGTCATTCCACAACGCCTGTCGGCTCCAGACCAACCCAAGAAGCACGATCTGCGGACAAACTGCTCATTTTACATTTCTTTCTCGTCCCTTAGAGAAAAGCACATGTATTTCTACAAGAGTCCTCATTTGGCCGGGTGCAGTGGCTCATGCCTGTAATCCCAGCACTTTGGGAGGCCGAGGCAGGTGGATCACGAGGTCAGGAGTTCAAGACCAGCCTGGCCAATATAGTGAAACCCTGTCTCTACTAAAAATACAGAAAATTAGCTGGGTGTGGTGGCGGACGCCTGTAATCCCAGCTACTCGGGAGGCTGAGGCAGAATTGCTTGAACCCGGGAGGTGGAGGTTGCAGTGAGCTGAGATCCTGCTACTGCACTCCAGCCTGGGTGACAGAGTGAGACTCCATGTCAAAAAGAAAAAAAAAAGTCTTCTGGAGAAAGTTAAAGAATGTTCTTAATAAGTCATTGAATTTTACATATTTTTGACTTTGTGTGTTGGGGGATAATTTTGTTTATAAAGTCTTTAAAAACTGACCATTTTTTGCATTGGTTAATTTACCCATGAGACCATTTATTTGTAGTTAATAAAATACAAATCTATTTAAAATGTTGAATTCATAGTTTTTGGTCACAAGGCATGTTTGAAGTTTGTCGCCCCATGCTAATCTAAAAGCGCCTAACTCCCCTCGAGCTCCTTTAGTATGCTTTCCATATATCCTACGTCAAACTGTTTGGTGGCCACATCTGTTTGAGGAAGGTGAGCTAAAGTGTGGAACCGGCCTTTCTTTCAGCGGCTCGTTGGGGCATTAGTGGTTGTGGTAATTATTATATCACTCTTTGAGTATCGGCTCTCAGTTGGACACTCTCCCAGGCATTTCAGGTTGGTTGTTTATTTGAACCTCACCTCAAAATCATTACATCCATAAGAGGCACATACTAATATATCTTTGTTTTGTGGTGGGGAAATGTAGCCTGAGGAAGCTTGCCCGAGCCAGGGTCTGGTGAGGTCTCCGGTTTGAGTCTGCGACTGTGGAGCTCTGGCGCCTCAGCTCTTCCCAGAGCAGCTCCCGGCTCCTGTGCTGCTCCCCCGTGGAGTGTCCTCACCTGTGAACACCTGCTCACCTGTGAGTGTCCCCTCAGTAGGGCGGGTCTGAGCTCTGGCAAGGTTGCTAGGCTTTTCTCCCTCCCCCAACGCTTCCACAGAGGCAGGGCTCGGCACTGGGCACGCTATCTGATTCCCCCTTTGCTCATGTGAATTCTCGCCATTTCCTCTCTTTCCTCTTCACTCTGCTGGACTTGGTCTCATCCTTCAGGATCTCCTCAGATCCACCCTTTCTTCCGTGAAACTTGCATCTATTTACCTACTTTTACAAGCATCATTTAATAATTATTTTTATTTAATTTTTAAATTTTACTCTTTTTTTTTTTTGAGACGGAGTCTCACTCTGTCATCCAGGCTGAAGTACAGGGTGCAACCTTGGCTCACTGCAACCTCCGCCTCCCAGGTTCAAGCGATTCTCCTGCCTCAGGCTTCTGAGTAGCTGGGATTACAGGTGTGCGTGACCACGCCTGGCTAATTTTTGTATTTTTAGTAGACAGGGTTTCACCATGTTGGTCAGGCTGGTCTCGAACTCCTGACCTAGTGATCTGCCCACCTCGGCCTCCCAAAGTGCTGGGATTACAGGCGTGAGCCACCACGCCCAGCCAATTTTTAGTCATTTTTACAATAGAGAAGGGGTTTCGCTGTGTTGCCCAGGCTGGTCTCAAATTCCTGGTCTCAAGTGATCTTCCCATCTTGGCCTCCCAAAGTGCTGGGATTACAGGCGTGAGCCACCACACCTGGTCCTCATTTTTATTATAATATGTACTTAAATGTATTGAACTGAATTTGTTAGAAGCCTGTCCTTAACCTTTACCTCTCTTCTGAGCTGTTGTCAGTGGGATCCCCATGCTGTAGGCATGAGTGGGTGTGTGTGGGTGTGTGTGTGTGTGTGTGTGTGTGTGTGTTTGCATGTACACTGCCCAGTGGCCAAGACTGTGAATCCATAGGGCAGATTCATCAAATATTGTCGCTTGAGTAAATGCCTTAAATATATGTGTTCTACTTTTTTTTGCAGGGTATGTAGATGCCGTTGTGATGAACAGAATACAAATGCATGGGAAAATGTTGAATTCTTAGTAGCTTTTTTATTGTTAGGCATTATTTTCAGCCAATAGGTTGTATGGAATAGCCTCTATCACATAAAGATAACAAAATCACTGATGGTGAAAACGAGTAGTTATGCCAGGATAGACCAGGGATGCTGGCCATCCTGTTCATTTGCATCTGTGCCACAGGTGTTCTGTTCTTTCAGCACGTGTTGGTTGACTGCTTAGCTGGATGGTGGCCCTTGTCCATGGAACCTCTGTCTCACCTACCCTTGATCAGTCCCATGGAGTGTGTGCACACATGGGTGCCCAGGAAGTACTTACAGATTTGACTTAGTCCTTGGATCCTATTTCCCCTGTTCCACTACCCATTCCCATCTGCTATTTCACTTTCTTGAATTCCCTCTTACTTTTCTTCCTTTGTCTAGTTCTTACAGATAACCCTAACCTCCAATAATTTTCTGTCAATTAATTGCAGCTGCTTCCTGAGTTCCAGCTGCACATTTAGCAAGGCTCAGGCTACACTGGGGGCAGATACATAATCATTGAAATAATTACTCATGGACCATTTTTGCCAGGTATCATGGAAGATGCTTTAGAAATGCATTCTGTCGTTTACTTCCTAGAAATACCCTAGACAGTTGGTACTGTCTTTATCACCATTGGCAGGGGAGTTAACTAGGAATTGGACAGCCAAGTGTGTGGCAGAGTCAGGATTAATCTCAGTCCAACTCCCAAGCCTGTGCTCTGAAGCCCTCTGCTACCCTCATCTCCTGAGGATTGGTCATGGTTCTTCCCCTGAGGAATTTTCCATTGGAGAAACAGAAACAATGCAAACAGTACTGTCTGGATATGAATAAGGATTGAATTGTTTGGAACTGCAGAGGAGTGAGGAGGTGGAGGGGCTCAGAAAGGACGAGAAGAGATGGAGGCTTTGTGAAGAAGGCAGGTCTTCTGCGGGGTTCTGGAATAAGGCTGGAGAGGGGAGGAGGAGCGCTCAGGTGTGGGGAACCACACCCAGGCCCGAGGGAGTGGAATGTGCCCACAGGCTGTGGGGCCACTTTGGAGGGCAGTTATCTCAGGGAAAGTGGGATGAAGCTGGGTGGCCAGAGTCAGGGACTGGAAATTCGATGGGAGGCATGAAGCAGTGGATGATAAGGAAACGTGTGTGGTTGTCAAGCAGGATGTGGCAGGATGAGGGTTCTGTCTGAGAATGATGAAGCTGGCAGCAGATGGCAGATCCTGCATGGCATGGAGTTACCTCCGACTCCTCTCTAGTTCATGTGTGTTGACTCTTCATTGCCTGTGTGCCCTGTGGCCCAGTATTATTTCTTCTGGTCCTGGGAACAGCTGTCTACATGGAAGTCCCACGGTGGTTGGTCCCGTGGTGGTTGGTCAGACCACCCTCGAGTGCAGTGTAGTGAAAAGGCATAGAATGTGGAGGTTGGAGACCTGGATTTTTGACTCCTGGCTTTATAGCTTACTAGTTGGACAAGTGATCTGACCTTTCTTAATTCTATTTTCCCCCTTATCTGTAACTTGCAGATAATTATAACTACTTACAGGGTGGTTTCTGGATTAAGATGATAGCAGATATCAGTAGAGAGGCTACTTAGTGTTCACGGTTCCAGGCTTCCTGGGATCAGGTGTCAGCTCTTACTGTGTGACTTGGGGCAAGTTACGTAGCCTCTCTGTCTCCTTTTTCTTGTCTATCACATGAGGCTGATCGCTGTATTAAATACTTAACTCACAGTGACAATCAGTATATCAGTAGTAAGTGATGAATACACTATAGCTGCAGTTATTCCTGGGGGCCTCATCTTCATCAGCACCATTATTTCAGTCCTTGGGATGAATGGAGTCAGTGCTTTCTCTAAGGTAGGAGACCAAAGCATGAAGACTCTCTGATGTGTGGTAAGAAATGGTCTCTAATCATTGTGTTAGTGACATGCCTTCAGGACCTCTCTTAAGCATTGAAATTATAGGCACCCTTGTGCCAGTTCCAGGGTCTTTTAGGGGTTCCGGGTATTATTGCAATCCTGTAAAAAGTCATTGCTTTCTGATACAGAAGGACTCTCGCAAGCACAGCCATTCTCAGGCACAGAAATAGTTCCCTTCCTTTTTTTTTTTTTTTTTTTTGGAGACGGGGTCTCACTGTGTTGCCCAGGCTGGTCTCAAACTCTCTTCTTTTTAAATAGAAGGGGAAGGAGGGAAAGGAGAGCAGCGGATGCATGGATTTCCTTTGGCCCAGTTTCCTCCCTCTGTCAGAGGACTTCCTACCGCAGGGAGTGGGAGACACCTGGGGGCAGGCCCGCACCTGCTCTGTGCCCTTTCAGCGATGGCGTTTCTGTTTTGGAGTGTTTGCTTTCCCCTTTTCCCAGACCTCCACCGCGCTTCAGTTTAGCAGTGCGCTTACGGTCAGCAGTGCCATGCGGCTGCTGCTTCTGAAAACCCCCAGCCCTCCTGAACCAGCCAGTGTCCCAGCTGAGCAATTCGGGGTTTTTGTTTTGCTTTGTTTTTTAAAACAAAACTCAAAATCATTGGACCTTATCCTCTGTAGTTGAAGTGAGAGTTACTTTCTGAGGACTGGCTTGTACCAGAAACCAGCTGGTTTTAAGTTGCTGCAGATCTTTAAAGGGACAGCTTATTTGTGGACCAGATTTCCCTACTCACAGAAACTTTCTGTCAGAGGGTTCTAGTGTGGAGGTGGGTTACAGATGGCAGAAATGCCCGAGTTTGATTTTAAATTTTTAATCTTCACGTAGGGTCCAAGTCCTGTGGAGCTAATCTCTGACATCCCCACCCTTGCCCTGTTAGGGTTGGTCAGTGATACATGTGGACGTGTGCTGTGTGCGCAGATAGTGACAGGACCCAAAAGCAGATCATCACATAAGAGTCAGGGCTGTTCGCTGGGGCCTGTGGCGTTGGCAGCAGTGTCCTCAGCCAGCAGCTACTGTGTACATGGCTGGGAGACGGGGCTTTGCATATTTGGCCTCAATCATATAAGGTAAGAATGTGAGGAGAGGGATGTGAGGGAAGAGCCTGGTGCTGTGGAATGCAGGGACAGAGGGCAACAGCAGGCTGGCCTTCTTCCTCTTGAGCTGAGGAGAGGCAGATTTTTTGGGTCTTGATTGGCTCTTTTCTTCATTCTTGTTAGAACACGGAATTCCAGCTCCAGTAGTAACACCATTTTGAATCCTTTGTTTGTAATGTCCTGGAGACTGAGATTAGGAAGCAAACCAACCTTTGTCTGCCTTTGGGGAAGGCCCAGAAGGAAGTCTCTCTGTTATTACCTTAATGGTACCAATTAGTTGGTAACCAATAATGGTTGTTATTGCCATTGTGTTACAAAATTTGCGAGGGTCTCAGATTGTACTGTGTATTATAAATGCAGCAAGAGTAGGGACCACGTCCTTAAAATATGTCCCCACGACCTTGTGCCTATTTGACCCTCAGCTGGTAGCCTGATGGGTAAAGCGGCTCCTTGTCTGCACCAGGGCATCTTACCTTGCAAGGCAATGATCGGCCTGTGGGATTCATGTGGGTGTGGAGTAGGAGGAGACACAGAAGCGACCCTCCTGGCTGGATCAGCATGGGTAGCTGTGTCTTCAGTGAGGCCTGACTATTATCCACTTGCGAAGTTTGTGGTGACTCCTATGGCTTATGGAGCACGTTGATGGGGTGCGGGCTCACAGGAAGAGTCTCACCTCAGTGCCAAGGGGTGTCAGAGATGCTCACTGCCCTCCTCTCCTTGGGGTTGCATGGAGGCAGGATGGCGCTTGGCCGTGGCAGGGTAAGGAACCGGCGACGGAGGCCCATCACGTGTTCACAGCTCTCCTGCGTCAGTGCTTGGGAGATAGGGACTGTCAGGTCCTTAGCCCGCATTTATGTGAAGGCAAGGGGAGCAAAATCATTGTCATTAAAGAATGGAGATGGCTGTCATTTCATCTCACGCCATGGGTGTCCCTAACAGTCTTCCTTTAAACATCCTGTGTCCAGCTTGGGCAACATGTTGAAACCCTGTCTCTACAAAAATACAGAAATTAGCCAGGCGTGATGACACATGCCTGTAGTCCCAGCTACTTGGGAGGCTGAGGTGGGAGGACCACTTGAGCCTGGGAGGCGGCGGGTGCAGCGAGCTGAGATCACCCCACTGCACTACAGTCTGGGCGACAGAGTGAGACCCGTTTCAAAAATAAGTAAGTAAATCTGTGTCTAGGAAGGTTGTAGCTGAAGTTAAATTATTGATTGGAATAGAAGTGTTTCTCGCTGGCTAGGTGTGGTGGCTCACACCTCTAATCTCAGCACTTTGGGAGGCTGAGGCAGGAAGATTGCTTGAAGGTAGGAGTTCGTGACTGCCTGGGCAACATAGTGAGACCCTGTCTCTAAAATTTTTTAAAAAAAAATTTAGCTGGGCATGGTGGTGTGCTCCTGAGGCTAAGGCAGGAGGATCCCTTGAGGCCAGGAGTTCAAAACCAACCTGGGCACCTACAGAAAAACAAGTGTTTGTCACCTTCCTGCCCTTTCACAGGATACAGATAAGAAGGGAGTAACACCAGCAGCTGGTTTTTATGCCGCCCTGTGTAGCTCATTTGCTTCATTTCTGTTCAAAGGGTCCTTGGAAATTGCTTATTCCTAGCACCTAAAACTACACCTGCCATAGTTAGTGCTCCAAATTTGTCGAATAATTTTCCCTTTTTAAATTCTGGTTCCCACTGCTGCAGTTCTAACCCATCCCCTTTTTTCTTGTGCTCGAGCACCCCTGGATGTGGCCTGGCCGCAGTTCCATCTTCCTTGATGCTACCCTCCTGGCTGCAATCAGGCGGTGCTGCTTTGAAGGCTCCTGTCCTCCTCCCAGGTCCCACACCAGCTCTCCTGCCCGGCTCTAAGAGCCCTGGGTCAGCTGCCTGCCTGTGCAGCGCTGCTTCTCTACCTCTGCCCAGCCTGCGAGTGCCTGCTGAGTGCGTGCCTCCGGTGGCACTGTGCTTCCTCTCCCTGAGCGGCCCTCTCTGTTCCTTCCCAGATCCCAGCTCTGTACCCCGACAGCCTGCCTGCCCAGTTGAGGACATGTTTGCTTGTTCGCTTTCGCACTTACGTTAGTTTTCCCCTTGAGTTCCAGGATCTTTAGCTTCTGGAGGGTTGGAATGATGTCTCGCTTTCCTCTCCCAGCAGTCGTCACACGCCATGTGATATGTGCAGTCAGCAAGCACTCGATTGACAGACCTACCCCTCTCTCCAGTCACTGGCCTTGAAAATTATCTGTAAGAAGCACTTTCCTATCTTTGCCTCATTTTGAACCCATTTTTCTGTAAGTCCTATAGTCTGTCTTAGTTTGAATGTTTAGGGAATAGGTTGTATGGATTTGCCTAGGAAAGGAAACCCCAAACAGATATTTTCAAAGGCTGATCTTGTGATACTGCACAGCCCCGCCACTTGCCCATTGGAAGGTGAGGTGGTGGTGAAGAGGAGCAACTGGAGGCAGGCAGGCCGTGGCACTGGTGGCAGCAGCAGGGTTGGGGTGGGGTGGGCCTGCCTTGGAAGGGGCGCTAACTCTAGAATGGCTAAGGGCAGGCCCAGCCCCAGAGTCGGTTAGGGGTGCAGGCCTTGTTCTCCCACCCACACCCCAAGTCTGGGCCACCTCCTGCCATGTTGGAGATATGATTGCTTCCTGAAGTGGCACCCAGGAGTGTGTGTGGGAAGGGGACTCCAGGAGCTCTGCAAAGCTGTTCTGGACCTGTTCAGGCTTGGCAAGGGGCTCTGGGAGCAGATCCCATGGGTGTGAGACTATGTGCCCCTTCGCTTAGGGAAGGACCATGGGGGTGAGAGGGTGGGGGGAAGGAGGCAGATTTGGAGACTGATGCCCTCCTGGTCAGATCTGAGGGGGAAGGGGCCTCCACTAGGTGTCTGTTGCCCGGGGCTGACGCTCCCCCAGTGAGAATGGCCGCGGGTTATTCAATCCTTTCTGCTGCCTCTAGTAGGACCCAGCGGGAAGGAGATTTATGTTTGTGCTTTTGTTAGCTTCTTTTTCATTATCTCTTCAGTTCTCAGACCAGAAATCTTTGCATTTCTTTCTGGTTCTCACACCTCATGTTTTAGCCATTAGCAGGTCCTGTGAGCCCTGCCTTCATGTTTGGCTTCTCATTACAACCTACACTGACTCCTAGGCCAGGCCACCGCCAGCCATCCTCTGGATTTTTGCAGGCACTTCCAGATTGGCTTCCCTATGCCCACCCTGGTGTCCCTAGGTGTGCTGGCAGCTGGCAACCAGGAGCCCCTGGTAACACACGGTAGCGATGTCATTCTTCCCTGCTCAGACTCCTGCAGTGGTTCCCCTCGCACCCCAGTCAATGCCAAAGCTGCCAGGTGGCCTACCAGGTCCCGCACCGTCTCGTTGCCCTGCTCACCTCATGACCCAGCACCTCCTGCTGAGCTCGTGCTCTTTCCATGCCTGGAGGACTCCCAGTGACCCCGTGCTGGCTCCTTCGGTCCTTGCTCTGCTCCTGCTCGCCTCAGAATCTCCCTGGCACAGCTTAGTGCTTCCTCTCCTCCTTCCCCACTTTGCGGGCCCCCCTGGGTCAAATCTGACCCCGGGGCGGGTGTCTGTTTCCAAATCTGCCTCCTTCCCCCCACCCTCTCACCCCCATGGTCCTTCCCTAAGCGGACGGGGACACAGTCTCACACCCACAGGATCTGTTCCCGGAGCCCCTTGCCAATCCTGAACAGGTCCAGTTCCAGAACAGTTCGCAGAGCTCCTGGAGTCTCCTTCCCACACACACTCCTGGGCGGGGTGTTCCAGGGTGCATGTTTCCTTCCCATATGCTGGGTTCGCATGTGTGGTACCTGTCCCCTCACTAGAACGAAGCTCCATGAGGACAGGAATTTTTGTTTTGTTCACTCTTCTGCCTTCAGTGCCTGGCACATAGAGTGAACAGTAAATATTTGCTGACTTCATTTATTCTGCATCCATTATGTCCTAGGACCAGGCTTCAGGACACATGCACACGCATGTACACAGAGGCCTACATACACACAGGGGAAGAGGACATGAATCGCTGACCCCCAGTGAGCTCACTGCCTAGCACGGAGCCCGTAGCAACAGTGTAGTGAGAACAGCACCCATGAAGAGATGCGGAAGCTACTGTAGGAATGGGAGTGAGCTAGCCATGCTGGGGCAGGGAGCCACAGCCGCGCTCAGCCTGGAGGGAAGATGCCTTCCGGGAACTGTGGTGCTGCTTTCTGTGCACACCTTCTCTTCCTGTGTCCCCATGAGGCTGAGAGAGAAGCCTCCTTTTGCTCATCAGTTTATCCACAGACGTTAAGTGCTCTTTGCTTACAGAGTGCACTCCTAGGCATTGGGATGCCATTGAGTCTTGAAGGTAGGGAAGGTATCATGAGCTTTTCGTCCATGTCAAATGAGTTCAGTTCCTTCAGCCTTGCCTTATAAGGTCTGTCTTCCATCCAGTTAATTTTTTTTTTCTGTACCCTTTCCATGTTTTTCCCCCCTTTATTTGCCTTTATTTTTCTGTCCCAGAAGGATTCTGTTCTTATGGGCAGGGAGAGCTATCTATTTCCCTAACCTACTTAATTCTTTACTAACAAAAACAGTCCTGACCCACTCAACCCCACCATTTTCCACACGTAGGCAGTCATCTTTGTAAACCTCCACTGGTGCTGGCTGCGTTTAGAACATACTCCATATAAAACAGGCCCTGAGGTGTGGTGGCTCATGCCTGTAATCCCAGCACTTTGGGAGGCTAAGGCAGGCAGATCACCTGAGGTCAGGAGTTTGAGACCAGCCTGGCCAACATGGTGAAACCGTGTCTCTACTAAAAATACAAAAATTAGCCGGGCCTGGTGGCAGGTGCCTGTAATCCCAGCTACTCGGGAGGCTGAGGCAGGAGAATCGCTTGAACCTGTGGGTCAGAGGTTGCAGTGAACCAAGATTGCGCCACTGCACTCCAGCCTGGGTGACAGAGCGAGACTCTGTTTCAAAAAAACCCAGGCCGATGGCTGGGCACGGTGGCTCACACCTGTAATCCCAGCACTTTGGGAGCCTGAGGTGGGTGGATCACAAGGTCAGGAGATCGAGACCATCCTGGCTAACACAGTGAAACCCCATCTCTACTAAAAATGCAAAAAATTAGCCGGGCGTGGTGGTGGGCGCCTGCAGTCTCAGCTACTCGGGAGGCTGAGGCAGGAGAATGGCGTGAACCCGGGAGGCGGAGCTTGTAGTGAGCCGAGATTGCGCCACTGCACTTCAGCCTGGGCAACAGAGCGAGACTCCATCTCAAAAAAAAAAAAAAAAAAAAAAACCCCAGGCCCGGCGCAGTGGCTTATGCCTGTAATCCCAGCACTTTGCGAGGCCGAGGCGAGCAGATCACCTGAGGTCAGGACTTCAAGACCAGCTTGGCCAACATGATGAAACCCTGTCTTTACTAAAAATACAAAAAAATTAGCTGGGTGTGGTGGCGGACGCCTCTAATCTCAGCTACTCAGGAGGCTGAGGCAGGTGAATCACCTGAACCCGGGAGGTGGAGGTTGCAGTGAGCTGAGATCACGCCATTGCACTCTGGCCTGGGCAACAAGAGCGAAACTCTGTCTCAAAAGAAAAAAAAAATAAAAAAACCCAACAACTCAAAAACAACAGGCCCTGAGACCAGGCTGCCCTGCTTCAGCCCACTTCTTGTGGTCAGTTCTGGCCCTGCTGGCTACTGTGTGTTGGTGCTATGGTCCACTCCATGGGCGGATGATTCAGCTTGCCCTGTCGAGGGCTCCCTCTGGTTTTTGGGGTAGGGGAGCCAGTTTTCTAGCTTTAACGGGGGATGAGGGTGAGGATGGGGTGCAGCTGAGGCCCAAGGCCGATGCAGGAGACACCTTAGCAGGAAGGCAGAGCTGAGCTGTGACCCCACTGTCTTTTCTTTCTTCCGTAACTGCCTCTGGCCATCTGCCATCATCATCAGTGTGTGGAGTGCGTTCAACTCAGTCTCTCTGACGGTTTTTAGGGAACAGAACACAAATAACAACGTGGCCTGAGGACCCAAAGTGGCCCTAGCAAGGGTGAGTATTGGCCAATGAGGTAATGGACAGAGGAATTGGAGATTTGTTGAGTTCTGTATAGGGAGGATTTTTCTGCAGGAGGTAGTAGAAGATAAGCTATCCAAAAAGTGTCATAGGTTAATTGTAATGGGGTCCACGTTATTTTAATTGTTGAGAAAAATCTACAGGTTTATATCATCTGGGGTCCACTAAAGAGATCGTGTTATGCCAACTCATTGGGTCAGTTTTTCCTAAGATTTCAGTTATGGGTAATGTGGAATTTTTAGGTTTTTTGGGATGAATCTTCCTTGGTCTAACTCCACGAGGAAAGCTCTGCTCTTTTCTCAGTAGCAGGGCTTGCCGCTTAAGAAACTCCAGCCACCACAGCTGTCTTCCATATGCAGGCACCATTTGACAGGCTGCCGTGGTGGGATCTCTCCAGGCTCCCTGTGACTGTACCATTTCATCTTCTTCAGAGCTTCTCTTAGTAAAGAAAGAAAGTTTCTTTCTTTCGTTCTTTCATTCTCTCTCTCTCTCTCTCTCGTTTTCTTTCTCTCTCTTTTTTTTTTTTTTTTTTTGACATAGTTTCACTCTTGTCGCCCAGGTTGGAGTGCAGTGGCTTGATCTCAGCTCACTGCAACCTCTGCTTCCTGGTTCAAGCGATTCTCCTGCCTCAGCCTCCTGAGTAGCTGGGATTACAGGCGCACGCGACCATGCCCAGCTAATGTTTTGTATTTTTAGTAGAGATGGGATTTTGCCATGTTGCCCAGACTGGTCTAGAATTCCTGGCCTCAAGTGATCCTCCCTCCCAAAGTGCTGGGATTATAGGCGTGAGCCATCGAGCCCAGGCTCTCAGTAAAGAAGGCTTTCTATTCACATTTTTGTATCAGATGAGATTAGTTTCAGTCGGAAATTGCAAAATGTGGCTTAGCATGAAAGAAGATTTTCTTTTTATGTAAAAGGACCCTAGAGATGGGAAGCCCAGAGCCAGTGTAGCCAGCTGCATGGCCATCAGGATTTTGTCTCGTTCCTTCTACCTGGACTTGCCAGCTAAAGCCTGGTGATTGTGTGGCCCACTCTATGGATTGACAGGTGAGAGTTCAATTTGACCTAACTCCACTACCCTGGCACGTAGCTTTCTCATCCTTAAGGTTACCTCATAACAAAGCATGGCTGCCGGAGCTCCAGCCATCTTTCTTTTCTTTCTGGGTAGAACACCAAAGGGAGGAAATGTAAAGAAAGGCAAAATGTTTTTCTATGTGAGAGACTCCTTTAAAGGAGTCTTTCAGGAAGACCCACACACTTCTGCTTATATCTCATTAACCAGAACCTGGAAAACATGGTCACAGCTAGCTTCAAGGAAGTTTGAGAAATGCGGTTTTGTAAGTGAGTGCATCACTGGCTCTAGTAAGATTGGGGTACTGTTACTAAGAAGGAAATCTTTCTCCAGTTGGTGTCTGACTTCGTCTCTGTAGTGTCTCTCACGTGAGCACCTTCTGCTTCATGTGAGTCCACTTCTTCCTGCCCTGTATGCACGTAAGCAGTCCTCCCTCCAGACACAGGCTGGCTGTCCTCGCAGCTCTCCTTTGCTCTTCTTTTCTCGGAGCTAAGTCGTAGTCGCAGTGCAGGAGTCGGCTGTGCCCAGGCTGGAGTGCAATGGCGTGATCTTGGCTCACGGCAACCTCTGCCTCCCAGGTTCAAGCAATTCTCCTGCCTCAGCCTCCCAAGTAGCTGGGACTACAGGCATGCACCACCACACCTGGCTAATTTTGTATTTTTAGTAGAGACGGGGTTTCTCCATGTTTGTCAGGCTGATCTCGAACTCCTGACCTCAGGAGGCCCGCCTCGGCCTCCCAAAGTGCGGGGATTATAGCCGTGAGCCACCATGCCCGGCCGGTAGTGCATGGATTTCTGTAGGTACCATAGCAGTGTCAGTGCAAAGCTTGGCATACCTGGGAGGTTGCTGCCTCTGTGTTTCTGGGCTCTTCTCCCCATCCCCTTTCTGCAACTGTCTGTTTGGAAGTTGTGATCTTGACATGTGGCCCTTCTAGCCCCATGGCTTAGCACTGTGGGGCCCCGGAGGAGTGGGCTCTGGATGAGCATGCAGCACCCTTGAACATGTTGGATTCAGCCAGTGTGGATGTCGGCATGAGACGCTGACACAGGCATGTGTGTGCCCTCTGCAGCTCCCTTCTGCAGCTGCCTCTCCTATAAGACCAGGAATTTCAGAGGACACTCTCTCAGGAGCCCCTCTTCCTGGACATTTTCTTCCCTTGTGCTCATAAACATTCATAAACACCGTTTAATGGTCGAAGATTTTGGTTTATGACTAAAAATCTGAAATTCCTAAAATCTCTGTGGATTCAAGTCCTTAGGAAAGCTGGAGCAAACATGCAGCTGAGTGGGGAGTCGGAGATCTCTCAGATCTTTTCCCGGTCCAATCCTCAGCAGTTCTGTGATGCTGGCTGGGGCTTCTCAGGCATGAGATCTATTTCCACCTCCCACTCTAGGCTGGAAGTTGTCCAGGAAATTGTCACTGACATATTGAGGTGCATAGCAAATGCAGCTGGTAGAAGAAATGTGGGGTTCATCTTAGAAAATGCTGCTCCAAGGATCGGCTTGAGAAAGTGTTAATTTGTAAGAATTAAATGAGGATATTATGGGATGTTGGAAGGTGGGAATAAGTGTGTGAGTGAGTGTAGGCATCTCTTGGCTTTTCAGTGGTTCTCAGCCAGGGCTCTCTCTGGATGCAGTCTGCTTCCCCTGCCACACACAGCTTCCTCCAAGGCCTTGGCTAAGTACGGCCCATTCCTCAGCCTACTGATAGCTACATCCCCTCCTGAGGGGGAGGACATGAGGAAGGTTCCCTGTGGAGAGTGGGATGGAGGAGCATGGATTTTACTGGAACAGATGGGTAAGAGCGGGTGTTGGGGCAGGGCAGACACACACCTGTTGTGGAGGGTTAGGATGGAACAGGCTGCAGTGTCTCTCCTGGACAGATCCTTGCATTCTTTATGGTGCCTGCTTTCCTCTTCTACCCTAAACCAGGGAGATTTTGAAGGAGTGAAGCAGGAGAAAGGAGGTGATCACAGTGAATAGCCACCATTTACTGAGAGCTTGCTGTGTGCTGGACATTCTCAGTGGCTAAATGCATTGTCATTTAATCCTTAACAAGAATCCTGCTATATGGGTATTAAGTATCAGAGAGGCTGAATAACTTGATTAAAGTCACACAGCTAGTAAGTAGTTAAAAAAAGACTTGAAGCTGGGTGCAGTGGCTCACGCCTGTAATCCCAGCATTTTGCGAGGCCGAGGTGGGAGGATCACTTGAGGTCAGGAGTTTGAGACCAGCCTAGCCAACATGGTGAAACAGCGTCTCTACTAAAAATACAAAAATTAGCTGGGCGTGGTGGTGTCCGCCTGTAATCCCAGAAATTGCTTGAACCCGGGAGGGCGAGGTTGCTGTGAGCTGAGATCGCACCACTACACTCCAGCCTGGGCGACAGAGCGAGATTCCGTCTCAAAAAAAAAAAAAAGGAAAAGACTTGAATCCAGTTTGTTTGACTCACTTGCCTCTGCCCTTAACCACACTGAGATTCTGCTGCTCTGTTTGTTCATCAAGTGTTGGAGTGTCCATGGTGTTCCAGGCATGGTTTAACGTTTGCCTGGCTAAACATTAGCCAGCCTTTTGAATCTTTTGCTAGGCCCATCTATGTACTTCCTTGGAAAATCCAGTTTTAGCAAAGAACATTGCTGAGTTGGTTTAGCCAGAAACCCTCATTTTCTATATCTGATCCATTCCCTACCCTCCCCATGCCCCAGGTGATGTCTGATCACCCTGGCCCGTCTTCAGCAAGAATCCTGTTAGGTTGGCTGAGCCAGAATCTCCTTCCCCCTGATGTTCCTCTTGGTGATTTTTCATGCACTGACCCCACCTGCTCCTTGGCTCTGAATTCCCACTTGTCCATGCAGTGTTAGGAGTTGAACCTGATCTCTGTCCCCCACTACAGGTCCCCAATGCGATGGTCCCTGCACCTATCATAGTGGTGCTTCCTTACTGTATTCTCGTAAGTAGCACCAAATAATTTTTTCTTTAACAGGTTCTAGGCGCTAAGGATGATAACAGTAAGCCAGACAATAAAAGTTTCTATACTCGTGGAACCTCTATTCTAGCAGGGGGAGTTTCCCACCTTCTTTCATAGTTTCCCGTATTACATCTCTCTCACCTCATATATTTCATATAAATGTCACACTGCTTCCCCAGAATGCCGTTTCTTTTCTTGAAATAAACTCTTCCTTTTCTTTTTCTTTTTCTTTTCTTTTTTTTTTTTTTTTTTTTTTTTTTTTTTTTTTTTTGAGATGGAGTCTTACTCTGTCACCTGGGCTGGAATGCAGTGGTGTGATCTCGGCTCACTGCAACCTCCCCCTCCTAGGTCCAGGCAGTTCTCCTGCCTCAGCCTCTCAAATAGCTAGGATTACAGGTACGCACCACTGCGTTCAGCTAATTTTTGTATTTTTAGTAAAGACGGGGTTTCACCTTGTTGGTCAGGCTGGTCTCAAACTCCTGACCTCAGGTGATCTGCCCACCTAGGCCTCCCAAAATGCTGGGATTACAGGCGTGAGCCACCACACCCGGCCAGTCTTCCTTTTCTCAAACACTAGAGCAAGGAGTTTCTTGTCTGTTGGACCTTGGGGTATTGATGTC
Organism: Homo sapiens; assembly: GCF_000001405.40. Lineage (NCBI taxonomy): Eukaryota > Metazoa > Chordata > Mammalia > Primates > Hominidae > Homo > Homo sapiens. The sequence goes on along the minus strand of NC_000022.11, from coordinate 17,953,581 downwards.
CCCCGCCCTGATGTCCCCTATAGCCCCCATGTCCCAGAGAGATCATGTCCAGACAGCAGGACAGCCAAGGTAGAGTACCTTCTAGGGGGCTTGGACATTCCCCCAGGCCTTAACATGACCTTTCTGTACAGATCGTGTCCCATCTTCCCAGGGAAGGGTTCTCCTGGCTCACATCAAATTGCATTGCCCACCCCCACTGCCCGGAAGTTGTTTCAGAGGTGGGAAGGAGTAAAGGGCGTGCGATCATCCATTAGCTGGGAGCTGACCTTAGGACTGGTTTCAGAGAGGTTCTTGTGTTCAATTTATTTTAGTGGGGTAATTTATTATTTTTCCTATGGAGTCTGGTTCAGGCCCTACAGGTAAAGAAAGCTTGGCTGAATGTTACTGTCTGCTTTCAGATCAGATTCAGGGACCTAGAGAGAGATGCCTCACTCTGATCGAGGAAAGATATGGGAGTGCTTCCCGCTGCAAACTGCGTGTGCAGGGCTGGAGTGGCTGTGCACACCTTATGCTCCTGAGCCCTGCTGGGCAGAGGATTTTGGTTGAAGTTGCCGTCACTTTCCCGATGTCAGGGATGGGAGGCAGAGTTGCTGTTGTGGTCGTCTCCAGCCTTTGTTGGATAGCTGCTCCGAGTCAGGCGCGGTAAAAGGCATTTTACATATGTTACAACCGTGCTCTGAGGTGGGTGTTGTCTTCTTTTGCCCGAAAAGGAAACAGAGAGGTTAAGAACTCCCCCAGAGCCACATGGACAGAGCTGGGATCGAACCGAGGCTCCAAGTCCCAGTGTTCTTTCCAGTACCTCATGCATAGACCAGCCTTTTCCTCATCAGGCAGATCCTGCAGAACTGGCACCTGGGTTGCACTCAGTGGCCTCTCTGACGCCCCGCCTGTGTGGACCTCTCCACCCCCTGCCTTGGCAGCAGGCCTTGGGAGCTCAGATGGCTTATGATTAGCTGCTTGGTATTTTATAGCGCGTGATTGGCTGCTTGGTGTTTGTTTTATAGCTTTTGGTTGGCTGCTTTGTGTTTTATAGTGTGTGATTGGCTGCTTCCTGAGCCTCTTCTCTCTTTCTGTTTCCACTTCTCCCCACATGGTGGACCCAGGTTGACTTAGTTCGGCCTCCTCAACTCCAGGCCTGTAGCGAGGGTGAGGCTGGGAGAGCAGGGTGGGGTGGAGCCAGGCTACTGAGATGCCACACACAGGCCCGTGGGCTGGATGCTGCGGATTTCCTTGGAGGTTTCTCAAGGAAATGAAAACACAAGGTTGTGTTGGAGGGGTCTGGCGAGGAGAGTGGGGTGATGGGGAGGTTGGGGGCACCTGCCCCTACTTAGAACAGTGCTTACTTGTTCTAGGTGTTAGGGATAGGCTGCTAACAAAGGGTTGAATCACTTAGTCCAGTCCTGTCTTTGTACAGAAAAGGAAACCAAATCCTTTCCCAGGATGGGTGGTCCAGTAAGCATGGAGCCAGTGCTGCAGTCCCGTTCCCATCCTTGCAGTTCATTCCACCCTGGGTGTTCATGCATCACATAGCAGCCCTTGAGTTCTAAGTGATTTGGCTCTTGTGGGGCACTTTTAAGAAATTTTACGCCCGGCACAGTCGCTCACGCCTGTAATCCCAGCACTTTGGGAGGCCGAGGCGGGCGGATCACTTGAGGCCAGGAGTTCGAGACCAGCCTGGCCAACATGGGGAAACCCTGTCTCTACTGAAAATACAAAAATTAACCGGGTGTGGTGGCGGGCGCCTGTAATCCCAGCTACTCAGGGGGCCAAGGCAGGAGAATCCCTTGAGCCTGGGAGGCAGAAGTTACAGTGAGCCAAGATCGCGCCACTGCACTCAAGCTTGGATGCCTGAGCGAGACCCTGTCTCAAAAAAAAAAAAAGAAAGAAATTTTAAACACTGGTTTTCTAGAGGCAAGTAGTTAATAGATAATTCTCTAGTTATTCCATAATGGAAGACTGTTTGATTTCATGGCAACCCTGAGCAGTCATTTTATTCCTCAGCAGTCATGGATTTGGTGTTTGACCTGAACAAGGTCATGTTTGTTCTCTGTGCCCTGAGTTTTTCCTTTGGCGAAGCAGGGATAATGAATACTAGATCCGAACAGCAGCAGAGTGTGTCATGCGTCACACAGGGGCTCTTATCTCTCAGACCCTTTATGATACTTGCCAGTGTGTGAAGTACTTTCCATTGCTGAATTTCACCGACAATAGTAAGGTAGATGGAGCTTGGGTCATAGTTTGCATTTTGTAAGCATGAAGATGGACGTGGAGAGGTTGTGTGGCTCACTGAATGACGGACCCCGGGTCCAGATCCCTGTCTCCTGATCCTAATCCAGTGCTCCCGGCTGTACCACCCTGCCTATTCACAGTGGGCACACTGCAGGGTTGCGGGTGACCTTTCCTTACAGTCTGGGCATTCATTTCTGGCTGTGGAGGAACTTGTTGAGTAAGGGCAGTGCCACTTTGAGACAGTGGAGGAAGTGGCCCAGCCAGGAAGCCAGGCCACATCACCAGATGCCCAGTTGGAGAGAGCAGTGCTTTGGCCCTTCTCCCGGAAGACCCGTGGTAGGAGACTGGCCCAGGGTGGGGCTGACAGTGGGATCAGGGTGGGGCTGACAGTGGGATTTCCTTTCCTGTTCTTTATGGGATGGTGGGTATTTAAAAATGTCTCATGAAGCATTCTTTGGCGAGAGGCTGTGGTGTGCCAGAGTTCATGGCTTTAGCCTCTGAGTCTTTCCAAGTAGTGGCGTTGGTGGGTCTGCCCTCCGCAAGACATCTGTCGTGAGTGTGACTCTTCTTCAGATCAGCAACAGCAGTCGTTCCCTCCCCCGAACTCATTCTCAAGCCAGTCAGTAAGACTCTCTTCAAAGGGAGTTGTCCTGTAAGTCCTGGCAACCGAGTGGTGCAGTTTAGGAGTGCTGTTATGTGTTTTAAAATGGACAGCTGGCCGGGCGCAGTGGCTCACGCCTGTAATCCCAGCACTTTGGGAGGTCGAGGCGGGAGGATCACTTGAGGTCAGGAGTTCAAGACCAGCCTGGCAAACATAGTGAAACCCTGTCTCTACGAAAAATAAAATTAGCTGGGTGTGGTGGTGGGCACCTGTAGTCCCAGCTACTTGGGAGGCTGAGGCTGGAGAATTGCTTGAACCCAGGAGGCGGAGGTTGCAGTGAACCAGGATCAATTGCGCTCCAGCCTGGGCAACAAGAGTGAAACTTCGTCTCAAAAAAAAAAAAAAAAAAAAAAACAAAAACAAAACGCCAGATGTGGTGGCAGGCGCCTGTAATCCCAGCTGCTTGAGAGGCCAAGGTACAAGAATCGCCTGAACCTAGGAGGTGGAGGTTGCAGTGAGCCAAGATAGCGCCACTGCATTCCAGCCTGGGTAACAGAGCGAGACTCTTGTCTCCAAAAAAAAAAATAGACAGCTGTACCCTGTGAATGACCTGTGCATTTGTGCTTCTTCCTTGCCTGAGTTTTTCCCTCCTTCTGAAACACTGTTTCCTCTCTTCCTGATGACACACTGCCCACACTTCTCCAGATTCTACTTAGTCCTCTACAGGCTGTTTCTGATCACATCTCTCCCTTTCTAGACCACCCCAGGGAGTCTCTGGAAGCACTTTAGCTCCTGTTGGTCAGCAGCATGGGCTTGGCCCAGGAGCTTGTTAGAAGCACAGCATCTCTGGCCCTACCCAGGCCTGCTGGACCCAGATTCGCATTGTGCCAGGCTCCCCAGTTGCTTTGTGTGCACACAGGGAGTATCTGCCCCTGCATCGTGTGTTGTCCTTATCATGTTTTATTAGGGGTCACTACCTGGCTGTTTCGTCCTCTGCTTTACAGATCCGTCTTTTGTTTGGACCCCTTTGTAGCACCTGACGCATCCTTGGCATTGAGCAGGCACTACGGTATTTGAGATTGACTGACAGTCCCCATTTATTTGAAAACTTGTCGGATCATATAGGGAATTGCAGGAGAGATGTGGCATGCACGCTTATAAAAGTTTATGACAGAGGGCAAGAAAAAGTAAGAGAGGGCATAGTTAATACATTTGAATCCACCAGGTAAGGCACCGTTTGGGGAGGGGCACAGGTGTTGGAAGCAGCCCACCCTTAGCAAAGCAGTTCTCCCTGCTTTGTCGCTCACTGTGTGTGAACTTCCTGAACCTTAATTTAGTTGCCTGATTTCTACAGTGAGGTAACATTATACTCATAATGTTGCTCGGAAGATAAAATGAGATAATGCAGGTGAATCATGTCACAGTGTTTGGCCATGAGTGGTAGCTGGGTGTATGTACTTAGCCAGAGCTAAGTGTTCAGTTACGTTAGTTGGATTCTTGTTAATCTTTGAGAAATCTTGTTATATTTATTTATTTATTTTCGAGATAATTTCTCACTCTGTCACCCAGGCTTGAGTGCAGTGGCACGATCTTGGCTCACTACAACCGCCACCTCCTGGGCTCAAGCCATCCTCCCACCTCAGCCTCCTGAGTAGCTGAGACTACAGGCACATGCCACCATGTATGGCTAATTTTTGTATTTTTAGCAGAGATGGGGTTTCACCATGTTGGGCAGGTTGGTCTCGAACTTCAGACCTCAAGTGATCCATCCGCCTTGGCCTCCCAAAGGGCTGGGATTACAGGCACGACCCACCGTGCTGGCCAATTTTTTTTTTTTTTGAGGCAGCATCTCACTTTGTCACCCAGGCTGGAGTGCAGTGGCACGATCTTGGCTCACTACAACTGCCACCTCCTGGGCTCAAGCTATCCTCCCACCTCAGCCTCCCAAGTAGCTGGGACTACAGGCACATGCCACCATGTGGGCACAGCTCATTTTTGTATTTTTTTGTGAAGACGGGGTCTCACTCACCATGTTGCCCAGGCTGGTATCTGGAACTCCTGGGCTCTGAGATCCACCAGCCTCAGCCTCCCAAAGTACTAGGACTGCAGGTATGAGAAATCTTGTTTTTAAAAGGGACAAAATAGACAACTTTCTGAGACTCATATTCTGTCTTCCCCTGTATTGTTCCTTGATTTCCACGATGAGCCCAAGATTCTGAGGAGCAGGGTCTGTGTCTTGTGGATGCCTGGTGTCAAATGCTCTGCAGCTGGTATGTGAGGACTGGGGAGGGGAGGAGCAGGAGCTGGGCAGGGAGAGCACTGCCACCTTGGCACACCCCGCCTCGGGACACCATCATGGCCCCCCGGTATCCATGCTGCACAAAACAAGCTACCAAGAGGTGGAGTCCACCAAAGTGACCGTTCTGGGAGCTCTTGGGATTCCAGCTGGAGAGCCAGCAAGATTGTGGCGGCACTGTGGAAACATCCTCCCCAGCTCTTGCGCATCCTCCTGCGGGGGCACTTGCAGATTGCTGTGGAGGGAGTAAGGCCACGCCGGAGCAGGGCAGGCAGTGGGAGTGGGGACTTGCCAGACTGCAGTGTGATTTCTTTTCCAGTGGCAGGGATGGGAGGGAGGTGGATGACACAGGCATCTGGTAGATCAGCTCTGGAGCTTTCAAGCTCTCGTGCCTTGCTTTACAGGAGCAGAGGCTTGAGAACCCAGTACCTTAGAGTTGGTATCCTGGATCTGTACTGGCAGTTTTGTGGGTTTTTTTTTTTTAAACTTTTGCTATTAAACACATAATGTCTGTCTGGTAGGAGACACGGTATGTGTGGATGAATTCATAACTGTATTTGAAGCGGTTTGAAGATGAGCATTGTTAAGTTAGGCCAGATACAGTAGCTCATTACCTTTAATCCCAGCACATTGGGAGGCTGAAGTGGGAGAATCACTTGAGCCCAGGAAGTTTCACCTGGGTGACATAGCAAGATGCCATCTCTACAAAAAATTTAAGAAAATATCAGCCGGGTGTGGTGGTGCACACCATCGCCTGTGGTCCCAGCTACTCGGGAGGCTGACGTGGGAGGATCACTTGAGCTCAGAAGTTGGAGGTTAACAGTGAGCTATGATGGCACCACTGCACTCCAGCCTGGACAACAGAGCAAATAAAAATAAGATAAAAATTTGATCTTGAGGGGATTGAGGCATCTTTTCTTTCATACTTTGATTTTACAATGATAGGTTGATGCAAAACCAGAATGAGCAGAATTCACTGTTCAGTTCATGTTGGTAATTCTATCTCAGTGGTGCGCACAGAACACGGTGAAGGTGAGAGAAAGCTGGACTGCAAATTGGAGTTTGGAGCAAGGCAGACACCGAGGTCTTTTCCTCTTTCCTTAAGGGATTTCCTTGTCCCAGTTACCTCTTCATGAAGGGAAAACATTGTCTCATTGGCAGTTTGGCCATGCTGGGGGGCCCACTGTCCTCTGGGTGTGTAGAGGCTGTCTTGGCGGGCACAGTCTTGCTGGCAGGGCCCAGGCTGCAAGATGAACGCGTGCAGCGGCTGTAGGCTGGCCTGGGAGAACGAAGTGGGGAGAGGGGGCCAATCCAGCCATGTGGCCTTGCAGCCCGGCTCTGATCTTAGATGGACAGCAGATATTTGATGTGCTGCGTTTCTCTTCTGAAGTCTCACTCCTCCTTTCTTTGTGATTTAAACAATTTCTTCCCTCCCACTTTTTGTCCAAATTCCTCAGTCCATACTCTTTGAAATCTGAAGTATGGAGAGGCGATAGCAGGGCCCTCCCCACCCATCTTCCGGCTTGGAAGGGGTATCATGTGGTTCAGCTGGGCCCTTTGCTGGAGAGCAGAGGGAGGGGTGTTCCCCAGGGAAGAGGGCAGGAAAGACCAGAGGTTAAAAATAGGCAGCTTGTAGGAACTTGCCCACCACTCCCTCAGGTCCTCCTGTGATGTGCACACTTGGAGTAGAATGGCTTTGGAGCAGAGAAGGGGAAAATAGATCAGCCCTCACTTAAACATCACATTAGCCATTGGCTTTTCCTCTATCTTCCACATAAGAGGAACTTTCCCCAATCACCTGGTGGTTTTGGATTTGTGTCCCCTGGTACTTTGGGGATGTGTCCACATGTGTGTGCAGTGCCTCTGTCTGCATGTGTGTGGCGCTAAGATGACTCAGTGTCGCATGTGCTGAGACATTCCGGGGCTGCAGGTGGGTGTTCTCACAGAGGCTCGCCTGAGGGATCTTTTGCACATACAAAGATGTGTCCCATTTATAAGTTAGTTCCCTACACTAAATGAAAGAACTCTCCGGGGCCGTGTGTGTGCAGTGAATACACATGTGGGTCGTTGTTTCACACAGGCGGTGTCCTGGTTGCAGGCAGAGTGTGAGAATGCAAGCTGTGCTGGCTGCTCTGATATGGTCCACAAGGTATGAGGCAGCTTTTGTTCTCTTTTTGTTCTTTTCGGAAGTAGGGGTGCCTGCCCACCCCCGAAGCCAGGGAAAGTGCAGTCTTCTCTGGCCTCCTGGTCAGGTAGAGCTGCTCCGGTTAAAACTGTCAAGAGCATCCTGTCTCTGTTCCCTGAGACAGCCACAGGGGACTCCCAGGAATACCCAGCCAAGGACTTGAGATGCTGCCTGCTTTGTCATCTGTACCTGCTTGCCACACTCTCCTCCACTTAATACCCTGTTGTTACTAGCGAGGATTTCCGGTCCTGACTTTCAATCTGGATTTTGAATAACTTGATAAGGTGATTGCTTTCGGATCCCTCTGGGCCTGTGTCTGCCCCTCCCTGTAAGCTGAGAGAGCAGCTGGGCCCTTCAGTTTCTATGGCCCTTCCGCCACCGAGTGAACATGCTCCTGTGGGGCTTGGCCTGTGTGACCCACCTCATCCCTTTTGTCTCAGTCTTCCTGCTAAATACAGCCTCTTCTCTCCCTCATCCCTTCTTTCTCTGCTCTCTGGGCAGAAGAGAAGCTTTGGCTGTAGTCTTTGATGTGGGAGGCTAGACTGGAAGGCATTCTGGGTGGGGGAGGGAGGTGCCTGGTGGAATTGGGGCGTATGGGGGCTGTGTGGAGAGGGGCCCGCTGCCTTTACTGAGCCCCTCCCCTCCCTGGGCAGTAGGGCGCGTGTTACCCCTTGCTCTCCACATCTCAGGGAGAAGAACCCAGGTCCTCATGTGAATCCTGCTGTTTTACTTGGGGACACCCGGGAATGTGAATGGGTGAAGGTCTTCCTGGCTGGTGCCTTTGTTTCGGGTTGTTTTTCTTTGAGGTGCCTCTCCTACTCCCACAGGGCCTGTGCAGGGGTGCTCAGAGCCCACAGCGGATGTTGGCAGCGCGTGTGCAGGGAGCTGGCCAAGGACCCTGCTTTCTCTCTGGGCCAGCGCCCAAGGTGCCCTATTAATTTAGATTTTCATGTGCATTAGTGGACGAGGGTGAAGGAGACGCAGGCCCTCGGCTGGCAGTCGTTTTACACCACCACCGGCTAGGCTGAAATGGGGAAAGAAATATGGGGATTGGGGGCTTCCTTATGGAGAAAGGTAAAGGCTGAAATGGTGTGTGAGAGAGGACTTGAGGCTTTTTTCCTGGGGGTCAGGGAGAGTTGGAGTTGACAGCACTCAGCCCTAATAGGTATAGACTGAGTCCAGCCTGAGGTATTAGACCCTATATTTATTGGCTTGATCTTAATTTTACACCTGGTCATACTGTTGAAAAAAAAAAAAAAAAAGGTCCCCCAGTGCCTGAGTGCGAACTTCATATTTAGTGGCATTTGATAGTATATTTATTATTTCTAGTAAGTTTGATGATCTCAGAGGTGTGCAGTGATGTTCCTGGAAGTGAATAGTACAGCGGTCCCCAGGAACTGTGGGGAGAACCCTGCTCCGCCTCAGCCTCTTCTCCCATCTGCTGCCGTGGCCTGCTCCACCCTCAGATAGCTGTTGGAGGACCCAGCAGCCTGTGCTTCTCTTAACATGTCCAGTTGTACCCTATTTTCAGTTAAAAATGCGGTTTCTCCCACCTGCTTTCCCCTGGAGCGGCACGTGAAAGGGTGTAGTGCCCTTCTCTTGACACCTGCCTGTCCCCACAGTCCTATCGTCAGTGGGTGCGTGTGCTCACTGCTGCCTGGCACTGCTGGGTTCTCAGGAGGCCTGCACACCGAAACTTTGCATGGAATGTTGCCCTTGTGCCATTAGCAAAGCGGAGGCTGGGTCGGCTCTGCTCTCCCTGCCTCCGACTTCATTGTTCGGGACTTAATGTAATAATATGCTTGAACAGGCGGGAGATCACATTAGCTTGGCTCTGCAGTTGTAAACAATATTTGCTCTGTGAGCATTCTCCTTCACCCCCTGCTCTCCTGGAACCCTGCGCCCTCTCCTACTGCCACCCCCTCTCTCCTTGCATATTCTAACCTTGGCTAAACAGCTTCATTCATGAGATGGCCAGTGTTTTCTGGGAGGAAAGTGGCTGAAAATAATGAAGTCCCGAGAACCTCTAGCTATGACGCACAAGTAAACACTGGTTAGTTAGTTTCTGGATAGAGGTTTTAACTGATGTCCATGTCAACCAAAGTCTTTTTCTCTCTCTCCACTGGAGTGGAACCCTGTTTGAAAACACACACACACATGCACTCAGGTACCAAAAACAGCTTTCCTAAGGCCCTGACTCTGTCCTTGGCGGGGAGCACTGGGCAGATGGGACAGAGGCTTCCACTGTCAGTGTTGGCAGGGGTGGGAGGTGGAGAGGGGCAGGAGTGCAGGTGCATCCCTGGGGTGCCTGTTTTTTTCCATAGAAAGGTTTTTGTCCTCTGCTTCTCACTCTCTTCTATAGTTTGATGTAGAAAAAGGTAAAAGAAAAACTCCATCTCTCACCTGCACTGCCTTTTCCAATTTAACAATTGCAGTGGTTGGTTTCACAGACAAAACCTGCTCCACCTTCTCTGTGCTGATTGGTGGCTGATGATGTCATGGCATAAAGCTCAAACTGATTGTTTTCTCTATGGGACAGGTCCCAAAACAGCAGACAGCAAAGCTATTATTGCTCTTTTGTTTCCTCCAGTTTACGCTATCAAACAAGATGGGAAAGGTGGGAGCAGAGCCATGGCTGCACATCGCCTGATCTATTCATAAAGCGCAGCCTTGGGCACCTTGAGTAAGGAGGGCTTCTCACATCAGGAAAAAGCCTTTGTTTTTCACGAGAGCAACAATACTTTTTTCACTGGAGATATTTTGCCTGTCTGCTTTAATCTTCTCTGTTAAGAGAAGGATAGATGCAGCTCAGGGTGCGGTGGCTCATGCCTGTAATCCCAGCACTTTGGGAGGCTGAGGTGGGTGGATCACCTGAGGTCAGGAGTTCGAGGCCAGCCTGGCCAACATGGTGAAACCCCGTCTCTACTAAAAATATAACAAATTAGGCAGGCATGATGGCAGTTGCCTGTAATCCCAGCTACTCGGGAGGCGGAGTCAGGAGAATTGCTTGAACCCTGGAGGCAGAGGTTGCAGTGAGCTGAAATCGCGCCATTGCACTCAAGCCCGGGTGACAGAGCGAGACTCCATTTTAAAGAAAAAAAAGAAGGATAGATACAATTTCAAAGAAATTTCTTCTGGCCCAAGAAAGAGTAGGAAGAGGAGTTGATTTCAGGGAAATAAAAAATAATCAGAAGAATGTCACTCGGTTCCTTTGCAGAGCTTGGGAATTCTTCCTGCTGTCAGCATGTGTCCATCATAGAGGTGAACTGTAGTTCTGTAGCAGTGGCTGTGTTGTGTGAGTTCAGCATCGCCTGTGTTCTGAAGGGCCTGAGGGCAGAAGCTACTCAATGAGATCTGCTTTCACCTTGGACCTTGCTGGGTCTGCTGTGCTGTAGAGAGGACGGTCGTGCAGCTGGGAATTCGGCAGAGCAGGCCTGGCCCAAGTCTCTTAGGGCAGCACCCATCAAGCTGGAGCCCTCTGGGACTGCCCTGGTTGAACTGCGGGCCTGGCTCACCTGGTGCTGCCCAGCAGCGTCACGGGCATCTCTAGGTGCTTGTCATCTATAGCTGTTCAGACACTCTGGAAGCCTAGTGTGAGGCCAGGCTCCCTCAGAGGGCTTCCGCAGTGGCCCTACAGCAGTCCCCTACAGGAAGCTCCCTTTTCATCAGGGATCTGCTGGCGACTGTCTTCAGACTCGGTGAGGTCTCTGAGCGTCTGAAAGCCACTCTCCTTAGATTTTACATATGATCATTGCCACTTCATGCCCATGGATCTGCACAGACCTTCACAGCTGTTTCTAGAAAGCTTGGCTGTTAAAGCCACACCACTCCGCTAAGTGGAGGAGGTGAGGCATGTCTGACAGGAGGTGGTACCAGGCAGAGGACTGGATAAGCCTCCCTCCCAACCCACAGAGCTGTTCTTGGTGGGGCTGGGCTCCATTTACCTTCTGGAGCACCCTGGGCTTTGATTTGTTGGGTGAGAGGAAACTCTACAGCTGGCTGGACAGCCACGGTCACTTGGTGCATGGACTGCCTTCGCCCACTTGGCTGTGCTTAATTCTGTGCCTCCCTGCAAGCATACAATCACCGGGCTATCTTTAGCCATGTTGCGGTGTGGCTGCACCTCTGGAGAGACAGAATGTTACAGCTGGTTCACATTTTCCTGAACAAAACAGACACGCTCCGAGATTAGGCAAGTCGTTTCCTTGAGTGCTGTGGCTGGGCGCCTCTCCTTGTTGTTGTCTTAAGGCTAGGGGTCGGAGGAATTTGCCACACAGGTGGTTGACGTGCAGGTAAGGGAGAAGGCCCGCTTGAAGGTGGGTGAACCTCTGCCTGTTCCGCTGCCTGTGCTGCAGCCCCAGGCCTTCCTTCTGCTTTCCCCCTCCTGGGCCCTGGAGGCACTTTAGAATGGGGGTGGGAGGGAGCGATTGACCACGCCTGCCCCAGGCCATCACAGATTCTGATTGGATGGGTCTGGATGGGGCCTGAACATTGGTGTAGTTTTAAAGTTCGTCAGTGATTCTAATGAGCTTTATGTATACCCTGTGAAGGTCAACCAAACAGCTAACCTCACAGTATAGTAAAAATACATTTTTCTTCTTCGCTTCTCAGTTCCTGTATCCCAAGAGTGGCATATGGAAAGCATGTGGCAGTTACTTCTCAAATTGAGAACTGCCTGAATTTTATGAACAATGACAGCTGTTGCTCTGGTGTAGCATTTGAAGCTCAACCTGTTTCTACTTTCCGTCTTTTGACTTCCGTCTTTGCAGGGGACCCCTTGTCTCCTGGGAAGAACCCAGTGGCAGGGTCTCCTGCAAGTCCTCATAATCCATTGGCCTCTCTCCAAGCCCCAGACACTTTTCTTCCAGAGAAGCTGAGAATGGGGATGTGCTCAAGATCACACCTGCCATCATCATTATCCACTGATTGACAGCCATCATCTCCACCCCATAATGACTAGTTTTCAACTTGGCTGACATCGGTGCCGGTGTTGACATAGTTCACTTCTCTAATGATGGAATCTCTTTGGGCAGGGGTCTTTTGAGTCTCTTAGGGCAAATGCAGGCTGAGAAAAATGATGTGGAGCAGTTCTGAGTGAAGACTTGTTATGAGACGAAGAGAGCAGGTGAACGGTGGGGTCCAGCTGGTGTGGATGAAGCACCTGCTGTGTTTGAGACGGAGTGGAAGCAGTACTCTGCTTGGCCCATTCATCCCGTGGCCTAGGCATAACTGAGCATCTCATGCTTTCTTTAGTGGGTTCATCCCGTGGCCTAGGCATAACTGGGTGTCTGGTGCTTTCTTTAGTGGGTAGGTTGGGGAGGAGTGGATGGGCTTATAATTCTACCCAGGGCTCTGATATCACAGGAGTTTACATGGCATTTGGCTTGTTTTGTGTAAATCATCCTACCCTGATTAAATACCTCTTGAGCTATTTGATGCTGGCCTGTCCTGTGAGGTAGGGCTTATAGCCTTTCCTTTGAGAAATTAGTCCACAGATCTGGAAAAGGTTCTTTAACTGCTTGAGTATTCTCTGCCTGATTTTGACTGCCTCTTCTGCCTGGTTTCCCTTTCTGATCCTCTCTCTGGCTGCCATTGCTTTTGTTTTTATGATATATTCTTGGATTTACCCTACCTTTGCCTCTTTCCTTGTAATGAGCTTATTTTTTATTCTTTTACTGTCAAAGTTGTCATATTCTTCCCTGTATTCTGCCACTAGACTATTTCATGGAACTAGTCCTTCACTGTTCCCTTTCATCTTTGGGTTTGGTTTGATAAAGTTGTGATGTATGGGTTTAACAGCCTTCATCAGAATCAGTTTTCTTATTCCTTCTTTTTCCTTCTTCCTCCTCCTCCTTCCTTCCTTCTTCAGACAGAGTCACACTATGTCACCCAGGCTGGAGTGCAATGGTGCGATCATAGCTCACTGCAGCATTGATCCCCTGGGCTCAAGCAATCCTCCCACCTCAGCCCCCTGAGTAGCTGGGGCTACAGGTGCATGCCACCGCACCTGGCAGGATCAGTTCTCTTTATAGGCTGACTCACAAATACTTTTCACCATAAGAAGTCTTATTTTGGAAGTTGTATCCAACTGGCCCTGAAAGGGCAGATAGTAAAATGACAATTGATTGATACATTGAAAATAATCAGATGGTGGCATTTCCTTGCCTCAGCTTTTGTCCTTAACTTCAGAGGGATGAAGTCCAGGGGCCTTCTCTGGTGATCTGAAGGCATGTTCTGGCTGGCCTAGGAGTGGTACAGGACTGCCGGCTGTGGTGCTTTGACTCTAGGGGATTATTAGTATCTTCAGTAAATACAGTATGTACATACTTCTGTGCCTGCGGAAAAGGGCTCAGGTCATTAGTGTGCAGTAGTGTTGCTGGTCCCGATGTCTTTTAAATTGGTTATCCAAGTTTCCATGGTGTCTTGCGTAGAGTAGCTCTTTTTGGCGTTAGGTAGGCAGAAGTGACTGAGACTATTTGCTGTAGAGGAGGGCAGTTGCTCTAATTTAATGTAAAGATAGGAAGATAGGAGCCTGGTTTCCCAGTCACTCTCCAGCTAGGGAGGGCTTTTCATTTCTACATGTGGAAAAAAGTGTTTGTCTAGCTCCTTTGGAAATCATTGATGCCATCTTAACAGAATTGCAGAGAGAGGCAGGTCTGTTCTTCATAAGGTATAGAGGGTTGAGTCAGAGCCCTTCATGTGGCCAAATTCACTATCCAGAATTCAGCCCAGTCTCCCAGGCTTCCCGCCCTGCCTCTGGAGTTTGGCCTCCTAGGGGGATGGCAGGGATACGTGGCTGCTACTTGCCCCTGCAGCACCTTTGTGAGAGGGCAGGAGGTGCAGCCCTTCTTCTTTGTGGCACTGGTCCTCAGCTGGTGTGTGACTTGCTGAGTTGGGTGCCGGCTGAATCTCAGGCCCTGTTCCCTGACCCACTTTGTCTTGGTCTGTTTTCTGTTGCTTGTAACAGAATGCCTGAAACTGAGTGATTTATAAAGAAGTGAAATTTGTTCTTAACAGTTATGGAGGCTGGGAAGTCCAAGGTTGAGGGGCGGTGTCAGGGGAGGGCCTTTTTGCTGGTGGGGACTCTGCAGGCCGTGCAGGGCTGATCACATGGCAAGGGAGCTGAATGTGCCAACTTAAGTCACTTTCTCCTCTTCTGAAGACACCAGTCCCACTCCCATGATAACCCATTAATCCACTAACTCATTAATCCATGAATGGATTAGTCATTAATCCCAATGACTTCCTGAAGGCTCCACCTCTCCATACTGCCACATTGGAGATGAAATTTCTACATGAATTTCAAAAGGAACAAACATTCCAACCACAACACCCCTTTACTGGGAGTTTGTATACTGTACATGGTAGCCAGGGGTGGGAGCAAGAGCCTGAGACTCACGCAGATCATGAGCTGTAATGCCTGTGTAGATGTGTGCTTCACCTTCACCACGTGTTACCCAGATGGTTTTTGCTGCACGTGCTGAATGACCTTGAGATGTCAGCTTGAGCCAGGAGCACTGGTGTGGAGGAGGGTGGGCTGACTTTCACAAGTGAGCAGTGGCCTCACCCTCTGCCACGCTTCCGTTTAGTCCTTTAAGACTCTGGGTATCAAAGCATCAGCTTAGACCAAGGCACTCCTCATTCATTTCAACACCCAAATCTGTTGTCCAGAATTGTGCTTGGTATCAAAGTGCAGCACAGTGGTCTGCCAAGTTTAAGCTCAGGAATGCACAGAATCCCAGCGGCCTAATACAGCCTCCTCCGTTCGTAAGGAGGAGCATTGGTAACACAGCAGCGTAGGGAAAAGGCAGCCCACCCCTACCAAATCTGTATTACCTGTGGAGCTGTGTTCATGGCTGAACCCTGCTGAGCTTGGCCGTATGTCCAGCTATTGAGTGATCTGAATTCAAACCTACTTCCCTCCCGGTTGGTTGCTCTGGTCCCCCTATGGAGGTATTAGTTTGTATTTCATTCTTGACACCTGTGAGTTCTTTGTGGGGAAGTGGAATAATTACGGCTTTAAAGTGAGGCGCTCTTGAGTTTGAATGTTGTCATCCTCTGCTTATTAGCTGGCCAACTTAATTACCCTGTTATCCTGAGTTTTCTCATCTGTGCAGTGAGAATCATGAGTTCTTACTGGATTGTTGTGAAGATGAAGTGAAAATATTTCTGTGAAGTGCCCAGTACCATGCTTGACACTTTAAAAAAATTTAATAAATAAAGATAGATACTATAATCAGCAAGACACGGCCGACAGACCTCTCATGCCTCCTCCTTGCAAGAAAGGGATGTTTGTAAAGTCTTGTACTGAGCTTGACATCTGACCTTGAAATATAACTGTTTGCCAGAAGGTGAAGAGAATATGTGCACTCTTGCAAGTAATTTGTTGGCTTCATTCATATCTTGACTGCTTTAATGCTGAAAAGATGAGACATGGTCCTCACTCCCAGGAACTCATGAATCTGGGGAGACAATCACGTAAACTGGTTATGAGAGAATAATTAAACTTTCCAGGTGTCATGATAGAGGTTAGTTTGAGGTATGGTGAAGTTAGCAATCTGTTTTTGATAGCAATCCATCTTTTTTATTATTGTTAATTATTATTTTGAGACGGAGTTTCACTCTTCTTTCCCAGGCTGGAGTACAATGGCGTGATCTTGGCTCACCGCAACCTCTGCCTCCTGGGTTCCAGCGATTCGTCTGCCTCAGCCTCCTGAGTAGCTAGGATTACGGGGATGCGCCACCACGCCTGGCTAATTTTGTATTTTTAGTAGAGACGGCGTTTCTCCATGTTGGTCAGGCTGGTCTTGAACTCCTGACCTCAGGTGATCTGCCCACCTTGGCCTCCCAAAGTGCCGGGATTACAGGTGTGAGCCACCACGCCCGGCCCATCTTTTTTGTTAAATAAGTATGGGACTGAAGTAGATCGGGGGGAAAGCTAGACTTTGGCCTTGTCCAATTTAAAATAACATCCTTGGAGAATTGATGGGTCCTCAGAAGGACCTGTGGTAGAACAGTTAGGGAGTATTTCTTTGGCATACTTAAAAGTAGTAATGATGGAAAGAAGCCAAAAGAGATAAAGCAGGTAATTTACCATTTAAGCAAGTGCCATTGGTAGCTTGCTGTGCGACTCAGGATGTTATTTCATCTCTCTTGACTTCTGTTTCTGTATCTGTCAAGAAGAGACATCAGCATCAGCCTTCCAGACTCATGGAACTACGAGTTGTAAGTGGGATAATCTGCATGGAAGTACTTGGAGAAGCATGAAGTGCTACCTACATACGTAGTGGGGTTGGGGACACGTGCGTAGTCATCACTGTGCTCTTGCAGAGGAAGGTGGCATCAGAGAGGAGACCTACCAAAGGAGTCAAGACCAAGCACGTGCTGTTCCCTCTTGTCCTGCACACCTCTGCTTTAAGTTACTCAGAAAAGCTTCTCTGACTTAGGGCCTCTCCTACTATTTTTTGTTTGTTTGTTTTTGTTAATTTATTGGTTTAATGGTAATTTCTTTTTACAATAATGACTTTCAATTCTAGAGAATTTTTTAATTGAGGTATAATTTTCATGCAAAATAATCCACAGATATTTTTAAGCCTTTAGGTGGGCATTGACAGATGAATATATATTCACATAATCTCCATAATCAAGATATAAACTCTTTCTGTTATCTCAGAAAGTTTCTTTTTTTTTTTTTTAATTATACTTTAAGTTCTAGGGTACATGTGCACAACATGCAGGTTTGATACGTAGGTATACACGTGCCATGTTGGTTTGCTGCACCCATCAACTCATCATTTACATTAGGTGTTTCTCCTAATGCTATCCCTCCCCTAGTCCCCTACCCCACGACAGGCCCTGGTGTGTGGTGTTCCCCGCCCTGTGTCCAAGTGGTCTCATTGTTCAGTTCCCACCTATGAGTGAGAACGTGCAGTGTTTGGTTTTCTGTACTTGTGATAGTTTGCTGAGAATGATGGTTTCCAGCTTCATCCATGTCCCTGCAAAGGACATGAATTCATCCTTTTTATGGCTGCATAGTATTCCGTGGTGTATGTGTGCCACATTTTCTTAATCCAGTCTATAATTGATGGACATTTGGGTTGGTTCCAAGTCTTTGCTATTGTGAATAGTGCCGCAATAAACATGCGTGTGCATGTGTCTTTATAGTAGCATGATTTATAATCTTTTGGGTATATACCCAGTAATGGGATTGCTGGGTCAAATGGTAATTCTAGCTCTAGATCCTTGAGGAATTGCCACACTGTCTTCCACAATGGTTGAATCAATTTACACTCCCACCAACAGTGTAAAAGCGTTCCTATTTCTCCACATCCTCTCCAGCATCTATTGTTTCCTGACTTTTTAATGATTGCCATTCTAACTGGCATGAGATGGTATCTTATTGTGGTTTTGATTTGCATTTCTCTGATGACCAGTGACGATGAGCATTTTTTCATGTGTCTGTTGGCTGCATAGATGTTTTCTTTTGAGAAGTGTCTGTTCATATTCTTTGCCCACTTTTTGATGAGGTTATTTTTTTCTTGTAAATTTGTTTGAGTTCTTTGTAAATTCTGGATATTAGCCCTTTGTCAGATGGGTAGATTGCAAAAATTTTCTCCCATTCTGTAGGTTGCCTGTTCACTCTGATGGTAGTTTCTTTTCCTGTGCAGAAGCTCTTTAGTTTAATTAGATTCCATTTGTCTATTTTGGCTTTTGTTGCCATTGCTTTTGGTGTTTTACTCATTAAGTCCTTGCCCATGCCTGTGTCCTGAATGATATTGCCTAGGTTTTCTTCTAGGATTTTTATGATTTTAGGTCTAACATTTAAGTCTGTAATCCATCTTGAATTAATTTTTGTATAAGGTGTAAGGAAGGGATCTAGTTTCAGCTTTCTGCATATGGCTAGCCAGTTTTCCCAGCACCATTTATTAAATAGGGAATCCTTTCCCCATTTCTTGTTTTTGTCAGGTTTGTCAAAGATCAGATGGTTGTAGATGTGTGGCATTATTTCTGAGGCCTCTTTTCTGTTCCATTGGTCTATATCTCTGTTTTGGTACCAGTATCATGTTGTTTTGGTTACTGTAGCCTTGTAGTATAGTTTGAAGTCAGATAGCGTGATCCCTCCAGCTTTGTTTTTTTTGCTTAGGATTGTCTTGGCAATGCGGGCTCTTTTTTGGTTCCATATGAACTTTAAAGTAGTTTTTTCCAATTCTGTGAAGAAAGTCATTCGTAGCTTGATGGGGATGGCATTAATTTTCATGATATTGATTCTTCCTATCCATGAGCATGGAATATTCTTCCATTTGTTTGTGTCCTCTTTTATTTCATTGAGCAGTGGTTTGTAGTTCTCCTTGAAGAGGTCCTTCACATCCCTTGTAAGTTGGATTCCTAGGTATTTTAATCTCTTTGTAGCAATTGTGAATGGGAATTCACTCATGATTTGGCTCTCGGTTTGTCTATTATTGGTGTATAAGAATGCTTGTGATTTTTGCACATTGATTTTGTATCCTGAGACTTTGCTGAAGTTGCTTATCAGCTTAAGGAGATTTGGGGCTGAAACAGTGGGGTTTTCTAAATATACAATCATGTCATCTGCAAACGGGGACAATTTGACTTCCTCTTTTCCTAATTGAATACCCTTTATTTCTTTCTCTTGCCTGATTGCCCTGTCCAGAACTTCCAACACTGTGTTGAATAGGAGTGGTGAGAGAGGGCATCCTTGTCTTGTGCTGGTTTTCAAAGGGAATGCTTCCAGTTTTTGCCCATTCAGTATGATATTGGCTGTGGGTTTGTCATAAATAACTCTTATTATTTTCAGATAAGTTCCATCAATACCTAGTTTATTGAGAGTTTTTAGCATGAAGGGCTGTTGCATTTTGTCAAAGGATTTTTCTGCACCTATTGAGATAATCCTGTGGTTTTTGTCTTTGGTTCTGTTTATGTGATGGATTACGTTTATTGATTTGCATATGTTGAACCAGCCTTGCATCCTAGGAATGAAGCTGACTTGATCATGGTGGATAAACTTTTTGATGTGCTGCTGGATTTGGTTTGCCAGTATTTTATTGAGGATTTTCGCATTGATGTTCATCAGGGATATTGGTCTAAAATTCTTTTTTGTTGTTGTTGTGTCTCTGCCAGGCTTTGGTATCAGGATGAGTTAGGGAGGATTCCCTCTTTTTCTGTTGATTGGAATAGTTTCAGAAGGAATGGTACCAGTTCCTCTTTGTACCTCTGGTAGAATTCGGCTGTGAATCCATCTGGTCCTGGACTTTTTTTGGTTGCTAGGCTGTTAATTACTGCCTGAATTTCAGAGACTGTTATTGGTCTATTCAGAGATTCAACTTCTTCCTGGTTTAGTCTTGAGAGAGTGTATGTGTCCAGGAATTTATCCATTTCTTCTAGATTTTCTAGTTTATGCATAGAAGTGTTTATAGTATTCTCTGATGATAGTTTGTATTTCCGTGGGATCGGTGGTGATATTCCCTTTATCATTTTTTATTGTGTCTGTTTGATTCTTCTCTCTTTTCTTCTTTATTAATCTTGCTAGTGCTCTATCAATTTTGTTGATCGTTTCAAAAAACCAGTTCTTGGATTCATTGATTTTTTTGAAGGGTTTCTTTGTGTCTGTAATCTCTTTCAGTTCTGCCCTGATCTTAGTTATTTCTTGCCTTCTGCTAGCTTTTGAATGTGTTTGCTCTTGCTTCTCTAGTTCTTTTAATTGTGATGTTAGGGTGTCGATTTTAGATCTTTCCTGCTTTCTCTTGTGGGCATTTAGTGCTATAAATTTCCCTCTACACTCTGCTTTAAATGTGTCCCAGAGATTCTGGTACCTTGTGTCTTTGTTCTCATTGGTTTCAAAGAACATCTTTATTTCTGCTTTCATTTTGTTATGTAGCCAGTAGTCATTCAAGAGCAGGTTGTTCAGTTTCCATGTAGTTGTGTGGTTTTGAGTGAGTTTCTTAATCCTGAGTTATAATTTGATTGCACTGTTGTCTGAGAGACAGTTTGTTGTGATTTCTGTTCTTTTACATTTGCTGAGGAGTGCTTTACTTCCAATTATGTGGTCAGTTTTAGAATAAGTGCGATGTGGTGCTGACAAGAATGTATATTCTGTTGATTTGGGGTGGAGAGTTCTGTAGATGTCTATTAGGTCTGCTTGGTGCAGAGCCGAGTTCAGGTCCTGGATATCCTGGTTAACCTTCTGTCTCGTTGATCTGTCTAATATTGACAGTGGGGTGTTAAAGTCTCCCATTATTATTGTGTGGGATTCTAAGTCTCTTTGTAGGTCTCTAGGGACTTGCTTTATGAATCTGGGTGCTCCTGTATTGGGTGCATGTATATTTAGGATAGTTAACTCTTCTTGTTGAATTGATCCCTTTACCATTATGTAATGGCCTTCTTTGTCTCTTTTGATCTTTGTTGGTTTAAAGTCTGTTTTATCAGAGACTAGGATTGCAACCTCTGCTTTTTTTTGTTTTCCATTTGCTTGGTAGATCTTCCTCCATCCCTTTATCTTCAGCCTATGTGCATCTTTGTACATGAGTCTCCTGAATACAGCACACTGATGGGTCTTGACTCTATTCAATTTGCCAGTCTGTGTCTTTTAATTGGAGCATTTAGCCCATTTACATTTAAGGTTAATATTGTTATGTGTGAATTCGATCCTGTCATTATGATGTTCGCTGGTTATTTTGCCCATTAATTGAAGCAGTTTCTTCATAGCATTGATAGTCTTTACAATTTGGCATGTTTTTGCATTGGTTGGTACTGATCATTTCTTTCCATGTTTAGTGCTTCCTTCAGGAGCTCTTGTAAGGCAGGCCTGGTGGTAACAAAATCTCTCAGCATTTGCTCGTCTGTAAAGGATTTTATTTCTCCTTCACTTATGAAGCTTAGTTTGGCTAGATATGAAATTCTGGGTTGAAAATTCTTTTCTTTAAGAATGTTGAATATTGGCCCCTACTCTCTTCTGGCTTGTAGGGTTTCTGCCCAGAGATCCGCGTTAGTCTGATGGCCTTCCCTTTGTGGGTAACTCGACCTTTCTCTCTGGCTGCCCTTAACACTTTTTCCTTCATTTCAACCTTGGTGAATCTGCCAATTATGTGTCTTGGGGTTGCTCTTCTCAAGGAGTATCTTTGTGGTGTTCTCTGTATTTTCTGAATTTGAATGTTGGGCCTCTCCTACTATTCTAAGTCACCATCACCTGTGCATATCCTTTCTAGCACCCATAGGTTGTAATTATGTGCTTCCTTGCTTACTTGTTTATTGTCTGTATTTTCCACTAGACGGTAAGCTCCCCAAGGGCAGGCACTGTGTTTCCATTCACCACTGTAAGTTTAATTGCAAGCACGGATCTTGACATATACTGTGCACTCAATAAATAATGTGCCAAATGAAGTGAAAGGTGGCAAGACACATGGGTCTCTGCCTGACACACAGCTGCTGTGGGGATGCTCAGGTGCACACCTCATTGGTATCTTCTCATGCAAAGCTGCGTGCACATCTGAGAAGGGTATCTGAGAACACTGCTGGTGCAGGTTCTAAATGCCACAGGCTGGATCTGTGACTCATCCCTGCCCTTCCTCCACATGTCCCTTTCTGCCCATTTGGGGATGCCAGACTCAGCTTGCATTCAGGGTGCACATTGAATTCTGTCAGTCTGTCCCTTCAGAAGGGACAAGTCACTCTGGACCTGGTTCCACGGAGTTGGTAGCTTGCTGGTAGTTTGCCAGGGAGGGAGCATGTGTCCTGTTGGCTATTTATATAGCACACAACCCTGGTCCTGGTCAGAAGCCACACCCCGTTGGGCTCCCAGCTGTCTGCCAGATCTGATGCCAAGCAGTGGTGTGTGGTTCTTCCTTAGTATGTGAAGCCTGGTGCAGATTCCATTCACAGGCTGCTGGGTCCCTCAGATCACTGTTTTCTCAGACCACTTATGCGATACCCTTGTGGGGCTTTTGTTTTTAGTTTTTTTCCAAATGGTGGTATAACATACATTTTATAAAGTGCACAAAGCTTGAGTGTGCAACTTGAATTTTTATATATGTGAACATCTGTGTGTACCCAGCAGGGTTTAGTCAGGGGAGTTAGGGATAAGGGACTTATTGCAAGAATTAGACTCTCCACAAGTTGGGGGACCAGGGGGTGTGGGGGTCCAGATGGTGGGGATGTCAGAGAGGGGTCACTCACTGGTCGCCTGAAGCACTGGTGTGGTTGGACAGGCCCGAGCTCACAGGGATGCCCGGAACCCGGTCTGTTGCGGAGGTGGAGCCACCGGAGGAGGGGGCGTTGGGAGGCGCTGCCTCTGGGAAGCTGCTGTCCAGTTGGGTCCCCGGCCCAGTGACCGGTGGCAGGCCTGGGGCCTGTGATTGGCCAGCAGGGCCAGCGTGAGGAAGAGGAGCTGGCCGCAGTGTGGAGAGTGGGGCAGGCTGGAACCTCCAGGTGCCCGTGTCTCTGCCCTTCACCTCATGGCCACTGCTTCAGTTCACCTTCCAAGCTTTACGGAACTTCCTGGCGTGGCCAATTCTAACTCAGACTCTAACTGGGGGCCCTGGGAGACAGTTCCCAGCTTAACCAAGTTGACACAGCACCACTGTCCAGATCAGGGTCCCAAGTCCCAGCCCTGCCCAGGTAGCCACTGTCTGAGCCGACTTCTGCACCATAGACATAAACTTTGTTCTTGTCTTTGTGTACATGGAGTCGTGCAGTATTTTCTGTCCTGTGTCTGCCCTCTCTTGCCCAGCACTAATCTGTGAGTTTCATCGGTGTGGCTGGATGTTGCAGTAGTTCATTCCTCTTTCCTGCTGTGTGGTATTCCATTGTGTGACTGTAACTGCAGCTTATCATTTTGCTGCTGTTGGTCATTTGAATGTTTCCAATTTTTGAGTATTATGAATAAAGCTGCAATGAGCATTCTTTTACTTGTCTTTTGGCTAACATAAGACATTCATCTCTGTTGGATGTATCCCCAAGAATGGAATTGCTGAGTTTTAGGGTAGATGTGTATGTAGCTTCAAGAACCACTGCTGAACAATTTTCCATAGTGGTTGTACGAGTTCACCACGCGCATTGTCTGAGAGTTCCAGTTGTTCCCTATCGTTGCCTACTCGTGGCATTGTCAGTCTTTAATTTTAGTTATTCTGATGGGTGATAGGATCTCATTATGGTTTTGATGGACTTCCTGTGACTAATATGTTAAACACCTGTTCACATGCCTTGGTGATTTGAGTGTCCTCTTTTGTGATATGCCTGATCAAATCTTCTGCCCGTTTTTCCTTTGGTGTCTGTTTTTTTCCGTATTGGTTTATACAGAATTTTTCTACATTCCAGATATGAGAGTTTTCTTGGTTACACATAGCCCTTTTGCTTTAAAGAGGTTTATTCCTTCTGAAATGGAGCATAGAGGCCGGGCGCAGTGGCTCACGCCTGTAATCCCAGCACTTTGGGAGGCCAAGGCGGGTGGATCACCTGAGGTCAGGAGTTCGAGACCAGCCTGGGCATCAGGTGAAACCCTGTCTCTACTAAAAATACAAAAAATTAGCCAGGCGTGGTGGCGGGCATCTGTAGTCCCAGCTACTCAAGAGGCTGAGGCAGGAGAATGGCATGAACCCGGGAGGCGGAGGTAGCAGTGAGCCGAGATAGCGCCACTGCACTCCAACCTGGGCAACAGAGCAAGACCCTGTCAAAAAAAAAAAAAAAAAAAGAAAAGAAAAGGAAAGAAAGAAAAATGAAATAGAGCACAGATGGGTTTCAGGCCTGTTTACAGAGGGGAGCCTTTGGAAAAAATGTTGTTACTTATCGGTCTTTTTTCAGGAATTGGAAGTTAAATAACCCAACTTACACATGGTTTTAAAAACAAAATATTGGAGGCTGGGCATGGTGGCTCATGCCTCTTAATCCTAGCACTTGGAGAGACCAGGACAGGAGGATTGCTTGAAGCCAGGAGTTTGAGATTAGCCTGTGCAACAGAACTAGACTTTGCCTCTAAAAAAAAAAAAAAAAAAAATTAGCCAGGCGTGGTGGTGCACATCTGTAGTTCCATCTACTTGGGAGGCTGAGGTAGGGGGAATTGTTTGACCCAGGAGTTTGAGGTTACGGTGAGCTATGATGGCATCACTACACTCCAGCCTGGCAGACAGAGGGAGACTCTTTCTTTAAAAAAGGAAAAAAAAAAAAAAGGGCCGGGCACCGTGGCTCATGCTTGTAATCCCAGCACTTTGGGAGGCCGAGGCGGGCAGATCACAAGGTCAGGAGTTCGAGACCATCCTGGCTAACACAGTGAAACCCCATCTCTACTAAAAATACAAAAATTAGCCAGGCGTGGTGGCGGGCGCCTGTAGTCCCAGCTACTTGGGAGGCTGAGGCAGGAGAAAGGCGTGAACCCGGGAGGTGGAGCTTGCAGTGAGCGGAGATCACGACACTGCACTCCAGCCTGGGTGACAGAGTGAGACTCCGTCTTAAGAAAAAAAAGTTCTAAGGGTGCCAGTCATTTGTCACATCAGGGTTGTGTCATTACAGTGATTATGGTCACCCCCCTATGGGGCATGTAACACAATATATAAAGCCACGGTATGAAACATCTAAGTGTTCTGGTTGTTCATCGTATCAGGGCAGTGTTATTTCAAGGAGTGAATGTGTCCACCAAAGCGTGGTGCATGTACTGCATTACGTAAAGTTGGCTTTATGTTTCTTAAGTGCTCCTTGCACATGTGAATCACAGTAGTCTTATCTCAGTGAGTGAATGTGTTCACCACACTAGATATATCTCATACACTACATGAAGACGCATGCAGACAGGTGTTTCTTTCTTTCTTTCTTTCTTTCTTTTTTTTTGAGACGGAGTCTTGCTGTTTCGCCCAGGCTGGTGTGCAGTGGTGCAATCTTGGCTCACTGCAAGCTCCGCCTCCCGGGTTCACGCCATTCTCCTGCCTCAGCCTCCTGAGTAGCTGGGACTACAGATGCCCGCCACCACGCCCCGCTAATTTTTTGTATTTTTAGTAGAGGCGGGGTTTCACCGTGTTAGCCAGGATGGTCTCGATCTCCTGACCTCGTGATGCGCCCGCCTCGGCCTCCCAAAGTGCTGGGATTACAGGCATGAGCCACCGCGCCCGGCCCACGGACAGGTGTTTCTAACAGTACTATTCCTCGCATCAGGTAGCGTTCCTGCAGTGGGTGAATGTGTCCACCACGCTATGCTGCATATAGTAAAGTATGGCAAGACACATGTAAATAAAACCCAATTTATCTCGAGTGCTCAGAGTATACAGTCAGAAGCCAAACCTTTAATTCACTCCCCAAAGATCTGAGTGTGTGTTGTGGTTCTGGCGCTGCTAAATGCTGGGAATAGAAACCAGACGCAGAGCCACTTGCTGTCTTGTAGGAGCCCAGCACCTGGTGGGAGGTGCTTGGAGAACAGAGGTAAGATCTGGGTGTAGGAAGAAGGGAAGGGCAAAGTTGTTCTGAGAAGGGCTTGGAGATGTGGCCCTAAAGCCCCGATGGATGAGGAGGTTCATATTTGTCATCTGCCTTAGTTCAGAGAAGACTGAAGCAGCTCAGAGGACAAGCAGAGGTTCAGAGAAGTGTGTGCACGGGTGGGGAAAGTGTGTTCTAGGCTGTGAAAAGAAACTGTGCTGGAAAGAACATGGGTGTTCCTGGAGCAGCAGGCAGATGTCGGGGGCTGAGTACAGGGGTGTTGGGAGGTTAAGGTGATGAGGGTGGAGGTGAAGCAGGACCTGCAGCCCCAAGGTTAGCCTGGTAGAGAAATGGTGTCTTTCAAAGTGTAAGCAAGGGGGTGGCTTAAGTAGATTTGTTTAGAAAGATCACTTTGGAAGAAACATAGTATGGGAATTGCACACTTGAGCAGGGTGTATTTGTGTCCCCATGTTTATGGCAGCATTGTGCACAGTAGTCAGAAGGTAGAAACAGCCCAGTTGTCCATTGATGGGTGAATGGAGAAACTAAATGCAATGTGGACTACAATGGAATTATTATTCAGCCATAAAAATGAATGAGGTCATGGTATATGTTACAATGTGGATGAACCTTGAAGCCCTTATACTAAGTGAAATAAGCCAGACACAGAGAGACAAATACATGATTCTACTTATATGAGGTACCTGGAATAGACAGATTCATAGAGCCAGAGTAGAATGGTGACAACCATGGGCTGAGGAAGGGGAAATGGGGAGCCAGTGTTTAATGGGTACAGAGTTTCTGTTGCGGATGACAAAAAAGTTCTGGAGATAGACAGTGGCGATGGTTGTGCAACATTGTGAATGGATTTAATACCACTGAATTGTACAATTAAAAATGGTTAAAAACAACTTTTATGTTATATATATCTTAACACAATAAGAAAATAAACCAAAATTACCTTGAAGAAGGGTCTACATTTAAGAGACTATTGCAAGGGTCCAGGTAGAGATAATGAAGTCCAATGCAGTGACGTTAGAAAGGAAGGAATAAATGGGCGAGGAATTTAGGAAGAGCAAATGCGAATATACCCTGCACTGTGCTGCCTCCCCACCATGCTTAGCATGGTACAGTTGCCTGCACGCCCACGCCTCCGGCCTTTTGCAGTGGGAAGTAGGAGCGGTGTGGAGGCCAACACCTGGAGTTCTGACTTAGGTAGATGGCAGTTTTACTAGAATTGAGATTCAGGGAGAGACATAAGTTTGGGAAGGAAGATGGGGTTCTATTTTGAGTAACCTGAGTTGGAGCAGAATATGTATGCCCTGGCATATTCTGATGGAGATGTCCAGGGGACAGTTACAAAGATGGTGCTAGAACAAAATAGAAAGAGGGCCAAGGACAGAGCCCTGAGCATCCTCTTTACTTAGAAAGTGGCATAAAAAGCCGGAGGAGCATGCACAGAGAAACCAGGGCAGGAGAGTTCAGCTATATAATCCTTTGTTCTCCACCAGGTTTGCTTTTCGGTTACTCTACAGATTCACGCTTCTCCCCTGGGATATTCCTTTTCCAAGCCAGGCTGTTGTTGGGAGGGCACAGACGTCCTGGAATGCCAAGGTTGAGGATGGTGAAATGGACTCAGGGAAGTTGGATTGTATATCGGGAAGTTGTAGACCTTTAGTCTTCTAACCAGTTCTGCTTTGTTGATTCCACTGTCCTTTCATTGCATCTTTGCTCATGTTCTACTGATGAAGAAAAATTGAGAGCTTTGACCAGCATCAAGGTCAAGATGAAAGACATCAGTAAGACCTTACAGTCCCATGGATACCATCACTTAAAATGCCTGTGCGTTTATGTTTTCCAAGTCAAAACATTTTTTTTCATAAATTTTATTTTATTTCTTTGATCAGTGATTTAGAAAATGTTTGGGTTTGGGACTCACAGCCTGTCATTTTGTACAGTATTTTTGAAAGCACCCAGCTGTCAGGAGGAAGGGACAATGCCTGTTTGAGGATTTAACTGAAACGTGTTTGATGCCTTGGCTGTGGTGCTAAGATCTGTCATGGTGAAGAGAGATTTGTGCAGTAGTACCCTTCCGACACTGTGGAAGGAGGGGTGCCGGGAAAACATGGACAGATGAACGGGTTCTTCATTTTAGTTTGAGAAGCACTATTCTCAACAAGAGTTACTTAAAAAAAAATTGTTTAAGTTTCCAGGTCCTCCAGCCAAGCCCAGATGAATGCTTTTCAGGCAGAGGCAAGATAGCTGTGACCTCCTCAGCTTTCTGCCTGCTCTGAGCTCCCTTCGTGTTGCTGAATTGGCAGCAACAAGTAGATATCAACTTCTTTTTTCACATTCCTCGTAAAACTGACTGAACCATAATCGTCTTCAGGTTTGGGAGATATTAAATATCCCCTCCAGGGTGATGGTTGCACAAGTTGGCAGATTTACTAAAAATCACTGATTGTACACTGAAAACGGGTGACTCTTATTGTCTGTAAGTTATACTGCAATCAAGTGGTATAGAAAAACATGCCCTCCAGTCCTGAGAACAGTATGTTTTTCTGGCCTGGTGGTGGTTTTTGGGGAGCCAGAAGCCCTGCTCTGAGTCCTTTGGTTTCCTGGCCGAGCCCTTCAGAGGTCCTGATGTCAGGAACTTGGTACAGCTTGTGGCTCTCACCTGGCTCCCTTCCCCTTGCTCTCTCAGGTGCTCGGCACCTAGTGTGGTTGGAATATTTACCAGGAATGAGCCAAGCCCATTTTGGTTTCTGGCCAGAGGGTAGCTCTCCAGGATC
The DNA here is from genome assembly GCF_000001405.40 of Homo sapiens. Classification (NCBI taxonomy): domain Eukaryota; kingdom Metazoa; phylum Chordata; class Mammalia; order Primates; family Hominidae; genus Homo; species Homo sapiens. The sequence continues at coordinate 17,925,067 of NC_000022.11, read as the reverse complement.
CAGAGCCCAATATCCAGTTTGTGGCTTATTCGGATCCCAGGACTCTTTCCCCCCGTTGCTATTTGGTCAATTTCATTGTTCTGTTGGCACCCAGTTTGCAGGGTGTGTTAGGCCATTGTTGTGTTGTTATAAAGAAATACCTGTTGCCAGCAGGGATGGAAGCTTACTGTGAACAGTGGGTTGAGTTGCCCTGAGGAAGGAAGGTCAGAGCACTGGAGCTATTGTGGGCATGTTACTATGTCATCCTGCAGCAATGTTTATGAAATACCTGCTGTTCTCACACTGTGGCTTGAGATGCTCTGGGGCTTCTGGTTGCAGGTCTTCTGAAATACAGGGTTGCTTAATTAAGGTCCTTTAACAAAGTACGTCCATGGTGTTTAGCACAGGTTGAATATCTCTTCTGAAATGCTTGGGATCAGATGTGTTTTGGATTTCATATTTTTTTCAGGTTTTAGAATATTTGCACTATACCTACCAGTTGAGCATCCCTAATTGGAAAATCTGCCATCAGAAATGCTCCATTGAGTGTTTCCTTTGAGTGTCCTGTTGATGCTCAAAAACATTGAGATTTTGGAATATTTCCAGTTTTGGATTTACAGATTTGAGATGCCCAACCTGTATCTATATCAAATATTTATTTAAGTTGAACAGAGTACATTGGCTTTTCCTTGCCCCAGTGAGTGGTATTTCTCAAGGCGGTATATTTAATCTGTACCTGAACTGGTCCGAGGGGTGAGATGTGCCTGATCCGCTGGCTGTGCCCTGGTGAGTTGGAGTCTGTGGAGCTTGACTGCAGACACAGAGCTCTCCAGGATTTGTGAGAGGACTGACGGTGTCCTTTGGTGGCCTTCCCATAAGGATGGTGATATGGTTTGGCTGTGTACCCACCCAAATCTCATACTGAATTGTAGCTCCCATATTCCCCACGTGTCGTGGGAGGGACCTGGTGGGAGGTAATTGAATCATGGAGGCGGTTACCTCCATGCTTTTCTTGTGATAGTGAGTTCTCTTGAGATCTGATGCTTTTATAAGGGGCTTCTCTCCCTCTTCGTGCTGCACTTCTCCTTGTTGCTGCCATGTGAAGAAGGATGTGTTTGCTTCCCCTTCCACTATGATCATAAGTTCCTTGAGTCCTCCCCAGCCGTGCTGAACTGTGAGTCAATTAAACCTCTTTCCTTTATAAATTACCCAGTCTCAGATATGTCTTTATTAGCAGCATGAGAATGGACTAACACAGATGGCTTCCCTGGAGTTAGACTTGTGTAAGCCACAGTTGGCAAGAGGGTCACAGCAGTAACACTTTCTAATATCCCTTAGGGAACACTGGGGTTTGCCCAGATTTTAGGTTTCAGTCCTTGGAGCAAGCCAAAGAATGTGTATCCCAGAGCCAGCAGGCCAATGAACAGTAGTCCTGTGCCTGTAGCAAACTAGACAAGTGCTTTAGAAAACCAAGGGGTGGGCAAAGCCCAGCTCAGGACCTGAGACTGCCACTGGGCCCCAGCAGGTACCAGAAGGTGGCCTGGGCCTTTTGGCCATCAGGTGCTGGCATCTTAGTCCAGGGTAGATGTGGAATGGAGCTGGTAGCCCCTCTGGCTCTACACTGGCTAATCTTATTGGTGCTGAATTGAGTAAAGATTAATAAGTCTTCTGTAGAAAAAAAATGTGGTAGGTTGCTGGCTTGGAGCCCAGAGCAGTTGGAATTTTGGAGCCCAGAGAGGTCATGGCAGTTGGTTTTTGGCAACTGGTCTTTGGGAGAAAAGAAACCACAGTTTTGGCTATAGTTCAATATGCTCCGGACAGGGTAGGGTCACCCCTAGGGCAAGGGGTGCATAAGTGGGGAGAAGTTGTGGGCTGTGGACTTTCAAGACCCTGCCTGAGTGTAGCTTGGGGAATTTGCAGTATTCCTTGAGCAGAAGAAAGCAAGCTTGTTACTCACTTTCTCTGAATGTTTCATTTCCAACCAAATGGATCCTCCTTCCCATGGAAGTGGTGTGGTGAGGGGTGTAGCTGGGGGAGTGATCTCAGGGGTCAGCGGGAATCAGCAGAGGGAGAGGTTTGGCTTGGAGAAGCATTTGATCCACTGATGAATCATGCCTAAGTCCCATACTCTTTTAAGCTAATTTCAAGGGAAAATACATTCCACTGAGCTGGTTTAGGGTCAGTTGTCTAGATTTATTTCTGCTTTGGAGAGAACAACTGAGATTTTCTCCATGAAAATAGTTGAAGAAAACCATGGCCTTGGAGCTAGCTAGCCCTCATTCCCCATTCCTTTCTGTGGCTTGGAACCAAGACACACTGCTTGGGTTTGAGCATGCACAGCTACCTTATTGGAGAATAAGGACCCTCCTGGAACAAGGCTGTGCTCACCAAGCCTGTGCCCTGGTGCATACACTTGAACCTGGTTTTCTTTCGTCCCGAGCCATTTGCATCTCTAAGAAGCCTGTGGGCATGAGTCTTCCCTTCAGCCATTCTAACTCTTGGGAGCTTCAACATCATAATACCAGTGACTTAGTGTCTGAAAAAGGTGAGGATCATCCTGGAATGTGAACAGAAAACAACAGTCCTGTTGTTTTCATAATTAGGAGCCATTCAGACTCCTAATATGCCTTAGGGAACTCAACTGTGGCTGCTTCCTGGTCCTTCTTACACCCCCTAAATTGTCCAACAAGTTAGTAACAAGTTAATCATCATGCAAATGCCCTTTCTCCTTTTGTGTAGTTCTGTGACATTAGATGTTATGGCCCAGGCGAGACTTCTGTTTATCTTTTTCCTTCTTTCTTGGCATCTGCCCGCATCTGTACTACGTGCAAACATGAACGTGAATTCCTCTACCTAGCCAGACCCAAACACAAACGGGTAGGCAGACCTGGACTTAATTCCAGAGCAAGTGAGGAGTGTTGAAGGGGAGGCACGCACCCAGGTGGGAGGGAACACAGGGGAAAAGGTGATTGGCTGCTTGGGGCTGGGGTGGGCGGGGTCGCTTTAGTGAGGTCCGGAATGCTGAGCTGCAGTCTCAAGTGCAGGAGGGGCGTTGTAGGCAAAGGTGAGGAGGCGGCAGAGGTGAGGAACACGTAAAAGTGTGGTGCATGCTGGGAACCTGAGAGGATGGGTTGCATCTATTAATAGTAGTGAGAGAAGTCAGCTTTTTGGGCCTTGCTGAGGGTTTGGATTGTTTCCTAGTGTCAGCAGAGGCTGAAACGGGTCACATTGGCCCTTACAAAAGACCCCTCTGGCACTCGTGGAGGATGTATTGGAGCGAGTTTAGATTAAGGGACAGCTAGCCGGGCGCGGTGGCTCATACCTGTAATCCCAGCACTTTGGGAAGCCGAGGTGGGTGGATCACTTGAGGCCAAGAGTTCGAGACTAGCCTGGCCAACATGGTGAAATCCCGTCTCTACTAAAAATATGAAAATTATCCAGGTGTGGTCGCACATGCCTGTAATCCCAGCTACTAGGGAGGCTGAGGCAGGAGAATCACTTGAACCCTGAAGATGGAGGTTGCAGTGAGCTGAGATCGCACCACTGCACTCCAGCCTGGGCAACAGAGCAAGACTCCATCACACACACAAAAGAAAAGATTAAGAGGCAGCTGTGCTAGTCCAAGCTAGTGTCAGTCAAGGGAAATGACCAAGGCCAGTCTCAAGTCTTAGTCATTTTAAGAGATACATTTGCCAAAGTTAAGGTTGCATACCCGGGAGACAGTTCTATGCCTTTCTCCGAAGATGATTTTGAGAGCTTCAGTATTTAAGGGAGAAAGAGTGGGATATTGTGAAATACACAGTTTTCATGTTGAGGGAAGGGAAAAATAGTCATTCATGCCTTTGACTCTGAATCTGCCTTTTTACATGAGATAACATAGACAATAGAGCAGAGGAAACAATCAGATATGCCTTTGTCACAGGTGGGCAGAGAGATGACTTTGAGTTCTGTCTTATGTCCCCGTACCTGTGAAGATAAGCTGTCAACTTACATTGCCATGGTGAATTTTAACAGAAATGCTTTAGGGTAAAGATCTTGGGGCCCACAAGGAATTTCCTTGTGGGCAAAATGCGAGGGAGTCATCTTTGTAGTCATCTTATTTAGGAACCAGAATGGAAGGTGGGTTTGCATGATCCCTTTCCCAGCTTGGCTTTTCCCTTTGGCTTAGTGAGTTTGGGGCCCCAAGATTTATTTTCCTTTCACACTGGGAATCTCGGGGCTTCCACCAGGATTGTGGTAGGCAGATGAACATTCTAAAGTTAGAATCAGCAGATTGGGTTGAGGAGTGGAGAACAGAGAAGGGTCTGAGATGACCCCAGATTTCCATTTGGTGGGTGGTGGGTTTGACTCCGTGTGGGGTAGACTTCCTTGGTGGGAGGCACCTGTGGATGGCTAAATGGAAATGTTTAGTAGCTTTGGATCTCTGGAGGAAGGTCAGAATGATAAAAATCAAGGGCCATCCAATTTTTTGAGAGCGGCAGATGAAAGAATTGCAGCTGAGAGACTGGAGGCCGGTGTGGAGAGTGGGCAGAAGCAGGAGACAGAGCACAGCCAGGGGAGGGCGGGTTCCAGGAAGCGCTGCAGCCAGGGAGCTAGCCAGATAAGACCGGAACGCGTCTGAGCCTGTCTCACTTGAAAGCCACCGTCACCCTCAGTGGAGTGTTGGAGACAGAGGCCAGATTGGAGAGGGAGTGAAAAGATGACCGGAAGAGGGTCATTAGGAGGGTGGGGACGGGCTGGGGGCCCCAAGACACAGCGTCAGGCTGGAGGAACCAGTGGGGTATTGTAGAAGGCAGTATTGGGGCCCCACCTATGGGTGGAGATGACGGGGCAGGTACAGCCACATCAGTCCTCACTGCGGGGACTTGCAGAAAATATGCTTTTGTCCCACCCCCATTCCACTCCCAAGGCTGGCGTTTCACGCGTGCAGCTTTCCCTCTCACTTGCCTCCTCCGTCACCGCCCAGCAAGTATGAAATGCGCAGTAACCCTTTGAGTCCTGTGTCCTCCTGCCTCAAATGAAGAAATGTTGCCTTGTCTGACACCTGGGCTTGTGGCAGCTTCGTGGCTTTCTCATGCAGATGTTAGCCATACAGGTAACTTGGAATCAGAAGTGTTATGGGTCCTTCACTCGTCTCTGGGGTAGTGGGCTGGGGCTGTTGCATAGCATTTGCTGACACTGATACCGCAGTTCTTTAGAAACCAGTTTCTTTTTATAGGGAACAGTTACACTGAAGCTATTTGGCTATTGAAACAAAGCTGCCTCCAGGTCCTGGCTCCTGACAGGCTCTCTTCTGATGGCAAGAACAGGTCCTGAGCTGGGTGTGGGGCCTGCTGGGCAGAGCCTGTGTGAGCCAGGTCCAGGGCTGGTCGTGGTCATGGAAAAAGGGCAGGTCTCCAGGGGAGCACCTCCCCCGCTGGGCAGAAGCCATCTGGACTCTCCTTGTAGGGGTCCCATTCTCTGTGACTCCCAGCCTGGTGCCACTGCCTGAAAGCACACAGTTCATTTTCATTTGATACGACTTCTGTCTCATATCCTAACTCAGTTCTGCCTGGAGAAGTTCATATACACAGCCGTTTGTTCATCAAGTGGTCCTCACTGTGCACCACCTGTTGTGGTCCAGGGACTGTTCCAGGTGCAAGGACGCAACAGTGAATAAAATGGCAAAAATCCTCACCCTTCCAGAACTTACATTGTAGCAGAAAGATGGATTGTAAGTAAATAACATTTAGAGGCTGAGTGTGGTGGCTCACACCTGTAATCCCAGTGGGAGGCCAAGGCAAGAGGATTGCTTGAAGCCCAGGAGTTCAAGACTAGCCTGGGCAACATAGGCCCTATCTCTACAAGTAAAAAACAATTAGCTATGCTTGGTGGTGTGCACCTGTGGTCCCAGCTACTCAGGAGCCTGAGGCAGGAGAATCGCCTGAGCTGAGGAAGCTGCACTGAGCTATGATTATGCCACTGCACTCCAGGCTGGGTGACAGAGTGAGCCTGTCTCAAAAAAAAAAAAAACCCACAAAAACCAAAAACATTTGGAGTATGTCAAGTTGTGGTAAGTGCTTTGGAGAAAACCAGGGAAAGAGGATGAGCAGGTTTAAACGATGTGACCAGGGAAGTCCACACTGAGAAGCTGGCATTTGAATATATGTGTCAGCTGCATTAGAAGGCTCGTGCCCTGGAAGTCAGAGCTTGTTTTCTCTGTTCACTGCTGTTATTTCTGGAGCGTAGAAGAGTCCTCGGCCCATAATAGATGCTCACTAGTATCTTTTGAGTGAACGGATCGGAGGGAAGAGCATTTTTAGACAAAAGGAGCTGCAGATGCGGAGGCTGAGGTGAGAGGGTGTCTGGTAGGTGGGGAACATGGGGAGGCCATTGCGGCCAGCAGGGATGGAGAGGCTGGCGGCAGGAAAGGAGGCAACAGAGGGAAGGCGTGTGTATGGGTGCAGGTCTGGGGGGCGCTCCATGAGGTCAGAACTGTTTTTGTAATAATACTGAGTGCTATTATGTGCTTTTCCCACCCTCGTTTGCCCAGGTGTGTACAGTGGCCTTTTCTAGAGGCTACGTGATATGTGCTGCTGCTGCAGACAGAGCAGGCAGGAGAATCTGGCTGCCACACATTAAAGAGATTTGCAGAAATGTGGAAAACTGTCACTCTTCTCACTGAATTTCTGTCTTGGAAAGTAATTTTTTTTTCTTAAGATATGTTAATTGTTATTTTAAAGTGAATTAATGTTGAAATTTTGTCTCAGTCTTAATTTTACATATAGTAAATATTGATAGCTCTTTGGGTCCTCAATGTTTTTTTTTTAAGAG